>NC_000018.10:19347598-19651058 GCF_000001405.40 Homo sapiens | reverse complement strand
AGGACACACATCACGAGTAAGTTTCTGAGAATGCTTCTGTCTAGTTTTTATGGGAAGATTATTTCCTTTTTCACCTTAGGCCGGTAAGTGCTCCAAATGTCCACTTACACACACTACAAAAAGAGTGTTTCAAACCTGCTCTGTGAAAGGGAATGTTCAATTCTGTGACTTGAATGCAATCATCACAAAGAACTTTCTGAGAATGCCGCTGACTGCTTTTTATATGTAATCCCGTTTCCAACGAAATCCTCAAATCTAGCCAAATAGCCACTTGCAGATTCCACAAAAAGAGTGTTTCAAAACTGTTCTGTCTAAAGAAATGTTCAACTGTGTTAGTTGAGGACACACATCAGAAACTAGTTTCTGAGAATGCTTCTGTCTAGTTGTTATGGGAAGATATTTCCTTTTCCAACGTAGGCCTGAAAGCGCTCCAAATGTCCACTTCCAGATACTAAAAAAAGAGTGTTTCAAACCTGCTCTACCAAAGGGAATGTTCTACTCTGTGACTGGAATGCAAGCATCCCAAAGAAGTTTCTGAGAATGCTTCTGTCTAGATTTTCTCTGAAGACAATCCCGTTTCCAACGAAATCCTCAAGGCTAGGCAAATATACTCTTGCAGATTCCAGAAAAAGAGTGTTTCAAAACTGCTCCTTCAAAACGGTGGTTCAATTCTCTTAGTTGAGTACACACATCTCAAATAAGTTTCTGAGAATGCTTCTGCCTAGTTGTTACGGGAAGATATTTCCCTTTCCAACATGGGCCTGAAAGCGCTCCAAATGTCCACTTCCAGATACTACAAAAAGAGTGTTTCAAACCTGCTCTACCAAAGGGAATGTTCTACTCTGTGACTTGAATGCAAACATCCCAAAGAAGTTTCTGAGAATGCTTCTGTCTAGATTTGATCTGAAGACAATCCCTTTTCCAACGAAATCCTCAAAGCTAGGCAAATATCCTCTTGCAGATTCTACAAAAAGAGTGTTTCGAAACTGCTCTATGAAAAGAAAGGTTCAACTCTGTCAGTAGAGGAAACACATCACCAACAAGTTTCTGAGAATGCTTCTGTCTAGTTGTTATGGGAAGATTTTTCCTTTTTCAACATAGGCCTGAAAGCGCTCCAAATGTCCACTTCCAGATACTACAAAAGGAGTGATCCCAACCTGCTCTATGATAGGGAATGTTCAACTCTGTGTCCTGAATACAAACATCACAAAGATGTTTCTCAGAACGCTGCAGTCTGCAATTTGTATGAATTCCCGCTTCCAACGAAATCCTCAAAACTAGCCAAATATCCACTTGCAGATTCCACAAAAAGAGCATTTCAAAACTGCTCTATCAAAAGAAAGGTTCAACTTTGTTAGTTGAGCAGATACAGCATAAACAAGTTTCTGAGAATGCTTCTGTCCAGTTTTTATGGGAAGATATTTCCTTTTTCACCTTAGCCCTGAAATCGCTCCAAAAGTCCAGTTCCAGATACTACAAAAGGGGTGTTTCAAGACTGCTCTATGAAAGGGAGTGTTCAACTTTTGACTTGAATGCAAACATCAGAAAGCAGTTTCTCAGAACGCTGCTGTGTGCTTTTTATATGTATTCCCGCTTCCAGCGAAATCCCCAAAGCTAGGCAAATATCCACTTGCAGATTCCAGAAAAAGAGTGTTTCAAAACTGCTCCTTCAAAACGGTGGTTCAATTCTCTTAGTTGAGTACACACATCTCAAATAAGTTTCTGAGAATGCTTCTGTCCAGTTTTTATGGGAAGATATTTCCTTTTTCACCTTAGCACTGAAAGCGCTCCAAAAGTCCAGTTCCAGATACTACAAAAGGAGTGTTTCAGGACTGCTCTATGAAAGGGAGTGTTCAACTTTTGACTTGAATGCAAACATCAGAAAGCAGTTTCTCAGAACGCTGCAGTCTGCAATTTGTATGAATTCCCGCTTCCAACGAAATCCTCAAAACTAGCCAAATATCCACTTGCAGATTCCACAAAAAGAGCGTTTCAAAACTTCTCTATGAAAAGAAAGGTTCTACTCCTTTAGTTGAGGACACACATCACGAGTAAGTTTCTGAGAATGCTTCTGTCTAGTTTTTATGGGAAGATATTTCCTTTTTCACCTTAGGCCGGTAAGTGCTCCAAATGTCCACTTACACACACTACAAAAAGAGTGTTTCAAACCTGCTCTGTGAAAGGGAATGTTCAATTCTGTGACTTGAATGCAATCATCACAAAGAACTTTCTGAGAATGCTGCTGACTGCTTTTTATATGTAATCCCGTTTCCAACGAAATCCTCAAATCTAGCCAAATAGCCACTTGCAGATTCCACAAAAAGAGTGTTTCAAAACTGTTCTGTCTAAAGAAATGTTCAACTGTGTTAGTTGAGGACACACATCAGAAACTAGTTTCTGAGAATGCTTCTGTCTAGTTGTTATGGGAAGATATTTCCTTTTCCAACGTAGGCCTGAAAGCGATCCAAATGTCCACTTCCATATACTAAAAAAAGAGTGTTTCAAACCTGCTCTACCAAAGGGAATGTTCTACTCTGTGACTTGAATGCAAACATCCCAAAGAAGTTTCTGAGAATGCTTCTGTCTAGATTTTCTCTGAAGACAATCCCGTTTCCAACGAAATCCTCAAGGCTAGGCAAATATACTCTTGCAGATTCCAGAAAAAGAGTGTTTCAAAACTGCTCCTTCAAAACGGTGGTTCAATTCTCTTAGTTGAGTACACACATCTCAAATAAGTTTCTGAGAATGCTTCTGCCTAGTTGTTACGGGAAGATATTTCCCTTTCCAACATAGGCCTGAAAGCGCTCCAAATGTCCACTTCCAGATACTACAAAAAGAGTGTTTCAAACCTCCTCTACCAAAGGGAATGTTCTACTCTGTGACTTGAATGCAAACATCCCAAAGAAGTTTCTGAGAATGCTTCTGTCTAGATTTTACCTGAAGACAATCCCGTTTCCCACGAAATCCTCAAAGCTATGCAAATATCCTCTTGCAGATTCTACAAAAAGAGTGTTTCAAAACTGCTCTATGAAAAGAAAGGTTCAACTCTGTCAGTAGAGGGCACACATCACAAACAAGTTTCTGAGAATGCTTGTGTCTAGTTGTTATGGGAAGATATTTCCTTTTTCAACATAGGCCTGAAAGCGCTCCAAATGTCCACTTCCAGATACTACAAAAGGAGTGATTCCAACCTGCTCTATGATAGGGAATGTTCAACTCTCTGTCCTGAATACAAACATCACAAAGATGTTTCTCAGAACGCTGCGGTCTGCAATTTGTATGAATTCCCGCTTCCAACGAAATCCTCAAAACTAGCCAAATATCCACTTGCAGATTCCACAAAAAGAGCATTTCAAAACTGCTCTATCAAAAGAAAGGTTCAACTTTGTTAGTTGAGTAGATACAGCATAAACAAGTTTCTGAGAATGCTTCTGTCCAGTTTTTATGGGAAGATATTTCCTTTTTCACCTTAGCCCTGAAATCGCTCCAAAAGTCCAGTTCCAGATACTACAAAAGGGGTGTTTCAGGACTGCTCTATGAAAGGGAGTGTTCAACTTTTGACTTGAATGCAAACATCAGAAAGCAGTTTCTCAGAACGCTGCTGTGTGCTTTTTATATGTATTCCCGCTTCCAGCGAAATCCCCAAAGCTAGCCAAATATCCACTTGCAGATTCCAGAAAAAGAGAGTTTCAAAACTGCTCCTTCAAAACGGTGGTTCAATTCTCCTTAGTTGAGTACACACATCTCAAATAAGTTTGCTGAGAATGCTTTCTGCCTAGTTTTTATGGGAAGATATTTCCTTTTTCACCTGAGGCCGGAAAGCGCTCCAAATGTCCACTTCCAGATACTACAAAAGGAGTGATTCCAACCTGCTCTATGATAGGGAATGTTCAAACTCTGTGTCCTGAATACAAACATCACAAAGATGTTTCTCAGAACGCTGCAGTCTGCAATTTGTATGAATTCCTGCTTCCAACGAAATCCTCAAAACTAGCCAAATATCCACTTGGAGATTCCACAAAAAGAGCGTTTCAAAACTTCTCTATGAATAGAAAGGTTCTACTCCTTTAGTTGAGGACACACATCACGAGTAAGTTTCTGAGAATGCTTCTGTCTAGTTTTTATGGGAAGATATTTCCTTTTTCACCTTAGGCCGGAAAGCGCTCCAAATGTCCACTTACACACACTACAAAAAGAGTGTTTCAAACCTGCTCTGTGAAAGGGAATGTTCAATTCTGTGACTTGAATGCAATCATCACAAAGAACTTTCTGAGAATGCTGCTGACTGCTTTTTATATGGAATCCCGTTTCCAACGAAATCCTCAAATCTAGCCAAATAGCCACTTGCAGATTCCACAAAAAGAGTGTTTCAAAACTGTTCTGTCTAAAGAAATGTTCAACTGTGTTAGTTGAGGACACACATCAGAAACTAGTTTCTGAGAATGCTTCTGTCTAGTTGTTATGGGAAGATATTTCCTTTTCCAACGTAGGCCTCAAAGCGATCAAAATGTCCACTTCCATATACTAAAAAAAGAGTGTTTCAAACCTGCTCTACCAAAGGGAATGTTCTACTCTGTGACTTGAATGCAAACATCCCAAAGAAGTTTCTGAGAATGCTTCTGTCTAGATTTTCTCTGAAGACAATCCCGTTTCCAACGAAATCCTCAAGGCTAGGCAAATATACTCTTGCAGATTCCAGAAAAAGAGTGTTTCAAAACTGCTCCTTCAAAACGGTGGTTCAATTCTCTTAGTTGAGTACACACATCTCAAATAAGTTTCTGAGAATGCTTCTGCCTAGTTGTTACGGGAAGATATTTCCTTTTCCAACATGGGCCTGAAAGCGCTCCAAATGTCCACTTCCAGATACTACAAAAAGAGTGTTTCAAACCTGCTCTACCAAAGGGAATGTTCTACTCTGTGACTTGAATGCAAACATCCCAAAGAAGTTTCTGAGAATGCTTCTGTCTAGATTTTACCTGAAGACAATCCCGTTTCCCACGAAATCCTCAAAGCTATGCAAATATCCTCTTGCAGATTCTACAAAAAGAGTGTTTCAAAACTGCTCTATGAAAAGAAAGGTTCAACTCTGTCAGTAGAGGGCACACATCACAAACAAGTTTCTGAGAATGCTTGTGTCTAGTTGTTATGGGAAGATATTTCCTTTTTCAACATAGGCCTGAAAGCGCTCCAAATGTCCACTTCCAGATACTACAAAAGGAGTGATTCCAACCTGCTCTATGATAGGGAATGTTCAACTCTGTGTCCTGAATACAAACATCACAAAGATGTTTCTCAGAACGCTGCAGTCTGCAATTTGTATGAATTCCCGCTTCCAACGAAATCCTCAAAACTAGCCAAATATCCACTTGCAGATTCCACAAAAAGAGCATTTCAAAACTGCTCTATCAAAAGAAAGGTTCAACTTTGTTAGTTGAGTAGATACAGCATAAACAAGTTTCTGAGAATGCTTCTGTCCAGTTTTTATGGGAAGATATTTCCTTTTTCACCTTAGCCCTGAAAGCGCTCCAAAAGTCCAGTTCCAGATACTACAAAAGGAGTGTTTCAGGACTGCTCTATGAAAGGGAGTGTTCAACTTTTGACTTGAATGCAAACATCAGAAAGCAGTTTCTCAGAACGCTGCTGTGTGCTTTTTATATGTATTCCCGCTTCCAGCGAAATCCCCAAAGCTAGCCAAATATCCACTTGCAGATTCCAGAAAAAGAGTGTTTCAAAACTGCTCCTTCAAAACGGTGGTTCAATTCTCTAAGTTGAGTACACACATCTCAAATAAGTTTCTGAGAATGCTTCTGTCTAGTTGTTATGGGAAGATATTTCCTTTTCCAACATAGGCCTGAAAGCGCTCCAAATGTCCACTTCCAGATACTACAAAAGGAGTGATTCAAACCTGCTCTATGATAGGGAATGTTCAACTCTGTGTCCTGAATACAAACATCACAAAGATGTTTCTCAGAACGCTGCAGTCTGCAATTTGTATGAATTCCCGCTTCCAACGAAATCCTCAAAACTAGCCAAATATCCACTTGCAGATTCCACAAAAAGACCATTTCAAAACTGCTCTATCAAAAGAAAGGTTCAACTTTGTTAGTTGAGTAGATACAGCATAAACAAGTTTCTGAGAATGCTTCTGTCCAGTTTTTATGGGAAGATATTTCCTTTTTCACCTTAGCCCTGAAATCGCTCCAAAAGTCCAGTTCCAGATACTACAAAAGGGGTGTTTCAAGACTGCTCTATGAAAGGGAGTGTTCAACTTTTGACTTGAATGCAAACATCAGAAAGCAGTTTCTCAGAACGCTGCTGTGTGCTTTTTATATGTATTCCCGCTTCCAGCGAAATCCCCAAAGCTAGCCAAATATCCACTTGCAGATTCCAGAAAAAGAGAGTTTCAAAACTGCTCCTTCAAAACGGTGGTTCAATTCTCTTAGTTGAGTACACACATCTCAAATAAGTTTCTGAGAATGCTTGTGTCTAGTTGTTATGGGAAGATATTTCCTTTTTCAACATAGGCCTGAAAGCGCTCCAAATGTCCACTTCCAGATACTACAAAAGGAGTGATTCCAACCTGCTCTATGATAGGGAATGTTCAACTCTGTGTCCTGAATACAAACATCACAAAGATATTTCTCAGAACGCTGCAGTCTGCAATTTGTATGAATTCCCGCTTCCAACGAAATCCTCAAAACTAGCCAAATATCCACTTGCAGATTCCACAAAAAGAGCGTTTCAAAACTTCTCTATGAAAAGAAAGGTTCTACACCTTTAGTTGAGGACACACATCACGAGTAAGTTTCTGAGAATGCTTCTGTCTAGTTTTTATGGGAAGATATTTCCTTTTTCACCTTAGGCCGGTAAGTGCTCCAAATGTCCACTTACACACACTACAAAAAGAGTGTTTCAAACCTGCTCTGTGAAAGGGAATGTTCAATTCTGTGACTTGAATGCAATCATCACAAAGAACTTTCTGAGAATGCTGCTGACTGCTTTTTATATGTAATCCCGTTTCCAACGAAATCCTCAAATCTAGCCAAATAGCCACTTGCAGATTCCACAAAAAGAGTGTTTCAAAACTGTTCTGTCTAAAGAAATGTTCAACTGTGTTAGTTGAGGACACACATCAGAAACTAGTTTCTGAGAATGCTTCTGTCTAGTTGTTATGGGAAGATATTTCCTTTTCCAACGTAGGCCTGAAAGCGCTCCAAATGTCCACTTCCAGATACTACAAAAAGAGTGTTTCAAACCTGCTCTACCAAAGGGAATGTTCTACTCTGTGACTTGAATGCAAGCATCCCAAAGAAGTTTCTGAGAATGCTTCTGTCTAGATTTTCTCTGAAGACAATCCCGTTTCCAACGAAATCCTCAAGGCTAGGCAAATATACTCTTGCAGATTCCAGAAAAAGAGTGTTTCAAAACTGCTCCTTCAAAACGGTGGTTCAATTCTCTTAGGTTGAGTACACACATCTCAAATAAGTTTCTGAGAATGCTTCTGCCTAGTTGTTACGGGAAGATATTTCCCTTTCCAACATAGGCCTGAAAGCGCTCCAAATGTCCACTTCCAGATACTACAAAAAGAGTGTTTCAAACCTGCTCTACCAAAGGGAATGTTCTACTCTGTGACTTGAATGCAAACATCCCAAAGAAGTTTCTGAGAATGCTTCTGTCTAGATTTTACCTGAAGACAATCCCGTTTCCCACGAAATCCTCAAAGCTATGCAAATATCCTCTTGCAGATTCTACAAAAAGAGTGTTTCAAAACTGCTCTATGAAAAGAAAGGTTCAACTCTGTCAGTAGAGGGCACACATCACAAACAAGTTTCTGAGAATGCTTGTGTCTAGTTGTTATGGGAAGATATTTCCTTTTTCAACATAGGCCAGAAAGCGCTCCAAATGTCCACTTCCAGATACTACAAAAGGAGTGATTCCAACCTGCTCTATGATAGGGAATGTTCAACTCTCTGTCCTGAATACAAACATCACAAAGATGTTTCTCAGAACGCTGCAGTCTGCAATTTGTATGAATTCCCGCTTCCAACGAAATCCTCAAAACTAGCCAAATATCCACTTGCAGATTCCACAAAAAGAGCATTTCAAAACTGCTCTATCAAAAGAAAGGTTCAACTTTGTTAGTTGAGTAGATACAGCATAAAAAAGTTTCTGAGAATGCTTCTGTCCAGTTTTTATGGGAAGATATTTCCTTTTTCACCTTAGCCCTGAAAGCGCTCCAAAAGTCCAGTTCCAGATACTACAAAAGGAGTGTTTCAGGACTGCTCTATGAAAGGGAGTGTTCAACTTTTGACTTGAATGCAAACATCAGAAAGCAGTTTCTCAGAACGCTGCAGTCTGCAGTTTGTATGAATTCCCGCTTCCAACGAAATCCTCAAAACTAGCCAAATATCCACTTGCAGATTCCACAAAAAGAGCGTTTCAAAACTTCTCTATGAAAAGAAAGGTTCTACTCCTTTAGTTGAGGACACACATCACGAGTAAGTTTCTGAGAATGCTTCTGTCTAGTTTTTATGGGAAGATATTTCCTTTCTCACCTTAGGCCGGAAAGTGCTCCAAATGTCCACTTACACACACTACAAAAAGAGTGTTTCAAGCCTGCTCTGTGAAAGGGAATGTTCAATTCTGTGACTTGAATGCAATCATCACAAAGAACTTTCTGAGAATGCTGCTGTCTGCTTTTTATATGTAATCCCGTTTCCAACGAAATCCTCAAATCTAGCCAAATAGCCACTTGCAGATTCCACAAAAAGAGAGTTTCAAAACTGTTCTGTCTAAAGAAATGTTCAACTGTGTTAGTTGAGGACACACATCAGAAACTAGTTTCTGAGAATGCTTCTGTCTAGTTGTTATGGGAAGATATTTCCTTTTCCAACGTAGGCCTGAAAGCGCTCCAAATGTCCACTTCCATATACTAAAAAAAGAGTGTTTCAAACCTGCTCTACCAAAGGGAATGTTCTACTCTGTGACTTGAATGCAAACATCCCAAAGAAGTTTCTGAGAATGCTTCTGTCTAGATTTGATCTGAAGACAATCCCGTTTCCAACGAAATCCTCAAGGCTAGGCAAATATCCTCTTGCAGATTCCAGAAAAAGAGTGTTTCAAAACTGCTCCTTCAAAACGGTGGTTCAATTCTCTTAGTTGAGTACACACATCTCAAATAAGTTTCTGAGAATGCTTCTGCCTAGTTGTTACGGGAAGATATTTCCCTTTCCAACATGGGCCTGAAAGCGCTCCAAATGTCCACTTCCAGATACTACAAAAAGAGTGTTTCAAACCTGCTCTACCAAAGGGAATGTTCTACTCTGTGACTTGAATGCAAACATCCCAAAGAAGTTTCTGAGAATGCTTCTGTCTAGATTTTACCTGAAGACAATCCCGTTTCCCACGAAATCCTCAAAGCTATGCAAATATCCTCTTGCAGATTCTACAAAAAGAGTGTTTCAAAACTGCTCTATGAAAAGAAAGGTTCAACTCTGTCAGTAGAGGGCACACATCACAAACAAGTTTCTGAGAATGCTTCTGCATAGTTGTTACGGGAAGATATTTCCCTTTCCAAAATAGGCCTGAAAGCGCTCCAAATGTCCACTTCCAGATACTACAAAAGGAGTGATTCCAACCTGCTCTATGATAGGGAATGTTCAACTCTGTGTCCTGAATACAAACATCACAAAGATGTTTCTCAGAACGCTGCAGTCTGCAATTTGTATGAATTCCCGCTTCCAACGAAATCCTCAAAACTAGCCAAATATCCACTTGCAGATTCCACAAAAAGACCATTTCAAAACTGCTCTATCAAAATAAAGGTTCAACTTTGTTAGTTGAGTAGATACAGCATAAACAAGTTTCTGAGAATGCTTCTGTCCAGTTTTTATGGGAAGATATTTCCTTTTTCACCTTAGCCCTGAAATCGCTCCAAAAGTCCAGTTCCAGATACTACAAAAGGGGTGTTTCAAGACTGCTCTATGAAAGGGAGTGTTCAACTTTTGACTTGAATGCAAACATCAGAAAGCAGTTTCTCAGAACGCTGCTGTGTGCTTTTTATATGTATTCCCGCTTCCAGCGAAATCCCCAAAGCTAGCCAAATATCCACTTGCAGATTCCAGAAAAAGAGTGTTTCAAAACTGCTCCTTCAAAACGGTGGTTCAATTCTCTTAGTTGAGTACACACATCTCAAATAAGTTTCTGAGAATGCTTCTGTCTAGTTGTTATGGGAAGATATTTCCTTTTCCAACATAGGCCTGAAAGCGCTCCAAATGTCCACTTCCAGATACTACAAAAGGAGTGATTCCAACCTGCTCTATGATAGGGAATGTTCAACTCTGTGTCCTGAATACAAACATCACAAAGATGTTTCTCAGAACGCTGCAGTCTGCAATTTGTATGAATTCCCGCTTCCAACGAAATCCTCAAAACTAGCCAAATATCCACTTGCAGATTCCACAAAAAGAGCGTTTCAAAACTTCTCTATGAAAAGAAAGGTTCTACTCCTTTAGTTGAGGACACACATCACGAGTAAGTTTCTGAGAATGCTTCTGTCTAGTTTTTATGGGAAGATATTTCCTTTTTCACCTTAGGCCGGTAAGTGCTCCAAATGTCCACTTACACACACTACAAAAAGAGTGTTTCAAACCTGCTCTGTGAAAGGGAATGTTCAATTCTGTGACTTGAATGCCATCATCACAAAGAACTTTCTGAGAATGCTGCTGACTGCTTTTTATATGTAATCCCGTTTCCAACGAAATCCTCAAATCTAGCCAAATAGCCACTTGCAGATTCCACAAAAAGAGTGTTTCAAAACTGTTCTGTCTAAAGAAATGTTCAACTGTGTTAGTTGAGGACACACATCAGAAACTAGTTTCTGAGAATGCTTCTGTCTAGTTGTTATGGGAAGATATTTCCTTTTCCAACGTAGGCCTGAAAGCGATCAAAATGTCCACTTCCATATACTAAAAAAAGAGTGTTTCAAACCTGCTCTACCAAAGGGAATGTTCTACTCTGTGACTTGAATGCAAACATCCCAAAGAAGTTTCTGAGAATGCTTCTGTCTAGATTTGATCTGAAGACAATCCCGTTTCCAACGAAATCCTCAAGGCTAGGCAAATATCCTCTTGCAGATTCCAGAAAAAGAGTGTTTCAAAACTGCTCCTTCAAAACGGTGGTTCAATTCTCTTAGTTGAGTACACACATCTCAAATAAGTTTCTGAGAATGCTTCTGCCTAGTTGTTACGGGAAGATATTTCCCTTTCCAACATAGGCCTGAAAGCGCTCCAAATGTCCACTTCCAGATACTACAAAAAGAGTGTTTCAAACCTGCTCTACCAAAGGGAATGTTCTACTCTGTGACTTGAATGCAAACATCCCAAAGATGTTTCTGAGAATGCTTCTGTCTAGATTTTACCTGAAGACAATCCCGTTTCCCACGAAATCCTCAAAGCTATGCAAATATCCTCTTGCAGATTCTACAAAAAGAGTGTTTCAAAACTGCTCTATGAAAAGAAAGGTTCAACTCTGTCAGTAGAGGGCACACATCACAAACAAGTTTCTGAGAATGCTTGTGTCTAGTTGTTATGGGAAGATATTTCCTTTTTCAACATAGGCCTGAAAGCGCTCCAAATGTCCACTTCCAGATACTACAAAAGGAGTGATTCCAACCTGCTCTATGATAGGGAATGTTCAACTCTCTGTCCTGAATACAAACATCACAAAGATGTTTCTCAGAACGCTGCAGTCTGCAATTTGTATGAATTCCCGCTTCCAACGAAATCCTCAAAACTAGCCAAATATCCACTTGCAGATTCCACAAAAAGAGCATTTCAAAACTGCTCTATCAAAAGAAAGGTTCAACTTTGTTAGTTGAGTAGATACAGCATAAACAAGTTTCTGAGAATGCTGCAGTCTGCAATTTGTATGAATTCCCGCTTCCAACGAAATCCTCAAAACTAGCCAAATATCCACTTGCAGATTCCACAAAAAGAGCGTTTCAAAACTTCTCTATGAAAAGAAAGGTTCTACTCCTTTAGTTGAGGACACACATCACGAGTAAGTTTCTGAGAATGCTTCTGTCTAGTTTTTATGGGAAGATATTTCCTTTTTCACCTTAGGCCGGTAAGGGTTCCAAATATCCACTTACACACACTACAAAAAGAGTGTTTCAAACCTGCTCTGTGAAAGGGAATGTTCAATTCTGTGACTTGAATGCAATCATCACAAAGAACTTTCTGAGAATGCTGCTGACTGCTTTTTATATGTAATCCCGTTTCCAACGAAATCCTCAAATCTAGCCAAATAGCCACTTGCAGATTCCACAAAAAGAGTGTTTCAAAACTGTTCTGTCTAAAGAAATGTTCAACTGTGTTAGTTGAGGACACACATCAGAAACTAGTTTCTGAGAATGCTTCTGTCTAGTTGTTATGGGAAGATATTTCCTTTTCCAACGTAGGCCTGAAAGCGCTCCAAATGTCCACTTCCATATACTAAAAAAAGAGTGTTTCAAACCTGCTCTACCAAAGGGAATGTTCTACTCTGTGACTTGAATGCAAACATCCCAAAGAAGTTTCTGAGAATGCTTCTGTCTAGATTTGATCTGAAGACAATCCCGTTTCCAACGAAATCCTCAAGGCTAGGCAAATATCCTCTTGCAGATTCCAGAAAAAGAGTGTTTCAAAACTGCTCCTTCAAAACGGTGGTTCAATTCTCTTAGTTGAGTACACACATCTCAAATAAGTTTCTGAGAATGCTTCTGCCTAGTTGTTACGGGAAGATATTTCCCTTTCCAACATAGGCCTGAAAGCGCTCCAAATGTCCACTTCCAGATACTACAAAAAGAGTGTTTCAAACCTGCTCTACCAAAGGGAATGTTCTACTCTGTGACTTGAATGCAAACATCCCAAAGAAGTTTCTGAGAATGCTTCTGTCCAGATTTAACCTGAAGACAATCCCGTTTCCCACGAAATCCTCAAAGCTATGCAAATATCCTCTTGCAGATTCTACAAAAAGAGTGTTTCAAAACTGCTCTATGAAAAGAAAGGTTCAAATCTGTCAGTAGAGGGCACACATCACAAACAAGTTTCTGAGAATGCTTCTGCATAGTTGTTACGGGAAGATATTTCCCTTTCCAAAATAGGCCTGAAAGCGCTCCAAATGTCCACTACCAGATACTACAAAAGGAGTGATTCCAACCTGCTCTATGATAGGGAATGTTCAACTCTCTGTCCTGAATACAAACATCACAAAGATGTTTCTCAGAACGCTGCAGTCTGCAATTTGTATGAATTCCCGCTTCCAACGAAATCCTCAAAACTAGCCAAATATCCACTTGCAGATTCCACAAAAAGACCATTTCAAAACTGCTCTATCAAAAGAAAGGTTCAACTTTGTTAGTTGAGTAGATACAGCATAACCAAGTTTCTGAGAATGCTTCTGTCCAGTTTTTATGGGAAGATATTTCCTTTTTCACCTTAGCCCTGAAATCGCTCCAAAAGTCCAGTTCCAGATACTACAAAAGGGGTGTTTCAAGACTGCTCTATGAAAGGGAGTGTTCAACTTTTGACTTGAATGCAAACATCAGAAAGCAGTTTCTCAGAACGCTGCTGTGTGCTTTTTATATGTATTCCCGCTTCCAGCGAAATCCCCAAAGCTAGCCAAATATCCACTTGCAGATTCCAGAAAAAGAGTGTTTCCAAACTGCTCCTTCAAAACGGTGGTTCAATTCTCTTAGTTGAGTACACACATCTCAAATAAGTTTCTGGGAATGCTTCTGTCTAGTTGTTATGGGAAGATATTTCCTTTTCCAACATAGGCCTGAAAGCGCTCCAAATGTCCACTTCCAGATACTACAAAAGGAGTGATTCAAACCTGCTCTATGATAGGGAATGTTCAACTCTGTGTCCTGAATACAAACATCACAAAGATGTTTCTCAGAACGCTGCAGTCTGCAATTTGTATGAATTCCCGCTTCCAACGAAATCCTCAAAACTAGCCAAATATCCACTTGCAGATTCCACAAAAAGAGCGTTTCAAAACTTCTCTATGAAAAGAAAGGTTCTACTCCTTTAGTTGAGGACACACATCACGAGTAAGTTTCTGAGAATGCTTCTGTCTAGTTTTTATGGGAAGATATTTCCCTTTTCACCTTAGGCCGGTAAGTGCTCCAAAGGTCCACTTACACACACTACAAAAAGAGTGTTTCAAACCTGCTCTGTGAAAGGGAATGTTCAATTCTGTGACTTGAATGCAATCATCACAAAGAACTTTCTGAGAATGCTGCTGACTGCTTTTTATATGTAATCCCGTTTCTAACGAAATCCTCAAATCTAGCCAAATAGCCACTTGCAGATTCCACAAAAAGAGTGTTTCAAAACTGTTCTGTCTAAAGAAATGTTCAACTGTGTTAGTTGAGGACACACATCAGAAACTAGTTTCTGAGAATGCTTCTGTCTAGTTGTTATGGGAAGATATTTCCTTTTCCAACGTAGGCCTGAAAGCGCTCCAAATGTCCACTTCCATATACTAAAAAAAGAGTGTTTCAAACCTGCTCTACCAAAGGGAATGTTCTACTCTGTGACTTGAATGCAAACATCCCAAAGAAGTTTCTGAGAATGCTTCTGTCTAGATTTTCTCTGAAGACAATCCCGTTTCCAACGAAATCCTCAAGGCTAGGCAAATATACTCTTGCAGATTCGAGAAAAAGAGTGTTTCAAAACTGCTCCTTCAAAACGGTGGTTCAATTCTCTTAGTTGAGTACACACATCTCAAATAAGTTTCTGAGAATGCTTCTGCCTAGTTGTTACGGGAAGATATTTCCCTTTCCAACATAGGCCTGAAAGCGCTCCAAATGTCCACTTCCAGATACTACAAAAAGAGTGTTTCAAACCTACTCTACCAAAGGGAATGTTCTACTCTGGGACTTGAATGCAAACATCCCAAAGAAGTTTCTGAGAATGCTTCTGTCTAGATTTTACCTGAAGACAATCCCGTTTCCCACGAAATCCTCAAAGCTATGCAAAAATCCTCTTGCAGATTCTACAAAAAGAGTGTTTCAAAACTGCTCTATGAAAAGAAAGGTTCAACTCTGTCAGTAGAGGGCACACATCACAAACAAGTTTCTGAGAATGCTTGTGTCTAGTTGTTATGGGAAGATATTTCCTTTTTCAACATAGGCCAGAAAGCGCTCCAAATGTCCACTTCCAGATACTACAAAAGGAGTGATTCCAACCTGCTCTATGATAGGGAATGTTCAACTCTCTGTCCTGAATACAAACATCACAAAGATGTTTCTCAGAACGCTGCAGTCTGCAATTTGTATGAATTCCCGCTTCCAACGAAATCCTCAAAACTAGCCAAATATCCACTTGCAGATTCCACAAAAAGAGCATTTCAAAACTGCTCTATCAAAAGAAAGGTTCAACTTTGTTAGTTGAGTAGATACAGCATAAACAAGTTTCTGAGAATGCTTCTGTCCAGTTTTTATGGGAAGATATTTCCTTTTTCACCTTAGCCCTGAAATCGCTCCAAAAGTCCAGTTCCAGATACTACAAAAGGGGTGTTTCAGGACTGCTCTATGAAAGGGAGTGTTCAACTTTTGACTTGAATGCAAACATCAGAAAGCAGTTTCTCAGAACGCTGCTGTGTGCTTTTTATATGTATTCCCGCTTCCAGCGAAATCCCCAAAGCTAGCCAAATATCCACTTGCAGATTCCAGAAAAAGAGTGTTTCAAAACTGCTCCTTCAAAACGGTGGTTCAATTCTCTTAGTTGAGTACACACATCTCAAATAAGTTTCTGAGAATGCTTCTGTCTAGTTGTTATGGGAAGATATTTCCTTTTCCAACATAGGCCTGAAAGCGCTCCAAATGTCCACTTCCAGATACTACAAAAGGAGTGATTCAAACCTGCTCTATGATAGGGAATGTTCAACTCTGTGTCCTGAATACAAACATCACAAAGATGTTTCTCAGAACGCTGCAGTCTGCAATTTGTATGAATTCCCGCTTCCAACGAAATCCTCCAAACTAGCCAAATATCCACTTGCAGATTCCACAAAAAGAGCATTTCAAAACTGCTCTATCAAAAGAAAGGTTCAACTATGTTAGTTGAGTAGATACAGCATAAACAAGTTTCTGAGAATGATTCTGTCCAGTTTTTATGGGAAGATATTTCCTTTTTCACCTTAGCCCTGAAATCGCTCCAAAAGTCCAGTTCCAGATACTACAAAAGGGGTGTTTCAAGACTGCTCTATGAAAGGGAGTGTTCAACTTTTGACTTGAATGCAAACATCAGAAAGCAGTTTCTCAGAACGCTGCTGTGTGCTTTTTATATGTATTCCCGCTTCCAGCGAAATCCCCAAAGCTAGCCAAATATCCACTTGCAGATTCCAGAAAAAGAGTGTTTCAAAACTGCTCCTTCAAAACGGTGGTTCAATTCTCTTAGTTGAGTACACACATCTCAAATAAGTTTCTGAGAATGCTTCTGTCTAGTTGTTATGGGAAGATTTTTCCTTTTTCAACATAGGCCTGAAAGAGCTCCAAATGTCCACTTCCAGATACTACAAAAGGAGTGATCCCAACCTGCTCTATGATAGGGAATGTTCAACTCTGTGTCCTGAATACAAACATCACAAAGATGTTTCTCAGAACGCTGCAGTCTGCAATTTGTATGAATTCCCTCTTCCAACGAAATCCTCAAAACTAGCCAAATATCCACTTGCAGATTCCACAAAAAGAGCGTTTCAAAACTTCTCTATGAAATGAAAGGTTCTACTCCTTTAGTTGAGGACACACATCACGAGTAAGTTTCTGAGAATGCTTCTGTCTAGTTTTTATGGGAAGATATTTCCTTGTTCACCTTAGGCCGGAAAGCGCTCCAAATGTCCACTTACACACACTACAAAAAGAGTGTTTCAAACCTGCTCTGTGAAAGGGAATGTTCAATTCTGTGACTTGAATGCAATCATCACAAAGAAGTTTCTGAGAATGCTGCTGTCTGCTTTTTATATGTAATCCCGTTTCCAACGAAATCCTCAAATCTAGCCAAATAGCCACTTGCAGATTCCACAAAAAGAGTGTTTCAAAACTGTTCTGTCTAAAGAAATGTTCAACTGTGTTAGTTGAGGACACACATCAGAAACTAGTTTCTGAGAATGCTTCTGTCTAGTTGTTATGGGAAGATATTTCCTTTTCCAACGTAGGCCTGAAAGCGCTCCAAATGTCCACTTACACACACTACAAAAAGAGTGTTTCAAACCTGCTCTACCAAAGGGAATGTTCTACTCTGTGACTTGAATGCAAACATCCCAAAGAAGTTTCTGAGAATGCTTCTGTCTAGATTTTCTCTGAAGACAATCCCGTTTCCAACGAAATCCTCAAGGCTAGGCAAATATCCTCTTGCAGATTCCAGAAAAAGAGTGTTTCAAAACTGCTCCTTCAAAACGGTGGTTCAATTCTCTTAGTTGAGTACACACATCTCAAATAAGTTTCTGAGAATGCTTCTGCCTAGTTGTTACGGGAAGATATTTCCCTTTCCAACATAGGCCTGAAAGCGCTCCAAATGTCCACTTCCAGATACTACAAAAAGAGTGTTTCAAACCTGCTCTACCAAAGGGAATGTTCTGCTCTGTGACTTGAATGCAAACATCCCAAAGAAGTTTCTGAGAATGCTTCTGTCTAGATTTTACCTGAAGACAATCCCGTTTCCCACGAAATCCTCAAAGCTATGCAAATATCCTCTTGCAGATTCTACAAAAAGAGTGTTTCAAAACTGCTCTATGAAAAGAAAGGTTCAACTCTGTCAGTAGAGGGCACACATCACAAACAAGTTTCTGAGAATGCTTGTGTCTAGTTGTTATGGGAAGATATTTCCTTTTTCAACATAGGCCTGAAAGCGCTCCAAATGTCCACTTCCAGATACTACAAAAGGAGTGATTCCAACCTGCTCTATGATAGGGAATGTTCAACTCTCTGTCCTGAATACAAACATCACAAAGATGTTTCTCAGAACGCTGCAGTCTGCAATTTGTATGAATTCCCGCTTCCAACGAAATCCTCAAAACTAGCCAAATATCCACTTGCAGATTCCACAAAAAGACCATTTCAAAACTGCTCTATCAAAAGAAAGGTTCAACTTTGTTAGTTGAGTAGATACAGCATAAACAAGTTTCTGAGAATGCTTCTGTCCAGTTTTTATGGGAAGATATTTCCTTTTTCACCTTAGCCCTGAAATCGCTCCAAAAGTCCAGTTCCAGATACTACAAAAGGGGTGTTTCAAGACTGCTCTATGAAAGGGAGTGTTCAACTTTTGACTTGAATGCAAACATCAGAAAGCAGTTTCTCAGAACGCTGCTGTCTGCTTTGTGTATATAATCCCGTTTCCAACGAAATCCTCATATCTAGCTAAATATCCACTTGCAGATTCCAGAAAAAGAGTGTTTCAAAACTGCTCCTTCAAAACGGTGGTTCAATTCTCTTAGTTGAGTACACACATCTCAAATAAGTTTCTGAGAATGCTTCTGTCTAGTTGTTATGGGAAGATATTTCCTTTTCCAACATAGGCCTGAAAGCGCTCCAAATGTCCACTTCCAGATACTACAAAAGGAGTGATTCCAACCTGCTCTATGATAGGGAATGTTCAACTCTGTGTCCTGAATACAAACATCACAAAGATGTTTCTCAGAACGCTGCAGTCTGCAATTTGTATGAATTCCCGCTTCCAACGAAATCCTCCAAACTAGCCAAATATCCACTTGCAGATTCCACAAAAAGAGCGTTTCAAAACTTCTCTATGAAAAGAAAGGTTCTACTCCTTTAGTTGAGGACACACATCACGAGTAAGTTTCTGAGAATGCTTCTGTCTAGTTTTTATGGGAAGATATTTCCTTGTTCACCTTAGGCCGGAAAGCGCTCCAAATGTCCACTTACACACACTACAAAAAGAGTGTTTCAAACCTGCTCTGTGAAAGGGAATGTTCAATTCTGTGACTTGAATGCAATCATCACAAAGAAGTTTCTGAGAATGCTGCTGTCTGCTTTTTATATGTAATCCCGTTTCCAACGAAATCCTCAAATCTAGCCAAATATCCACTTGCAGATTCCACAAAAAGAGTGTTTCAAAACTGTTCTGTCTAAAGAAATGTTCAACTGTGTTAGTTGAGGACACACATCAGAAACTAGTTTCTGAGAATGCTTCTGTCTAGTTGTTATGGGAAGATATTTCCTTTTCCAACGTAGGCCAGAAAGCGCTCCAAATGTCCACTTACACACACTACAAAAAGAGTGTTTCAAACCTGCTCTACCAAAGGGAATGTTCTACTGCTGTGACTTGAATGCAAACATCCCAAAGAAGTTTCTGAGAATGCTTCTGTCTAGATTTGATCTGAAGACAATCCCTTTTCCAACGAAATCCTCAAAGCTAGGCAAATATCCTCTTGCAGATTCCAGAAAAAGAGTGTTTCCAAACTGCTCCTTCAAAACGGTGGTTCAATTCTCTTAGTTGAGTACACACATCTCAAATAAGTTTCTGAGAATGCTTCTGCCTAGTTGTTACGGGAAGATATTTCCCTTTCCAACATGGGCCTGAAAGCGCTCCAAATGTCCACTTCCAGATACTACAAAAAGAGTGTTTCAAACCTACTCTACCAAAGGGAATGTTCTACTCTGTGACTTGAATGCAAACATCCCAAAGAAGTTTCTGAGAATGCTTCTGTCTAGATTTTACCTGAAGACAATCCCGTTTCCCACGAAATCCTCAAAGCTATGCAAATATCCTCTTGCGGATTCTACAAAAAGAGTGTTTCAAAACTGCTCTATGAAAAGAAAGGTTCAACTCTGTCAGTAGAGGGCACACATCACAAACAAGTTTCTGAGAATGCTTGTGTCTAGTTGTTATGGGAAGATATTTCCTTTTTCAACATAGGCCTGAAAGCGCTCCAAATGTCCACTTCCAGATACTACAAAAGGAGTGATTCCAACCTGCTCTATGATAGGGAATGTTCATGTCTGTGTCCTGAATACAAACATCACAAAGATGTTTCTCAGAACGCTGCAGTCTGCAATTTGTATGAATTCCCGCTTCCAACGAAATCCTCAAAACTAGCCAAATATCCACTTGCAGATTCCACAAAAAGACCATTTCAAAACTGCTCTATCAAAAGAAAGGTTCAACTTTGTTAGTTGAGTAGATACAGCATAAACAAGTTTCTGAGAATGCTTCTGTCCAGTTTTTATGGGAAGATATTTCCTTTTTCACCTTAGCCCTGAAATCGCTCCAAAAGTCCAGTTCCAGATACTACAAAAGGGGTGTTTCAAGACTGCTCTATGAAAGGGAGTGTTCAACTTTTGACTTGAATGCAAACATCAGAAAGCAGTTTCTCAGAACGCTGCTGTGTGCTTTTTATATGTATTCCCGCTTCCAGCGAAATCCCCAAATCTAGCCAAATATCCACTTGCAGATTCCAGAAAAAGAGTGTTTCAAAACTGCTCCTTCAAAACGGTGGTTCAATTCTGCTAGTTGAGTACACACATCTCAAATAGGTTTCTGAGAATGCTTCTGTCTAGTTGTTATGGGAAGATATTTCCTTTTCCAACATAGGCCTGAAAGCGCTCCAAATGTCCACTTCCAGATACTACAAAAGGAGTGATTCAAACCTGCTCTATGATAGGGAATGTTCAACTCTGTGTCCTGAATACAAACATCAAAAAGATGTTTCTCAGAACGCTGCAGTCTGCAATTTGTATGAATTCCCGCTTCCAACGAAATCCTCAAAACTAGCCAAATATCCACTTGCAGATTCCACAAAAAGAGCGTTTCAAAACTTCTCTATGAAAAGAAAGGTTCTACTCCTTTAGTTGAGGACACACATCACGAGTAAGTTTCTGAGAATGCTTCTGTCTATTTTTTATGGGAAGATATGTCCTTTTTCACCTTAGGCCGGAAAGTGCTCCAAATGTCCACTTACACACACTACAAAAAGAGTGTTTCAAACCTGCTCTGTGAAAGGGAATGTTCAATTCTGTGACTTGAATGCAATCATCACAAAGAACTTTCTGAGAATGCTGCTGACTGCTTTTTATATGTAATCCCGTTTCCAACGAAATCCTCAAATCTAGCCAAATAGCCACTTGCAGATTCCACAAAAAGAGTGTTTCAAAACTGTTCTGTCTAAAGAAATGTTCAACTGTGTTAGTTGAGGACACACATCAGAAACTAGTTTCTGAGAATGCTTCTGTCTAGTTGTTATGGGAAGATATTTCCTTTTCCAACGTAGGCCTGAAAGCGATCCAAATGTCCACTTCCAGATACTACAAAAAGAGTGTTTCAAACCTGCTCTACCAAAGGGAATGTTCTACTCTGTGACTTGAATGCAAACATCCCAAAGAAGTTTCTGAGAATGCTTCTGTCTAGATTTTCTCTGAAGACAATCCCGTTTCCAACGAAATCCTCAAGGCTAGGCAAATATACTCTTGCAGATTCCAGAAAAAGAGTGTTTCAAAACTGCTCCTTCAAAACGGTGGTTCAATTCTCTTAGTTGAGTACACACATCTCAAATAAGTTTCTGAGAATGCTTCTGCCTAGTTGTTACGGGAAGATATTTCCCTTTCCAACATAGGCCTGAAAGCGCTCCAAATGTCCACTTCCAGATACTACAAAAAGAGTGTTTCAAACCTGCTCCTTCAAAACGGTGGTTCAATTCTCTTAGTTCAGTACACACATCTCAAATAAGTTTCTGAGAATGCTTCTGCCTAGTTGTTACGGGAAGATATTTCCCTTTCCAACATAGGCCTGAAAGCGCTCCAAATGTCCACTTCCAGATACTACAAAAAGAGTGTTTCAAACCTGCTCTACCAAAGGGAATGTTCTACTCTGTGACTTGAATGCAAACATCCCAAAGAAGTTTCTGAGAATGCTTCTGTCTAGATTTTACCTGAAGACAATCCCGTTTCCCACGAAATCCTCAAAGCTATGCAAATATCCTCTTGCGGATTCTACAAAAAGAGTGTTTCAAAACTGCTCTATGAAAAGAAAGGTTCAACTCTGTCAGTAGAGGGCACACATCACAAACAAGTTTCTGAGAATGCTTGTGTCTAGTTGTTATGGGAAGATATTTCCTTTTTCAACATAGGCCTGAAAGCGCTCCAAATGTCCACTTCCAGATACTACAAAAGGAGTGATTCCAACCTGCTCTATGATAGGGAATGTTCATCTCTGTGTCCTGAATACAAACATCACAAAGATGTTTCTCAGAACGCTGCAGTCTGCAATTTGGATGAATTCCCGCTTCCAACGAAATCCTCAAAACTAGCCAAATATCCACTTGGAGATTCCACAAAAAGAGCGTTTCAAAACTTCTCTATGAATAGAAAGGTTCTACTCCTTTAGTTGAGGAAACACATCACGAGTAAGTTTCTGAGAATGCTTCTGTCTAGTTTTTATGGGAAGATATGTCCTTTTTCACCTTAGGCCGGAAAGCGCTCCAAATGTCCACTTACACACACTACAAAAAGAGTGTTTCAAACCTGCTCTGTGAAAGGGAATGTTCAATTCTGTGACTTGAATGCAATCATCACAAAGAACTTTCTGAGAATGCTGCTGTCTGCTTTTTATATGTAATCCCGTTTCCAATGAAATCCTCAAATCTAGCCAAATATCCACTTGCAGATTCCACAAAGAGAGTGTTTCAAAACTGTTCTGTCTAAAGAAATGTTCAACTGTGTTAGTTGAGGACACACATCAGAAACTAGTTTCTGAGAATGCTCTCTGTCTAGTTGTTATGGGAAGATATTTCCTTTTCCAACGTAGGCCTGAAAGTGCTCCAAATGTCCACTTCCATATACTAAAAAAAGAGTGTTTCAAACCTGCTCTACCAAAGGGAATGTTCTACTCTGTGACTTGAATGCAAACATCCCAAAGAAGTTTCTGAGAATGCTTCTGTCTAGATTTGATCTGAACACAATCCCGTTTCCAACGAAATCCTCAAAGCTAGGCAAATATCCTCTTGCAGATTCCAGAAAAAGAGTGTTTCAAAACTGCTCCTTCAAAACGGTGGTTCAATTCCCTTAGTTGAGTACACACATCTCAAATAAGTTTCTGAGAATGCTTCTGCCTAGTTGTTACGGGAAGATATTTCCCTTTCCAACATAGGCCTGAAAGCGCAACAAATGTCCACTTCCAGATACGACAAAAAGAGTGTTTCAAACCTGCTCTACCAAAGGGAATGTTCTACTCTGTGACTTGAATGCAAACATCCCGAAGAAGTTTCTGAGAATGCTTCTGTCTAGGTTTTACCTGAAGACAATCCCGTTTCCCACGAAATCCTCAGAGCTATGCAAATATCCTCTTGCAGATTCTACAAAAAGAGTGTTTCGAAACTGCTCTATGAAAAGAAAGGTTCAACTTCTGTCAGTAGAGGAAACACATCACCAACAAGTTTCTGAGAATGCTTCTGTCTAGTTGTTATGGGAAGATTTTTCCTTTTTCAACATAGGCCTGAAAGCGCTCCAAATGTCCACTTCCAGATACTACAAAAGGAGTGATCCCAACCTGCTCTATGATAGGGAATGTTCAACTCTGTGTCCTGAATACAAACATCACAAAGATGTTTCTCAGAACGCTGCAGTCTGCAATTTGTATGAATTCCCTCTTCCAACGAAATCCTCAAAACTAGCCAAATATCCACTTGCAGATTCCACAAAAAGAGCGTTTCAAAACTTCTCTATGAAAAGAAAGGTTCTACTCCTTTAGTTGAGGACACACATCACGAGTAAGTTTCTGAGAATGCTTCTGTCTAGTTTTTATGGGAAGATATTTCCTTGTTCACCTTAGGCCGGAAAGCGCTCCAAATGTCCACTTACACACACTACAAAAAGAGTGTTTCAAACCTGCTCTGTGAAAGGGAATGTTCAATTCTGTGACTTGAATGCAATCATCACAAAGAAGTTTCTGAGAATGCTGCTGTCTGCTTTTTATATGTAATCCCGTTTCCAACGAAATCCTCAAATCTAGCCAAATATCCACTTGCAGATTCCACAAAAAGAGTATTTCAAAACTGTTCTGTCTAAAGAAATGTTCAACTCTGTTAGTTGAGGACACACATCAGAAACTAGTTTCTGAGAATGCTTCTGTCTAGTTGTTATGGGAAGATATTTCCTTTTCCAACGTAGGCCTGAAAGCGCTCCAAATGTCCACTTCCATATACTAAAAAAAGAGTGTTTCAAACCTGCTCTACCAAAGGAATGTTCTACTCTGTGACTTGAATGCAAACATCCCAAAGAAGTTTCTGAGAATGCTTCTGTCTAGATTGGATCTGAAGACAATCCCGTTTCCAACGAAATCCTCAAATCTATGCAAATATCCTCTTGCAGATTCCAGAAAAAGAGTGTTTCAAAACTGCTCCTTCAAAACGGTGGTTCAATTCTCTTAGTTGAGTACACACATCTCAAATAAGTTTCTGAGAATGCTTCTGCCTAGTTGTTACGGGAAGATATTTCCCTTTCCAACATAGGCCTGAAAGCGCTCCAAATGTCCACTTCCAGATACTACAAAAAGAGTGTTTCAAACCTGCTCTACCAAAGGGAATGTTCTACTCTGTGACTTGAATGCAAACATCCCGAAGAATTTTCTGAGAATGCTTCTGTCTAGATTTTACCTGAAGACAATCCCGTTTCCCACGAAATCCTCAAAGCTATGCAAATATCCTCTTGCAGATTCTACAAAAAGAGTGTTTCAAAACTGCTCTATGAAAAGAAAGGTTCAACTCTGTCAGTAGAGGGCACACATCACAAACAAGTTTCTGAGAATGCTTCTGCATAGTTGTTACGGGAAGATATTTCCCTTTCCAAAATAGGCCTGAAAGCGCTCCAAATGTCCACTTCCAGATACTACAAAAGGAGTGATTCCAACCTGCTCTATGATAGGGAATGTTCAACTCTGTGTCCTGAATACAAACATCACAAAGATGTTTCTCAGAACGCTGCAGTCTGCAATTTGTATGAATTCCCGCTTCCAACGAAATCCTCAAAACTAGCCAAATATCCACTTG
The DNA here is from genome assembly GCF_000001405.40 of Homo sapiens. NCBI lineage: Eukaryota > Metazoa > Chordata > Mammalia > Primates > Hominidae > Homo > Homo sapiens. The sequence goes on along the minus strand of NC_000018.10, from coordinate 19,626,011 downwards.
CAGATTCCACAAAAAGACCATTTCAAAACTGCTCTATCAAAAGAAAGGTTCAACTTTGTTAGTTGAGTAGATACAGCATAAACAAGTTTCTGAGAATGCTTCTGTCCAGTTTTTATGGGAAGATATTTCCTTTTTCACCTTAGCCCTGAAATCGCTCCAAAAGTCCAGTTCCAGATACTACAAAAGGGGTGTTTCAAGACTGCTCTATGAAAGGGAGTGTTCAACTTTTGACTTGAATGCAAACATCAGAAAGCAGTTTCTCAGAACGCTGCTGTGTGCTTTTTATATGTATTCCCGCTTCCAGCGAAATCCCCAAAGCTAGCCAAATATCCACTTGCAGATTCCAGAAAAAGAGTGTTTCAAAACTGCTCCTTCAAAACGGTGGTTCAATTCTCTTAGTTGAGTACACACATCTCAAATAAGTTTCTGAGAATGCTTCTGTCTAGTTGTTATGGGAAGATATTTCCTTTTCCAACATAGGCCTGAAAGCGCTCCAAATGTCCACTTCCAGATACTACAAAAGGAGTGATTCAAACCTGCTCTATGATAGGGAATGTTCAACTCTGTGTCCTGAATACAAACATCACAAAGATGTTTCTCAGAACGCTGCAGTCTGCAATTTGTATGAATTCCCGCTTCCAACGAAATCCTCAAAACTAGCCAAATATCCACTTGCAGATTCCACAAAAAGACCATTTCAAAACTGCTCTATCAAAAGAAAGGTTCAACTTTGTTAGTTGAGTAGATACAGCATAAACAAGTTTCTGAGAATGCTTCTGTCCAGTTTTTATGGGAAGATATTTCCTTTTTCACCTTAGCCCTGAAATCGCTCCAAAAGTCCAGTTCCAGATACTACAAAAGGGGTGTTTCAAGACTGCTCTATGAAAGGGAGTGTTCAACTTTTGACTTGAATGCAAACATCAGAAAGCAGTTTCTCAGAACGCTGCTGTGTGCTTTTTATATGTATTCCCGCTTCCAGCGAAATCCCCAAAGCTAGCCAAATATCCACTTGCAGATTCCAGAAAAAGAGTGTTTCAAAACTGCTCCTTCAAAACGGTGGTTCAATTCTCTTAGTTGAGTACACACATCTCAAATAAGTTTCTGAGAATGCTTCTGTCTAGTTGTTATGGGAAGATATTTCCTTTTCCAACATAGGCCTGAAAGCGCTCCAAATGTCCACTTCCAGATACTACAAAAGGAGTGATTCAAACCTGCTCTATGATAGGGAATGTTCAACTCTGTGTCCTGAATACAAACATCACAAAGATGTTTCTCAGAACGCTGCAGTCTGCAATTTGTATGAATTCCCGCTTCCAACGAAATCCTCAAAACTAGCCAAATATCCACTTGCAGATTCCACAAAAAGACCATTTCAAAACTGCTCTATCAAAAGAAAGGTTCAACTTTGTTAGTTGAGTAGATACAGCATAAACAAGTTTCTGAGAATGCTTCTGTCCAGTTTTTATGGGAAGATATTTCCTTTTTCACCTTAGCCCTGAAATCGCTCCAAAAGTCCAGTTCCAGATACTACAAAAGGGGTGTTTCAAGACTGCTCTATGAAAGGGAGTGTTCAACTTTTGACTTGAATGCAAACATCAGAAAGCAGTTTCTCAGAACGCTGCTGTGTGCTTTTTATATGTATTCCCGCTTCCAGCGAAATCCCCAAAGCTAGCCAAATATCCACTTGCAGATTCCAGAAAAAGAGTGTTTCAAAACTGCTCCTTCAAAACGGTGGTTCAATTCTCTTAGTTGAGTACACACATCTCAAATAAGTTTCTGAGAATGCTTCTGTCTAGTTGTTATGGGAAGATATTTCCTTTTCCAACATAGGCCTGAAAGCGCTCCAAATGTCCACTTCCAGATACTACAAAAGGAGTGATTCAAACCTGCTCTATGATAGGGAATGTTCAACTCTGTGTCCTGAATACAAACATCACAAAGATGTTTCTCAGAACGCTGCAGTCTGCAATTTGTATGAATTCCCGCTTCCAACGAAATCCTCAAAATTAGTCAAATATCCGCTTGCAGATTCCACAAAAAGAGCGTTTCAAAACTTCTCTATGAAAAGAAAGTTTCTACTCCTTTAGTTGAGGACACACATCACGAGTAAGTTTCTGAGAATGCTTCTGTCTAGTTTTTATGGGAAGATATTTCCCTGTTCACCTGAGACCGGAAAGCGCTCCAAATGTCCACTTACAGACACTACAAAAAGAGTGTTTCAAACCTGCTCTATGAAAGGGAATGTTCAATTCTGTGACTGGGATGCAATCATCACAATGAAGTTTCTGAGAATGCTGCTGTCTGCTTTTTATATGTAATCCCGTTTCCAACGAAATCCTCAACTCTAGCCAAATATCCACTTGCAGAATCCACAAAAAGAGTGTTTCAAAACTGTTGTGTCAAAAGAAATGTTCAACTGTGTTAGTTGAGGACACACATCAGAAACTAGTTTCTGAGAATGCTTCTGTCTAGTTGTTATGGGAAGATATTTCCTTTTCCAACGTAGGCCTGAAAGCGCTCAAATTGTCCACTTCCATATACTAAAAAAAGAGTGTTTCAAACCTGCTCTACCAAAGGGAATGTTCTACTCTCTGACTTGAATGCAAACATCCCAAAGAAGTTTCTGAGAATGCTTCTGTCTAGATTTGATCTGAAGACAATCCCGTTTCCAACGAAATCCTCAAGGCTAGGCAAATATACTCTTGCAGATTCCAGAAAAAGAGTGTTCGAAAACTGCTCCTTCAAAACGGTGGTTCAATTCTCTTAGTTGAGTACACACATCTCAAATAAGTTTCTGAGAATGCTTCTGCTTAGTTGTTACGGGAAGATATTTCCCTTTCCAACATGGGCCTGAAAGCACTCCAAATGTCCACTTCCAGATACTACAAAAAGAGTGTTTCAAACCTGCTCTACCAAAGGGAATGTTCTACTCTGTGACTTGAATGCAAACATCCCAAAGAACTCTCTGAGAGTGCTTCTGTCTAGATTTTACCTGAAGACAATCCCTTTTCCCACGAAATCCTCAAATCTATGCAAATATCCTCTTGCAGATTCTACAAAAAGAGTGTTTCGAAACTGCTCTATGAAAAGAAAGGTTCAACTCTGTCAGTAGAGGGCACACATCACAAACAAGTTTCTGAGAATGCTTGTGTCTAGTTGTTATGGGAAGATATTTCCTTTTTCAACATAGGCCTGAAAGCGCTCCAAATGTCCACTTCGAGATACTACAAAAGGACTGATTCCAACCTGCTCTATGATAGGGAATGATCATCTCTGTGTCCTGAATACAAACATCACAAAGATGTTTCTCAGAACGCTGCAGTCTGCAATTTGTATGAATTCCAGCTTCAACCGAAATCCTCAAAACTAGCCAAATATCCACTTGCAGATTCCACAAAAAGAGCGTTTCAAAACTGCTCTATCAAAAGAAAGGTTCAACTTTGTTAGTAGAGTAGATACAGCATAAACAAGTTTCTGAGAATGCTTCTGTCCAGTTTTTATGGGAAGATATTTCCTTTTTCACCTTAGCCCTGAAAGCGCTCCAAAAGTCCAGTTCCAGATACTACAAAAGGAGTGTTTCAGGACTGCTCTATGAAAGGGAGTGTTCAACTTTTGACTTGAATGCAAACATCAGAAAGCAGTTTCTCAGAACGCTGCTGTGTGCTTTTTATATGTATTCCCGCTTCCAGCGAAATCCCCAAAGCTAGCCAGATATCCACTTGCAGATTCCAGAAAAAGAGTGTTTCAAAACTGCTCCTTCAAAACGGTGGTTCAATTCTGCTTAGTTGAGTACGCACATCTCAAATAAGTTTCTGAGAATGCTTTCTGTCTAGTTGTTATGGGAAGATATTTCCTTTTCCAACATAGGCCTGAAAGCGCTCCAAATGTCCACTTCCAGATACTACAAAAGGAGTGATTCCAACCTGCTCTATGATAGGGAATGTTCAACTCTGTGTCCTGAATACAAACATCACAAAGATGTTTCTCAGAACGCTGCAGTCTGCAATTTGTATGAATTCCCGCTTCCAACGAAATCCTCAAAACTAGCCAAATATCCACTTGCAGAGTCCACAAAAAGAGCGTTTCAAAACTTCTCTATGAAAAGAAAGGTTCTACTCCTTTAGTTGAGGACACACATCACGAGTAAGTTTCTGAGAATGCTTCTGTCTAGTTTTTATGGGAAGATATTTCCTTGTTCACCTTAGGCCGAAAAGCGCTCCAAATGTCCACTTACACACACTACAAAAAGCGTGTTTCAAACCTGCTCTGTGAAAGGGAATGTTCAATTCTGTGACTTGAATGCAATCATCACAAAGAAGTTTCTGAGAATGCTGCTGTCTGCTTTTTATATGTAATCCCGTTTCCAACGAAATCCTCAAATCTAGCCAAATATCCACTTGCAGATTCCACAAAAAGAGTGTTTCAAAACTGTTCTGTCTAAAGAAATGTTCAACTGTGTTAGTTGAGGACACACATCAGAAACTAGTTTCTGAGAATGCTTCTGTCTAGTTGTTATGGGAAGATATTTCCTTTTCCAACGTAGGCCTGAAAGCGCTCCAAATGTCCACTTACACACACTACAAAAAGAGTGTTTCAAACCTGCTCTACCAAAGGGAATGTTCTACTCTGTGACTTGAATGCAAACATCCCAAAGAAGTTTCTGAGAATGCTTCTGTCTAGATTTGATCTGAACACAATCCCGTTTCCAACGAAATCCTCAAAGCTAGGCAAATATCCTCTTGCAGATTCCAGAAAAAGAGTGTTTCAAAACTGCTCCTTCAAAACGGTGGTTCAATTCTCTTAGTTGAGTACACACATCTCAAATAAGTTTCTGAGAATGCTTCTGCCTATTTGTTACGGGAAGATATTTCCCTTTCCAACATGGGCCTGAAAGCGCTCCAAATGTCCACTTCCAGATACTACAAAAAGAGTGTTTCAAACCTGCTCTACCAAAGGGAATGTTCTACTCTGTGACTTGAATGCAAACATCCCAAAGAAGTTTCTGAGAATGCTTCTGTCTAGATTTTACCTGAAGACAATCCCGTTTCCCACGAAATCCTCAAGGCTAGGCAAATATACTCTTGCAGATTCCAGAAAAAGAGTGTTTCAAAACTGCTCCTTCAAAACGGTGGTTCAATTCTCTTAGTTGAGTACACACATCTCAAATAAGTTTCTGAGAATGCTTCTGCCTAGTTGTTACGGGAAGATATTTCCCTTTCCAACATAGGCCTGAAAGCGCTCCAAATGTCCACTTCCAGATACTACAAAAAGAGTGTTTCAAACCTGCTCTACCAAAGGGAATGTTCTACTCTGTGACTTGAATGCAAACATCCCAAAGAAGTTTCTGAGAATGCTTCTGTCTAGATTTTACCTGAAGACAATCCCGTTTCCCACGAAATCCTCAAAGCTATGCAAATATCCTCTTGCAGATTCTACAAAAAGAGTGTTTCAAAACTGCTCTATGAAAAGAAAGGTTCAACTCTGTCAGTAGAGGGCACACATCACAAACAAGTTTCTGAGAATGCTTGTGTCTACTTGTTATGGGAAGATATTTCCTTTTTCAACATAGGCCTGAAAGCGCTCCAAATGTCCACTTCCAGATACTACAAAAGGAGTGATTCCAACCTGCTCTATGATAGGGAATGTTCAACTCTGTGTCCTGAATACAAACATCACAAAGATGTTTCTCAGAACGCTGCAGTCTGCAATTTGTATGAATTCCCGCTTCCAAAGAAATCCTCAAAACTAACCAAATATCCACTTGCAGACTCCACAAAAAGAGCATTTCAAAACTTCTCTATCAAAAGAAAGGTTCAACTTTGTTAGCTGAGTAGATACAGCATAAACAAGTTTCTGAGAATGCTTCTGTCTAGTTGTTATGGGAAGATATTTCCTTTTTCAACATAGGCCTGAAATCGCTCCAAATGTCCACTTCCAGATACTACAAAAGCAGTGATTCAAACCTGCTCTATGATAGGGAATGTTCAACTCTGTGTCCTGAATACAAACATCACAAAGATGTTTCTCAGAACGCTGCAGTCTGCAACTTTTATGAATTCCCGCTTCCAACGAAATCCTCAAAACTAGCCAAATATCCACTTGCAGATTCCACAAAAAGAGTGTTTCAAAACTTCTCTATGAAAAGAAAAGTTCTACTCCTTTAGTTGAGGACACACATCACGAGTAAGTTTCTGAGAATGCTTCTGTCTAGTTTTTATGGGAAGCATATTTCCTTTTTCACCTTAGGCCGGAAAGCGCTCCAAATGTCCACTTACACACACTACAAAAAGAGTGTTTCAAACCTGCTCTGTGAAAGGGAATGTTCAATTCTGTGACTTGAATGCAATCATCACAAAGAACTTTCTGAGAATGCTGCTGACTGCTTTTTATATGTAATCCCGTTTCCAACGAAATCCTCAAATCTAGCCAAATAGCCACTTGCAGATTCCACAAAAAGAGTGTTTCAAAACTGTTCTGTCTAAAGAAATGTTCAACTGTGTTAGTTGAGGACACACATCAGAAACTAGTTTCTGAGAATGCTTCTGTCTAGTTGTTATGGGAAGATATTTCCTTTTCCAACGTAGGCCTGAAAGCGATCCAAATGTCCACTTCCATATACTAAAAAAAGAGTGTTTCAAACCTGCTCTACCAAAGGGAATGTTCTACTACTGTGACTTGAATGCAAACATCCCAAAGAAGTTTCTGAGAATGCTTCTGTCTAGATTTTCTCTGAAGACAATCCCGTTTCCAACGAAATCCTCAAGGCTAGGCAAATATACTCTTGCAGATTCCAGAAAAAGAGTGTTTCAAAACTGCTCCTTCAAAACGGTGGTTCAATTCTCTTAGTTGAGTACACACATCTCAAATAAGTTTCTGAGAATGCTTCTGCCTAGTTGTTACGGGAAGATATTTCCCTTTCCAACATGGGCCTGAAAGCGCTCCAAATGTCCACTTCCAGATACTACAAAAAGAGTGTTTCAAACCTGCTCTACCAAAGGGAATGTTCTACTCTGTGACTTGAATGCAAACATCCCAAAGAAGTTTCTGAGAATGCTTCTGTCTAGATTTTACCTGAAGACTATCCCGTTTCCCACGTAATCCTCAAAGCTATGCAAATATCCTCTTGCAGATTCTACAAAAAGAGTGTTTCAAAACTGCTCTATGAAAAGAAAGGTTCAACTCTGTCAGTAGAGGGCACACATCACAAACAAGTTTCTGAGAATGCTTCTGTCTAGTTGTTATGGGAAGATATTTCCTTTTCCAACATAGGCCTGAAAGCGCTCCAAATGTCCACTTCCAGATACTACAAAAGGAGTGATTCAAACCTGCTCTATGATAGGGAATGTTCAACTACTGTGTCCCGAATACAAACATCACAAAGATGTTTCTCAGAACGCTGCAGTCTGCAATTTGTATGAATTCCCGCTTCCAACGAAATCCTCAAAACTAGCCAAATATCCACTTGCAGATTCCACAAAAAGAGCATTTCAAAACTGCTCTATCAAAAGAAAGGTTCAACTTTGTTAGTTGAGTAGATACAGCATAAACAAGTTTCTGAGAATGCTTCTGTCCAGTTTTTATGGGAAGATATTTCCTTTTTCACCTTAGCCCTGAAATCGCTCCAAAAGTCCAGTTCCAGATACTACAAAAGGGGTGTTTCAGGACTGCTCTATGAAAGGGAGTGTTCAACTTTTGACTTGAATGCAAACATCAGAAAGCAGTTTCTCAGAACGCTGCTGTCTGCTTTGTGTATATAATCCCGTTTCCAACGAAATCCTCATATCTAGCTAAATATCCACTTGCAGATTCCAGAAAAAGAGTGTTTCAAAACTGCTCCTTCAAAACGGTGGTTCAATTCTCTTAGTTGAGTACACACATCTCAAATAAGTTTCTGAGAATGCTTCTGTCTAGTTGTTATGGGAAGATATTTCCTTTTCCAACATAGGCCTGAAAGCGCTCCAAATGTCCACTTCCAGATACTACAAAAGGAGTGATTCAAACCTGCTCTATGATAGGGAATGTTCAACTCTGTGTCCTGAATACAAACATCACAAAGATGTTTCTCAGAACGCTGCAGTCTGCAATTTGTATGAATTCCCGCTTCCAACGAAATCCTCAAAACTAGCCAAATATCCACTTGCAGATTCCACAAAAAGAGCGTTTCAAAACTTCTCTATGAAAAGAAAGGTTCTACTCCTTTAGTTGAGGACACACATCACGAGTAAGTTTCTGAGAATGCTTCTGTCTAGTTTTTATGGGAAGATATTTCCTTTTTCACCTTAGGCCGGTAAGTGCTCCAAATGTCCACTTACACACACTACAAAAAGAGTGTTTCAAACCTGCTCTGTGAAAGGGAATGTTCAATTCTGTGACTTGAATGCAATCATCACAAAGAACTTTCTGAGAATGCTGCTGACTGCTTTTTATATGTAATCCCGTTTCCAACGAAATCCTCAAATCTAGCCAAATAGCCACTTGCAGATTCCACAAAAAGAGTGTTTCAAAACTGTTCTGTCTAAAGAAATGTTCAACTGTGTTAGTTGAGGACACACATCAGAAACTAGTTTCTGAGAATGCTTCTGTCTAGTTGTTATGGGAAGATATTTCCTTTTCCAACGTAGGCCTGAAAGCGCTCCAAATGTCCACTTCCAGATACTACAAAAAGAGTGTTTCAAACCTGCTCTACCAAAGGGAATGTTCTACTCTGTGACTTGAATGCAAACATCCCAAAGAAGTTTCTGAGAATGCTTCTGTCTAGATTTTCTCTGAAGACAATCCCGTTTCCAACGAAATCCTCAAGGCTAGGCAAATATACTCTTGCAGATTCCAGAAAAAGAGTGTTTCAAAACTGCTCCTTCAAAACGGTGGTTCAATTCTCTTAGTTGAGTACACACATCTCAAATAAGTTTCTGAGAATGCTTCTGCCTAGTTGTTACGGGAAGATATTTCCCTTTCCAACATGGGCCTGAAAGCGCTCCAAATGTCCACTTCCAGATACTACAAAAAGAGTGTTTCAAACCTGCTCTACCAAAGGGAATGTTCTACTCTGTGACTTGAATGCAAACATCCCAAAGAAGTTTCTGAGAATGCTTCTGTGTAGATTTTACCTGAAGACAATCCCGTTTCGCACGAAATCCTCAAACCTATGCAAATATCCTCTTGCAGATTCTACAAAAAGAGTGTTTCAAAACTGCTCTATGAAAAGAAAGGTTCAACTCGGTCAGTAGAGGGCACACATCACAAACAAGTTTCTGAGAATGCTTCTGTCTAGTTGTTAAGGGAAGATATTTCCTTTTCCAACGTAGGCCTGAAAGCGCTCCAAATGTCCACTTCCATATACTAAAAAAAGAGTGTTTCAAACCTGCTCTACCAAAGGGAATGTTCTACTCTGTGACTTGAATGCAAACATCCCAAAGAAGTTTCTGAGAATGCCTCTGTCTAGATTTTCTCTGAAGACAATCCCGTTTCCAACGAAATCCTCAAGGCTAGGCAAATATACTCTTGCAGATTCCAGAAAAAGAGTGTTTCAAAACTGCTCCTTCAAAACGGTGGTTCAATTCTCTTAGTTGAGTACACACATCTCAAATAAGTTTCTGAGAATGCTTCTGCCTAGTTGTTACGGGAAGATATTTCCCTTTCCAACATGGGCCTGAAAGCGCTCCAAATGTCCACTTCCAGATACTACAAAAAGAGTGTTTCAAACCTGCTCTACCAAAGGGAATGTTCTACTCTGTGACTTGAATGCAAACATCCCAAAGAAGTTTCTGAGAATGCTTCTGTCTAGATTTTACCTGAAGACAATCCCGTTTCCCACGAAATCCTCAAAGCTATGCAAATATCCTCTTGCGGATTCTACAAAAAGAGTGTTTCAAAACTGCTCTATGAAAAGAAAGGTTCAACTCTGTCAGTAGAGGGCACACATCACAAACAAGTTTCTGAGAATGCTTGTGTCTAGTTGTTATGGGAAGATATTTCCTTTTTCAACATAGGCCTGAAAGCGCTCCAAATGTCCACTTCCAGATACTACAAAAGGAGTGATTCCAACCTGCTCTATGATAGGGAATGTTCAACTCTGTGTCCTGAATACAAACATCACAAAGATGTTTCTCAGAACGCTGCAGTCTGCAATTTGTATGAATTCCCGCTTCCAACGAAATCCTCCAAACTAGCCAAATATCCACTTGCAGATTCCACAAAAAGAGCATTTCAAAACTGCTCTATCAAAAGAAAGGTTCAACTATGTTAGTTGAGTAGATACAGCATAAACAAGTTTCTGAGAATGATTCTGTCCAGTTTTTATGGGAAGATATTTCCTTTTTCACCTTAGCCCTGAAATCGCTCCAAAAGTCCAGTTCCAGATACTACAAAAGGGGTGTTTCAAGACTGCTCTATGAAAGGGAGTGTTCAACTTTTGACTTGAATGCAAACATCAGAAAGCAGTTTCTCAGAACGCTGCTGTGTGCTTTTTATATGTATTCCCGCTTCCAGCGAAATCCCCAAAGCTAGCCAAATATCCACTTGCAGATTCCAGAAAAAGAGTGTTTCAAAACTGCTCCTTCAAAACGGTGGTTCAATTCTCTTAGTTGAGTACACACATCTCAAATAAGTTTCTGAGAATGCTTGTGTCTAGTTGTTATGGGAAGATATTTCCTTTTTCAACATAGGCCTGAAAGCGCTCCAAATGTCCACTTCCAGATACTACAAAAGGAGTGATTCCAACCTGCTCTATGATAGGGAATGTTCATCTCTGTGTCTTGAATACAAACATCACAAAGATGGTTCTCAAAACGCTGGCAGTCTGCAATTTGTATGAATTCCCGCTTCCAACGAAATCCTCAAAACTAGCCAAATATCCACTTGGAGATTCCACAAAAAGAGCGTTTCAAAACTTCTCTATGAATAGAAAGGTTCTACTCCTTTAGTTGAGGACACACATCACGAGTAAGTTTCTGAGAATGCTTCTGTCTAGTTTTTATGGGAAGATATTTCCTCTTTCACCTTAGGCCGGAAAACGCTCCAAATGTCCACTTACACACACTACAAAAAGAGTGTTTCAAACCTGCTCTGTGAAAGGGAATGTTCAATTCTGTGACTTGAATGCAATCATCACAAAGAACTTTCTGAGAATGCTGCTGTCTGCTTTTTATATGTAATCCCGTTTCCAACGAAATCCTCAAATCTAGCCCAATATCCACTTGCAGATTCCACAAAAAGAGTGTTTCAAAACTGTTCTGTCTAAAGAAAAGTTCAACTGTGTTAGTTGAGGACACACATCAGAAACTAGTTTCTGAGAATGCTTCTGTCTAGTTGTTATGGGAAGATATTTCCTTTTCCAACGTAGGCCTGAAAGCGCTCCAAATGTCCACTTCCATATACTAAAAAAAGAGTGTTTCATACCTGCTCTACCAAAGGGAATGTTCTACTCTGTGACTTGAATGCAAACATCCCAAAGAAGTTTCTGAGAATGCTTCTGTCTAGATTTGATCTGAAGACAATCCCGTTTCCAACGAAATCCTCAAGGCTAGGCAAATATCCTCTTGCAGATTCCAGAAAAAGAGTGTTTCAAAACTGCTCCTTCAAAACGGTGGTTCAATTCTCTTAGTTGAGTACACACATCTCAAATAAGTTTCTGAGAATGCTTCTGCCTAGTTGTTACGGGAAGATATTTCCCTTTCCAACATGGGCCTGAAAGCGCTCCAAATGTCCACTTCCAGATACTACAAAAAGAGTGTTTCAAACCTGCTCTACCAAAGGGAATGTTCTACTCTGTGTCTTGAATGCAAACATCCCAAGGAAGTTTCTGAGAATGCTTCTGTCTAGATTTTACCTGAAGACAATCCCGTTTCCCACGAAATCCTCAAAGCTATGCAAATATCCTCTTGCAGATTCTACAAAAAGAGTGTTTCAAAACTGCTCTAAGAAAAGAAAGGTTCAACTCTGTCAGTAGAGGGCACACATCACAAACAAGTTTCTGAGAATGCTTCTGCATAGTTGTTATGGGAAGATATTTCCCTGTCCAAAATAGGCCTGAAAGCGCTCCAAATGTCCACTTCCAGATACTACAAAAGGAGTGATTCCAACCTGCTCTATGATAGGGAATGTTCAACTCTGTGTCCTGAATACAAACATCACAAAGATGTTTCTCATAACGCTGCAGTCTGCAATTTGTATGAATTCCCGCTTCCAACGAAATCCTCAAAACTAGCCAAATATCCACTTGCAGATTCCACAAAAAGACCATTTCAAAACTGCTCTATCAAAAGAAAGGTTCAACTTTGTTAGTTGAGTAGATACAGCATAAACAAGTTTCTGAGAATGCTTCTGTCCAGTTTTTATGGGAAGATATTTCCTTTTTCACCTTAGCCCTGAAATCGCTCCAAAAGTCCAGTTCCAGATACTACAAAAGGGGTGTTTCAGGACTGCTCTATGAAAGGGAGTGTTCAACTTTTGACTTGAATGCAAACATCAGAAAGCAGTTTCTCAGAACGCTGCTGTGTGCTTTTTATATGTATTCCCGCTTCCAGCGAAATCCCCAAAGCTAGCCAAATATCCACTTGCAGATTCCAGAAAAAGAGTGTTTCAAAACTGCTCCTTCAAAACGGTGGTTCAATTCTCTTAGTTGAGTACACACATCTCAAATAAGTTTCTGAGAATGCTTCTGTCTAGTTGTTATGGGAAGATATTTCCTTTTCCAACATAGGCCTGAAAGCGCTCCAAATGTCCACTTCCAGATACTACAAAAGGAGTGATTCCAACCTGCTCTATGATAGGGAATGTTCAACTCTGTGTCCTGAATACAAACATCACAAAGATGTTTCTCAGAACGCTGCAGTCTGCAATTTGTATGAATTCCCGCTTCCAACGAAATCCTCAAAACTAGCCAAATATCCACTTGCAGATTCCACAAAAAGAGCGTTTCAAAACTTCTCTATGAAAAGAAAGGTTCTACTCCTTTAGTTGAGGACACACATCACGAGTAAGTTTCTGAGAATGCTTCTGTCTAGTTTTTATGGGAAGATATTTCCTTTTTCACCTTAGGCCGGAAAGCGCTCCAAATGTCCACTTACACACACTACAAAAAGAGTGTTTCAAACCTGCTCTGTGAAAGGGAATGTTCAATTCTGTGACTTGAATGCAATCATCACAAAGAACTTTCTGAGAATGCTGCTGACTGCTTTTTATATGTAATCCCGTTTCCAACGAAATCCTCAAATCTAGCCAAATAGCCACTTGCAGATTCCACAAAAAGAGTGTTTCAAAACTGTTCTGTCTAAAGAAATGTTCAACTGTGTTAGTTGAGGACACACATCAGAAACTAGTTTCTGAGAATGCTTCTGTCTAGTTGTTATGGGAAGATATTTCCTTTTCCAACGTAGGCCTCAAAGCGATCAAAATGTCCACTTCCATATACTAAAAAAAGAGTGTTTCAAACCTGCTCTACCAAAGGGAATGTTCTACTCTGTGACTTGAATGCAAACATCCCAAAGAAGTTTCTGAGAATGCTTCTGTCTAGATTTTCTCTGAAGACAATCCCGTTTCCAACGAAATCCTCAAGGCTAGGCAAATATACTCTTGCAGATTCCAGAAAAAGAGTGTTTCAAAACTGCTCCTTCAAAACGGTGGTTCAATTCTCTTAGTTGAGTACACACATCTCAAATAAGTTTCTGAGAATGCTTCTGCCTAGTTGTTACCGGAAGATATTTCCCTTTCCAACATAGGCCTGAAAGCGCTCCAAATGTCCACTTCCAGATACTACAAAAAGAGTGTTTCAAACCTGCTCTACCAAAGGGAATGTTCTACTCTGTGACTTGAATGCAAACATCCCAAAGAAGTTTCTGAGAATGCTTCTGTCTAGATTTTACCTGAAGACAATCCCGTTTCCCACGAAATCCTCAAAGCTATGCAAATATCCTCTTGCAGATTCTACAAAAAGAGTGTTTCAAAACTGCTCTATGAAAAGAAAGGTTCAACTCTGTCAGTAGAGGGCACACATCACAAACAAGTTTCTGAGAATGCTTGTGTCTAGTTGTTATGGGAAGATATTTCCTTTTTCAACATAGGCCAGAAAGCGCTCCAAATGTCCACTTCCAGATACTACAAAAGGAGTGATTCCAACCTGCTCTATGATAGGGAATGTTCAACTCTCTGTCCTGAATACAAACATCACAAAGATGTTTCTCAGAACGCTGCAGTCTGCAATTTGTATGAATTCCCGCTTCCAATGAAATACTCAAAACTAGCCAAATATCCACTTGCAGATTCCACAAAAAGAGCATTTCAAAACTGCTCTATCAAAAGAAAGGTTCAACTTTGTTAGTTGAGTAGATACAGCATAAACAAGTTTCTGAGAATGCTTCTGTCCAGTTTTTATGGGAAGATATTTCCTTTTTCACCTTAGCCCTGAAAGCGCTCCAAAAGTCCAGTTCCAGATACTACAAAAGGAGTGTTTCAGGACTGCTCTATGAAAGGGAGTGTTCAACTTTTGACTTGAATGCAAACATCAGAAAGCAGTTTCTCAGAACGCTGCAGTCTGCAATTTGTATGAATTCCCGCTTCCAACGAAATCCTCAAAACTAGCCAAATATCCACTTGCAGATTCCACAAAAAGAGCGTTTCAAAACTTCTCTATGAAAAGAAAGGTTCTACTCCTTTAGTTGAGGACACACATCACGAGTAAGTTTCTGAGAATGCTTCTGTCTAGTTTTTATGGGAAGATATTTCCTTTTTCACCTTAGGCCGGAAAGTGCTCCAAATGTCCACTTACACACACTACAAAAAGAGTGTTTCAAACCTGCTCTGTGAAAGGGAATGTTCAATTCTGTGACTTGAATGCAATCATCACAAAGAACTTTCTGAGAATGCTGCTGTCTGCTTTTTATATGTAATCCCGTTTCCAACGAAATCCTCAAATCTAGCCAAATAGCCACTTGCAGATTCCACAAAAAGAGTGTTTCAAAACTGTTCTGTCTAAAGAAATGTTCAACTGTGTTAGTTGAGGACACACATCAGAAACTAGTTTCTGAGAATGCTTCTGTCTAGTTGTTATGGGAAGATATTTCCTTTTCCAACGTAGGCCTGAAAGCGCTCCAAATGTCCACTTCCATATACTAAAAAAAGAGTGTTTCAAACCTGCTCTACCAAAGGGAATGTTCTACTCTGTGACTTGAATGCAAACATCCCAAAGAAGTTTCTGAGAATGCTTCTGTCTAGATTTGATCTGAAGACAATCCCGTTTCCAACGAAATCCTCAAGGCTAGGCAAATATACTCTTGCAGATTCCAGAAAAAGAGTGTTTCAAAACTGCTCCTTCAAAACGGTGGTTCAATTCTCTTAGTTGAGTACACACATCTCAAATAAGTTTCTGAGAATGCTTCTGCCTAGTTGTTACGGGAAGATATTTCCCTTTCCAACATAGGCCTGAAAGCGCTCCAAATGTCCACTTCCAGATACTACAAAAAGAGTGTTTCAAACCTGCTCTACCAAAGGGAATGTTCTACTCTGTGACTTGAATGCAAACATCCCAAAGAAGTTTCTGAGAATGCTTCTGTCGAGATTTTACCTGAAGACAATCCCGTTTCCCACGAAATCCTCAAAGCTATGCAAATATCCTCTTGCAGATTCTACAAAAAGAGTGTTTCAAAACTGCTCTATGAAAAGAAAGGTTCAACTCTGTCAGTAGAGGGCACACATCACAAACAAGTTTCTGAGAATGCTTGTGTCTAGTTGTTATGGGAAGATATTTCCTTTTTCAACATAGGCCAGAAAGCGCTCCAAATGTCCACTTCCAGATACTACAAAAGGAGTGATTCCAACCTGCTCTATGATAGGGAATGTTCAACTCTGTGTCCTGAATACAAACATCACAAAGATGTTTCTCAGAACGCTGCAGTCTGCAATTTGTATGAATTCCCGCTTCCAACGAAATCCTCAAAACTAGCCAAATATCCACTTGCAGATTCCACAAAAAGACCATTTCAAAACTGCTCTATCAAAAGAAAGGTTCAACTTTGTTAGTTGAGTAGATACAGCATAAACAAGTTTCTGAGAATGCTTCTGTCCAGTTTTTATGGGAAGATATTTCCTTTTTCACCTTAGCCCTGAAATCGCTCCAAAAGTCCAGTTCCAGATACTACAAAAGGGGTGTTTCAGGACTGCTCTATGAAAGGGAGTGTTCAACTTTTGACTTGAATGCAAACATCAGAAAGCAGTTTCTCAGAACGCTGCTGTGTGCTTTTTATATGTATTCCCGCTTCCAGCGAAATCCCCAAAGCTAGCCAAATATCCACTTGCAGATTCCAGAAAAAGAGAGTTTCAAAACTGCTCCTTCAAAACGGTGGTTCAATTCTCTTAGTTGAGTACACACATCTCAAATAAGTTTCTGAGAATGCTTCTGTCTAGTTGTTATGGGAAGATATTTCCTTTTCCAACATAGGCCTGAAAGCGCTCCAAATGTCCACTTCCAGATACTACAAAAGGAGTGATTCAAACCTGCTCTATGATAGGGAATGTTCAACTCTGTGTCCTGAATACAAACATCACAAAGATGTTTCTCAGAACGCTGCAGTCTGCAATTTGTATGAATTCCCGCTTCCAACGAAATCCTCAAAACTAGCCAAATATCCACTTGCAGATTCCACAAAAAGAGCGTTTCAAAACTTCTCTATGAAAAGAAAGGTTCTACTCCTTTAGTTGAGGACACACATCACGAGTAAGTTTCTGAGAATGCTTCTGTCTAGTTTTTATGGGAAGATATTTCCTTTTTCACCTTAGGCCGGTAAGTGCTCCAAATGTCCACTTACACACACTACAAAAAGAGTGTTTCAAACCTGCTCTGTGAAAGGGAATGTTCAATTCTGTGACTTGAATGCAATCATCACAAAGAACTTTCTGAGAATGCTGCTGACTGCTTTTTATATGTAATCCCGTTTCCAACGAAATCCTCAAATCTAGCCAAATAGCCACTTGCAGATTCCACAAAAAGAGTGTTTCAAAACTGTTCTGTCTAAAGAAATGTTCAACTGTGTTAGTTGAGGACACACATCAGAAACTAGTTTCTGAGAATGCTTCTGTCTAGTTGTTATGGGAAGATATTTCCTTTTCCAACGTAGGCCTGAAAGCGCTCCAAATGTCCACTTCCAGATACTACAAAAAGAGTGTTTCAAACCTGCTCTACCAAAGGGAATGTTCTACTCTGTGACTTGAATGCAAGCATCCCAAAGAAGTTTCTGAGAATGCTTCTGTCTAGATTTGATCTGAAGACAATCCCGTTTCCAACGAAATCCTCAAGGCTAGGCAAATATCCTCTTGCAGATTCCAGAAAAAGAGTGTTTCAAAACTGCTCCTTCAAAACGGTGGTTCAATTCTCTTAGTTGAGTACACACATCTCAAATAAGTTTCTGAGAATGCTTCTGCCTAGTTGTTACGGGAAGATATATCCCTTTCCAACATGGGCCTGAAAGCGCTCCAAATGTCCACTTCCAGATAGTACAAAAAGAGTGTTTCAAACCTGCTCTACCAAAGGGAATGTTCTACTCTGTGACTTGAATGCAAACATCCCAAAGAAGTTACTGAGAATGCTTCTGTCTAGATTTTACCTGAAGACAATCCCGTTTCCCACGAAATCCTCAAAGCTATGCAAATATCCTCTTGCAGATTCTACAAAAAGAGCGTTTCAAAACTTCTCTATGAAAAGAAAGGTTCTACTCATTTAGTGGAGGACACACATCACGAGTAAGTTTCTGAGAATGCTTCTGTCTAGTTTTTATGGGAAGATATTTCCTTTTTCACCTTAGGCCGGAAAGTGCTCCAAATGTCCACTTCCAGATACTACAAAAGGAGTGATTCCAACCTGCTCTATGATAGGGAATGTTCAACTCTCTGTCTTGAATACAAACATCACAAAGATGTTTCTCAGAACGCTGCAGTCTGCAATTTGTATGAATTCCCGCTTCCAACGAAATCCTCAAAACTAGCCAAATATCCACTTGCAGATTCCACAAAAAGAGCATTTCAAAACTGCTCTATCAAAAGAAAGGTTCAACTTTGTTAGTTGAGTAGATACAGCATAAACAAGTTTCTGAGAATGCTTCTGTCCAGTTTTTATGGGAAGATATTTCCTTTTTCACCTTAGCCCTGAAGGCGCTCCAAATTTCCAGTTCCAGATACTACAAAAGGGGTGTTTCAAGACTGCTCTATGAAAGGGAGTGTTCAACTTTTGACTTGAATGCAAACATCAGAAAGCAGTTTCTCAGAACGCTGCAGTCTGCAATTTGTATGAATTCCCGCTTCCAACGAAATCCTCCAAACTAGCCAAATATCCACTTGCAGATTCCACAAAAAGAGCGTTTCAAAACTTCTCTATGAAAACAAAGGTTCTACTCCTTTAGTTGAGGACACACATCACGAGTAAGTTTCTGAGAATGCTTCTGTCTAGTTTTTATGGGAAGATATTCCCTTTTTCACCTTAGGCCGGAAAGTGCTCCAAATGTCCACTTACACACACTACAAAAAGAGTGTTTCAAACCTGCTCTGTGAAAGGGAATGTTCAATTCTGTGACTTGAATGCAATCATCACAAAGAACTTTCTGAGAATGCTGCTGTCTGCTTTTTATATGTAATCCCGTTTCCAACGAAATCCTCAAATCTAGCCAATTAGCCACTTGCAGATTCCACAAAAAGAGTGTTTCAAAACTGTTCTGTCTAAAGAAATGTTCAACTGTGTTAGTTGAGGACACACATCAGAAACTAGTTTCTGAGAATGCTTCTGTCTAATTGTTATGGGAAGATATTTCCTTTTCCAACGTAGGCCTGAAAGCGCTCCAAATGTCCACTTCCATATACTAAAAAAAGAGTGTTTCAAACCTGCTCTACCAAAGGGAATGTTCTACTCTGTGACTTGAATGCAAACATCCCAAAGAAGTTTCTGAGAATGCTTCTGTCTAGATTTGATCTGAAGACAATCCCGTTTCCAACGAAATCCTCAAGGCTAGGCAAATATCCTCTTGCAGATTCCAGAAAAAGAGTGTTTCAAAACTGCTCCTTCAAAACGGTGGTTCAATTCTCTTAGTTGAGTACACACATCTCAAATAAGTTTCTGAGAATGCTTCTGCCTAGTTGTTACGGGAAGATATTTCCCTTTCCAACATGGGCCTGAAAGCGCTCCAAATGTCCACTTCCAGATACTACAAAAAGAGTGTTTCAAACCTGCTCTACCAAAGGGAATGTTCTACTCTGTGACTTGAATGCAAACATCCCAAAGAAGTTTCTGAGAATGCTTCTGTCTAGATTTTACCTGAAGACAATCCCGTTTCCCACGAAATCCTCAAAGCTATGCAAATATCCTCTTGCAGATTCTACAAAAAGAGTGTTTCAAAACTGCTCTATGAAAAGAAAGGTTCAACTCTGTCAGTAGAGGGCACACATCACAAACAAGTTTCTGAGAATGCTTCTGCATAGTTGTTACGGGAAGATATTTCCCTTTCCAAAATAGGCCTGAAAGCGCTCCAAATGTCCACTTCCAGATACTACAAAAGGAGTGATTCCAACCTGCTCTATGATAGGGAATGTTCAACTCTGTGTCCTGAATACAAACATCACAAAGATGTTTCTCAGAACGCTGCAGTCTGCAATTTGTATGAATTCCCGCTTCCAACGAAATCCTCAAAACTAGCCAAATATCCACTTGCAGATTCCACAAAAAGACCATTTCAAAACTGCTCTATCAAAAGAAAGGTTCAACTTTGTTAGTTGAGTAGATACAGCATAAACAAGTTTCTGAGAATGCTTCTGTCCAGTTTTTATGGGAAGATATTTCCTTTTTCACCTTAGCCCTGAAATCGCTCCAAAAGTCCAGTTCCAGATACTACAAAAGGGGTGTTTCAAGACTGCTCTATGAAAGGGAGTGTTCAACTTTTGACTTGAATGCAAACATCAGAAAGCAGTTTCTCAGAACGCTGCTGTGTGCTTTTTATATGTATTCCCGCTTCCAGCGAAATCCCCAAAGCTAGCCAAATATCCACTTGCAGATTCCAGAAAAAGAGAGTTTCAAAACTGCTCCTTCAAAACGGTGGTTCAATTCTCTTAGTTGAGTACACACATCTCAAATAAGTTTCTGAGAATGCTTCTGTCTAGTTGTTATGGGAAGATATTTCCTTTTCCAACATAGGCCTGAAAGCGCTCCAAATGTCCACTTCCAGATACTACAAAAGGAGTGATTCAAACCTGCTCTATGATAGGGAATGTTCAACTCTGTGTCCTGAATACAAACATCACAAAGATGTTTCTCAGAACGCTGCAGTCTGCAATTTGTATGAATTCCCGCTTCCAACGAAATCCTCAAAACTAGCCAAATATCCACTTGCAGATTCCACAAAAAGAGCGTTTCAAAACTTCTCTATGAATAGAAAGGTTCTACTCCTTTAGTTGAGGACACACATCACGAGTAAGTTTCTGAGAATGCTTCTGTCTAGTTTTTATGGGAAGATTATTTCCTTTTTCACCTTAGGCCGGTAAGTGCTCCAAATGTCCACTTACACACACTACAAAAAGAGTGTTTCAAACCTGCTCTGTGAAAGGGAATGTTCAATTCTGTGACTTGAATGCAATCATCACAAAGAACTTTCTGAGAATGCCGCTGACTGCTTTTTATATGTAATCCCGTTTCCAACGAAATCCTCAAATCTAGCCAAATAGCCACTTGCAGATTCCACAAAAAGAGTGTTTCAAAACTGTTCTGTCTAAAGAAATGTACAACTGTGTTAGTTGAGGACACACATCAGAAACTAGTTTCTGAGAATGCTTCTGTCTAGTTGTTATGGGAAGATATTTCCTTTTCCAACGTAGGCCTGAATGCGCTCCAAATGTCCACTTCCATATACTAAAAAAAGAGTGTTTCAAACCTGCTCTACCAAAGGGAATGTTCTACTCTGTGACTTGAATGCAAACATCCCAAAGAAGTTTCTGAGAATGCTTCTGTATAGATTTGATCTGAAGACAATCCCGTTTCCAACGAAATCCTCAAGGCTAGGCAAATATCCTCTTTCAGATTCCAGAAAAAGAGTGTTTCAAAACTGCTCCTTCAAAACGGTGGTTCAATTCTCTTAGTTGAATACACACATCTCAAATAAGTTTCTGAGAATGCTTCTGCCTAGTTGTTACGGGAAGATATTTCCCTTTCCAACATAGGCCTGAAAGCGCTCCAAATGTCCACTTCCAGATACTACAAAAAGAGTGTTTCAAACCTACTCTACCAAAGGGAATGTTCTACTCTGTGACTTGAATGCAAACATCCCAAAGAAGTTTCTGAGAATGCTTCTGTCTAGATTTTACCTGAAGACAATCCCGTTTCCCACGAAATCCTCAAAGCTATGCAAATATCCTCTTGCGGATTCTACAAAAAGAGTGTTTCAAAACTGCTCTATGAAAAGAAAGGTTCAACTCTGTCAGTAGAGGGCACACATCACAAACAAGTTTCTGAGAATGCTTGTGTCTAGTTGTTATGGGAAGATATTTCCTTTTTCAACATAGGCCTGAAAGCGCTCCAAATGTCCACTTCCAGATACTACAAAAGGAGTGATTCCAACCTGCTCTATGATAGGGAATGTTCAACTCTCTGTCCTGAATACAAACATCACAAAGATGTTTCTCAGAACGCTGCAGTCTGCAATTTGTATGAATTCCCGCTTCCAACGAAATCCTCAAAACTAGCCAAATATCCACTTGCAGATTCCACAAAAAGACCATTTCAAAACTGCTCTATCAAAAGAAAGGTTCAACTTTGTTAGTTGAGTAGATACAGCATAAACAAGTTTCTGAGAATGCTTCTGTCCAGTTTTTATGGGAAGATATTTCCTTTTTCACCTTAGCCCTGAAAGCGCTCCAAAAGTCCAGTTCCAGATACTACAAAAGGAGTGTTTCAGGACTGCACTATGAAAGGGAGTGTTCAACTTTTGACTTGAATGCAAACATCAGAAAGCAGTTTCTCAGAACGCTGCTGTGTGCTTTTTATATGTATTCCCGCTTCCAGCGAAATCCCCAAAGCTAGCCAAATATCCACTTGCAGATTTCAGAAAAAGAGAGTTTCAAAACTGCTCCTTCAAAACGGTGGTTCAATTCTCTTAGTTGAGTACACACATCTCAAATAAGTTTCTGAGAATGCTTTCTGTCCAGTTTTTATGGGAAGATATTTCCTTTTTCACCTTAGCCCTGAAATCGCTCCAAAAGTCCAGTTCCAGATACTACAAAACGGGTGTTTCAAGACTGCTCTATGAAAGGGAGTGTTCAACTTTTGACTTGAATGCAAACATCAGAAAGCAGTTTCTCAGAACGCTGCAGTCTGCAATTTGTATGAATTCCCGCTTCCAACGAAATCCTCAAAACTAGCCAAATATCCACTTGCAGATTCCACAAAAAGAGCGTTTCAAAACTTCTCTATGAAAAGAAAGGTTCTACTCCTTTAGTTGAGGACACACATCACGAGTAAGTTTCTGAGAATGCTTCTGTCTAGTTTTTATGGGAAGATATTTCCTTTTTCACCTTAGGCCGGTAAGTGCTCCAAATGTCCACTTACACACACTACAAAAAGAGTGTTTCAAACCTGCTCTGTGAAAGGGAATGTTCAATTCTGTGACTTGAATGCAATCATCACAAAGAACTTTCTGAGAATGCTGCTGACTGCTTTTTATATGTAATCCCGTTTCCAACGAAATCCTCAAATCTAGCCAAATAGCCACTTGCAGATTCCACAAAAAGAGTGTTTCAAAACTGTTCTGTCTAAAGAAATGTTCAACTGTGTTAGTTGAGGACACACATCAGAAACTAGTTTCTGAGAATGCTTCTGTCTAGTTGTTATGGGAAGATATTTCCTTTTCCAACGTAGGCCTGAAAGCGCTCCAAATGTCCACTTCCAGATACTACAAAAAGAGTGTTTCAAACCTGCTCTACCAAAGGGAATGTTCTACTCTGTGACTTGAATGCAAACATCCCAAAGAAGTTTCCTGAGAATGCTTCTGTCTAGATTTTCTCTGAAGACAATCCCGTTTCCAACGAAATCCTCAAGGCTAGGCAAATATACTCTTGCAGATTCCAGAAAAAGAGTGTTTCAAAACTGCTCCTTCAAAACGGTGGTTCAATTCTCTTAGTTGAGTACACACATCTCAAATAAGTTTCTGAGAATGCTTCTGCCTAGTTGTTACGGGAAGATATTTCCCTTTCCAACATGGGCCTGAAAGCGCTCCAAATGTCCACTTCCAGATACTACAAAAAGAGTGTTTCAAACCTGCTCTACCAAAGGGAATGTTCTACTCTGTGACTTGAATGCAAACATCCCAAAGAAGTTTCTGAGAATGCTTCTGTCTAGATTTTACCTGAAGACAATCCCGTTTCCCACGAAATCCTCAAAGCTATGCAAATATCCTCTTGCAGATTCTACAAAAAGAGTGTTTCAAAACTGCTCTATGAAAAGAAAGGTTCAACTCTGTCAGTAGAGGGCACACATCACAAACAAGTTTCTGAGAATGCTTGTGTCTAGTTGTTATGGGAAGATATTTCCTTTTTCAACATAGGCCTGAAAGCGCTCCAAATGTCCACTTCCAGATACTACAAAAGGAGTGATTCCAACCTGCTCTATGATAGGGAATGTTCAACTCTGTGTCCTGAATACAAACATCACAAAGATGTTTCTCAGAACGCTGCAGTCTGCAATTTGTATGAATTCCCGCTTCCAACGAAATCCTCCAAACTAGCCAAATATCCACTTGCAGATTCCACAAAAAGACCATTTCAAAACTGCTCTATCAAAAGAAAGGTTCAACTTTGTTAGTTGAGTAGATACAGCATAAACAAGTTTCTGAGAATGCTTCTGTCCAGTTTTTATGGGAAGATATTTCCTTTTTCACCTTAGCCCTGAAATCGCTCCAAAAGTCCAGTTCCAGATACTACAAAAGGGGTGTTTCAGGACTGCTCTATGAAAGGGAGTGTTCAACTTTTGACTTGAATGCAAACATCAGAAAGCAGTTTCTCAGAACGCTGCTGTGTGCTTTTTATATGTATTCCCGCTTCCAGCGAAATCCCCAAAGCTAGCCAAATATCCACTTGCAGATTCCAGAAAAAGAGAGTTTCAAAACTGCTCCTTCAAAACGGTGGTTCAATTCTCTTAGTTGAGTACACACATCTCAAATAAGTTTCTGAGAATGCTTCTGTCTAGTTGTTATGGGAAGATATTTCCTTTTCCAACATAGGCCTGAAAGCGCTCCAAATGTCCACTTCCAGATACTACAAAAGGAGTGATTCAAACCTGCTCTATGATAGGGAATGTTCAACTCTGTGTCCTGAATACAAACATCACAAAGATGTTTCTCAGAACGCTGCAGTCTGCAATTTGTATGAATTCCCGCTTCCAACGAAATCCTCCAAACTAGCCAAATATCCACTTGCAGATTCCACAAAAAGAGCGTTTCAAAACTTCTCTATGAAAAGAAAGGTTCTACTCCTTTAGTTGAGGACACACATCACGAGTAAGTTTCTGAGAATGCTTCTGTCTAGTTTTTATGGGAAGATATTTCCTTTTTCACCTTAGGCCGGAAAGCGCTCCAAATGTCCACTTACACACACTACAAAAAGAGTGTTTCAAACCTGCTCTGTGAAAGGGAATGTTCAATTCTGTGACTTGAATGCAATCATCACAAAGAACTTTCTGAGAATGCTGCTGACTGCTTTTTATATGTAATCCCGTTTCCAACGAAATCCTCAAATCTAGCCAAATAGCCACTTGCAGATTCCACAAAAAGAGTGTTTCAAAACTGTTCTGTCTAAAGAAATGTTCAACTGTGTTAGTTGAGGACACACATCAGAAACTAGTTTCTGAGAATGCTTCTGTCTAGTTGTTATGGGAAGATATTTCCTTTTCCAACGTAGGCCTGAAAGCGATCCAAATGTCCACTTCCATATACTAAAAAAAGAGTGTTTCAAACCTGCTCTACCAAAGGGAATGTTCTACTCTGTGACTTGAATGCAAACATCCCAAAGAAGTTTCTGAGAATGCTTCTGTCTAGATTTTCTCTGAAGACAATCCCGTTTCCAACGAAATCCTCAAGGCTAGGCAAATATACTCTTGCAGATTCCAGAAAAAGAGTGTTTCAAAACTGCTCCTTCAAAACGGTGGTTCAATTCTCTTAGTTGAGTACACACATCTCAAATAAGTTTCTGAGAATGCTTCTGCCTAGTTGTTACGGGAAGATATTTCCCTTTCCAACATAGGCCTGAAAGCGCTCCAAATGTCCACTTCCAGATACTACAAAAAGAGTGTTTCAAACCTGCTCTACCAAAGGGAATGTTCTACTCTGTGACTTGAATGCAAACATCCCGAAGAAGTTTCTGAGAATGCTTCTGTCTAGATTTTACCTGAAGACAATCCCGTTTCCCACGAAATCCTCAAAGCTATGCAAATATCCTCTTGCAGATTCTACAAAAAGAGTGTTTCAAAACTGCTCTATGAAAAGAAAGGTTCAACTCTGTCAGTAGAGGGCACACATCACAAACAAGTTTCTGAGAATGCTTGTGTCTAGTTGTTATGGGAAGACATTTCCTTTTTCAACATAGGCCTGAAAGCGCTCCAAATGTCCACTTCCAGATACTACAAAAGGAGTGATTCCAACCTGCTCTATGATAGGGAATGTTCAACTCTGTGTCCTGAATACAAACATCACAAAGATGTTTCTCAGAACGCTGCAGTCTGCAATTTGTATGAATTCCCGCTTCCAACGAAATCCTCAAAACTAGCCAAATATCCACTTGCAGATTCCACAAAAAGAGCATTTCAAAACTGCTCTATCAAAAGAAAGGTTCAACTTTGTTAGTTGAGTAGATACAGCATAAACAAGTTTCTGAGAATGCTTCTGTCCAGTTTTTATGGGAAGATATTTCCTTTTTCACCTTAGCCCTGAAATCGCTCCAAAAGTCCAGTTCCAGATACTACAAAAGGGGTGTTTCAAGACTGCTCTATGAAAGGGAGTGTTCAACTTTTGACTTGAATGCAAACATCAGAAAGCAGTTTCTCAGAACGCTGCTGTGTGCTTTTTATATGTATTCCCGCTTCCAGCGAAATCCCCAAAGCTAGCCAAATATCCACTTGCAGATTCCAGAAAAAGAGTGTTTCAAAACTGCTCCTTCAAAACGGTGGTTCAATTCTCTTAGTTGAGTACACACATCTCAAATAAGTTTCTGAGAATGCTTCTGTCTAGTTGTTATGGGAAGATATTTCCTTTTCCAACATAGGCCTGAAAGCGCTCCAAATGTCCACTTCCGGATACTACAAAAGGAGTGATTCAAACCTGCTCTATGATAGGGAATGTTCAACTCTGTGTCCTGAATACAAACATCACAAAGATGTTTCTCAGAACGCTGCAGTCTGCAATTTGTATGAATTCCCGCTTCCAACGAAATCCTCCAAACTAGCCAAATATCCACTTGCAGATTCCACAAAAAGAGCGTTTCAAAACTTCTCTATGAAAAGAAAGGTTCTACTCCTTTAGTTGAGGACACACATCACGAGTAAGTTTCTGAGAGTGCTTCTGTCTAGTTTTTATGGGAAGATATTTCCTTTTTCACCTTAGGCCGGAAAGTGCTCCAAATGTCCACTTACACACACTACAAAAAGAGTGTTTCAAACCTGCTCTGTGAAAGGGAATGTTCAATTCTGTGACTTGAATGCAATCATCACAAAGAACTTTCTGAGAATGCTGCTGTCTGCTTTTTATATGTAATCCCGTTTCCAAAGAAATCCTCAAATCTAGCAAAATATCCACTTGCAGATTCCACAAAAAGAGTGTTTCAAAACTGTTCTGTCTAAAGAAAAGTTCAACTGTGTTAGTTGAGGACACACATCAGAAACTAGTTTCTGAGAATGCTTCTGTCTAGTTGTTATGGGAAGATATTTCCTTTTCCAACGTAGGCCTGAAAGCGCTCCAAATGTCCACTTCCATATACTAAAAAAAGAGTGTTTCAAACCTGCTCTACCAAAGGGAATGTTCTACTCTGTGACTTGAATGCAAACATCCCAAAGAAGTTTCTGAGAATGCTTCTGTCTCGATTTGATCTGAAGACAATCCCGTTTCCAACGAAATCCTCAAGGCTAGGCAAATATCCTCTTGCAGATTCCAGAAAAAGAGTGTTTCAAAACTGCTCCTTCAAAACGGTGGTTCAATTCTCTTAGTTGAGTACACACATCTCAAATAAGTTTCTGAGAATGCTTCTGCCTAGTTGTTACGGGAAGATATTTCCCTTTCCAACATAGGCCTGAAAGCGCTCCAAATGTCCACTTCCAGATACTACAAAAAGAGTGTTTCAAACCTGCTCTACCAAAGGGAATGTTCTGCTCTGTGACTTGAATGCAAATATCCCAAAGAAGTTTCTGAGAATGCTTCTGTCTAGATTTTACCTGAAGACAATCCCGTTTCCCACGAAATCCTCAAAGCTATGCAAATATCCTCTTGCAGATTCTACAAAAAGAGTGTTTCAAAACTGCTCTATGAAAAGAAAGGTTCAACTCTGTCAGTAGAGGGCACACATCACAAACAAGTTTCTGAGAATGCTTCTGCATAGTTGTTACGGGAAGATATTTCCCTTTCCAAAATAGGCCTGAAAGCGCTCCAAATGTCCACTTCCAGATACTACAAAAGGAGTGATTCCAACCTGCTCTATGATAGGGAATGTTCAACTCTGTGTCCTGAATACAAACATCACAAAGATGTTTCTCAGAACACGCTGCAGTCTGCAATTTGTATGAATTCCCGCTTCCAACGAAATCCTCAAAACTAGCCAAATATCCACTTGCAGATTCCACAAAAAGACCATTTCAAAACTGCTCTATCAAAAGAAAGGTTCAACTTTGTTAGTTGAGTAGATACAGCATAACCAAGTTTCTGAGAATGCTTCTGTCCAGTTTTTATGGGAAGATATTTCCTTTTTCACCTTAGCCCTGAAAGCGCTCCAAAAGTCCAGTTCCAGATACTACAAAAGGAGTGTTTCAGGACTGCTCTATGAAAGGGAGTGTTCAACTTTTGACTTGAATGCAAACATCAGAAAGCAGTTTCTCAGAACGCTGCTGTGTGCTTTTTATATGTATTCCCGCTTCCAGCGAAATCCCCAAAGCTAGCCAAATATCCACTTGCAGATTCCAGAAAAAGAGAGTTTCAAAACTGCTCCTTCAAAACGGTGGTTCAATTCTCTTAGTTGAGTACACACATCTCAAATAAGTTTCTGAGAATGCTTCTGTCTAGTTGTTATGGGAAGATATTTCCTTTTCCAACATAGGCCTGAAAGTGCTCCAAATGTCCACTTCCAGATACTACAAAAGGAGTGATTCAAACCTGCTCTATGATAGGGAATGTTCAACTCTGTGTCCTGAATACAAACATCACAAAGATGTTTCTCAGAACGCTGCAGTCTGCAATTTGTATGAATTCCCCGCTTCCAACGAAATCCTCAAAACTAGCCAAATATCCACTTGCAGATTCCACAAAAAGAGCGTTTCAAAACTTCTCTATGAAAAGAAAGGTTCTACTCCTTTAGTTGAGGACACACATCACGAGTAAGTTTCTGAGAATGCTTCTGTCTAGTTTTTATGGGAAGATATTTCCTTTTTCACCTTAGGCCGGTAAGTGCTCCAAATGTCCACTTACACACACTACAAAAAGAGTGTTTCAAACCTGCTCTGTGAAAGGGAATGTTCAATTCTGTGACTTGAATGCAATCATCACAAAGAACTTTCTGAGAATGCTGCTGTCTGCTTTTTATATGTAATCCCGTTTCCAACGAAATCCTCAAATCTAGCCAAATAGCCACTTGCAGATTCCACAAAAAGAGAGTTTCAAAACTGTTCTGTCTAAAGAAATGTTCAACTGTGTTAGTTGAGGACACACATCAGAAACTAGTTTCTGAGAATGCTTCTGTCTAGTTGTTATGGGAAGATATTTCGTTTTCCAACGTAGGCCTGAAAGCGCTCCAAATGTCCACTTCCATATACTAAAAAAAGAGTGTTTCACACCTGCTCTACCAAAGGGAATGTTCTACTCTGTGACTTGAATGCAAACATCCCAAAGAAGTTTCTGAGAATGCTTCTGTCTAGATTTGATCTGAACACAATCCCGTTTCCAACGAAATCCTCAAAGCTAGGCAAATATCCTCTTGCAGATTCCAGAAAAAGAGTGTTTCAAAACTGCTCCTTCAAAACGGTGGTTCAATTCTCTTAGTTGAGTGCACACATCTCAAATAAGTTTCTGAGAATGCTTCTGCCTAGTTGTTACCGGAAGATATTTCCCTTTCCAACATAGGCCTGAAAGCGCTCCAAATGTCCACTTCCAGATACTACAAAAAGAGTGTTTCAAACCTGCTCTACCAAAGGGAATGTTCTACTCTGTGACTTGAATGCAAACATCCCAAAGAAGTTTCTGAGAATGCTTCTGTCTAGATTTTACCTGAAGACAATCCCGTTTCCCACGAAATCCTCAAAGCTATGCAAATATCCTCTTGCAGATTCTACAAAAAGAGTGTTTCAAAACTGCTCTATGAAAAGAAAGGTTCAACTCTGTCAGTAGAGGGCACACATCACAAACAAGTTTCTGAGAATGCTTGTGTCTAGTTGTCATGGGAAGATATTTCCTTTTTCAACATAGGCCTGAAAGCGCTCCAAATGTCCACTTCCAGATACTACAAAAGGAGTGATTCTAACCTGCTCTATGATAGGGAATGTTCAACTCTCTGTCCTGAATACAAACATCACAAAGATGTTTCTCAGAACGCTGCAGTCTGCAATTTGTATGAATTCCCGCTTCCAACGAAATCCTCAAAACTAGCCAAATATCCACTTGCAGATTCCACAAAAAGACCATTTCAAAACTGCTCTATCAAAAGAAAGGTTCAACTTTGTTAGTTGAGTAGATACAGCATAAACAAGTTTCTGAGAATGCTTCTGTCCAGTTTTTATGGGAAGATATTTCCTTTTTCACCTTAGCCCTGAAAGCGCTCCAAATGTCCAGTTCCAGATACTACAAAAGGGGTGTTTCAAGACTGCTCTATGAAAGGGAGTGTTCAACTTTTGACTTGAATGCAAACATCAGAAAGCAGTTTCTCAGAACGCTGCTGTGTGCTTTTTATATGTATTCCCGCTTCCAGCGAAATCCCCAAAGCTAGCCAAATATCCACTTGCAGATTCCAGAAAAAGAGTGTTTCAAAACTGCTCCTTCAAAACGGTGGTTCAATTCTCTTAGTTGAGTACACACATCTCAAATAAGTTTCTGAGAATGCTTCTGTCTAGTTTTTATGGGAAGATATTTCCTTTTTCAACATAGGCCTGAAAGCGCTCCAAATGTCCACTTCCAGATACTACAAAAGGAGTGATTCCAACCTGCTCTATGATAGGGAATGTTCAACACTCTGTCCTGAATACAAACATCACAAAGATGTTTCTCAGAACGCTGCAGTCTGCAATTTGTATGAATTCCCGCTTCCAGCGAAATCCTCAAAACAAGCCAAATATCCACTTGCAGATTCCACAAAAAGAGCATTTCAAAACTGCTCTATCAAAAGAAAGGTTCAACTTTGTTAGTTGAGTAGATACAGCATAAACAAGTTTCTGAGAATGCTTCTGTCCAGTGTTTATGGGAAGATATTTCCATTTTCACCTTAGCCCTGAAAGCGCTCCAAAAGTCCAGTTCCAGATACTACAAAAGGAGTGTTTCAGGACTGCTCTATGAAAGGGAGTGTTCAACTTTTGACTTGAATGCAAACATCAGAAAGCAGTTTCTCAGAACGCTGCAGTCTGCTTTTTATATGTAATCCCGTTTCCAACGAAATCCTCAAATCTAGCCAAATATCCACTTGCAGATTCCACAAAAAGAGTGTTTCCAAACTGTTCTGTCTAAAGAAAAGTTCAACTGTGTTAGTTGAGGACACACATCAGAAACTAGTTTCTGAGAATGCTTCTGTCTAGTTGTTATGGGAAGATATTTCCTTTTCGAACGTAGGCCTGAAAGCGCTCCAAATGTCCACTTCCATATACTAAAAAAAGAGTGTTTCAAACATGCTCTACCAAAGGGAATGTTCTACTCTGTGACTTGAATGCAAACATCCCAAAGAAGTTTCTGAGAATGCTTCTGTCTAGATTTTATCTGAAGACAATCCCGTTTCCAACGAAATCCTCAAGGCTAGGCAAATATACTCTTGCAGATTCCAGAAAAAGAGGGTTTCAAAACTGCTCCTTCAAAACGGTGGTTCAATTCTCTTAGTTTAGTCCACACATCTCAAATAAGTTTCTGAGAATGCTTCTGCCTAGTTGTTACGGGAAGATATTTCCCTTTCCAACATGGGCCTGAAAGCGCTCCAAATGTCCACTTCCAGATACTACAAAAAGAGTGTTTCAAACCTGCTCTACCAAAGGGAATGTTCTACTCTGTGACTTGAATGCAAACATCCCAAAGAAGTTTCTGAGAATGCTTCTGTCTAGATTTTACCTGAAGACAATCCCGTTTCCCACGAAATCCTCAAAGCTATGCAAATATCCTCTTGCAGATTCTACAAAAAGAGTGTTTCAAAACTGCTCTATGAAAAGAAAGGTTCAACTCTGTCAGTAGAGGGCACACATCACAAACAAGTTTCTGAGAATGCTTCTGCATAGTTGTTACGGGAAGATATTTCCCTTTCCAAAATAGGCCTGAAAGCGCTCCAAATGTCCACTTCCAGATACTACAAAAGGAGTGATTCCAACCTGCTCTATGATAGGGAATGTTCAACTCTGTGTCCTGAATACAAACATCACAAAGATGTTTCTCAGAACGCTGCAGTCTGCAATTTGTATGAATTCCCGCTTCCAACGAAATCCTCAAAACTAGCCAAATATCCACTTGCAGATTCCACAAAAAGAGCATTTCAAAACTGCTCTATCAAAAGAAAGGTTCAACTTTGTTAGTTGAGTAGATACAGCATAAACAAGTTTCTGAGAATGCTTCTGTCCAGTTTTTATGGGAAGATATTTCCTTTTTCAACTTAGCCCTGAAAGCGCTCCAAAAGTCCAGTTCCAGATACTACAAAAGGAGTGTTTCAGGACTGCACTATGAAAGGGAGTGTTCAACTTTTGACTTGAATGCAAACATCAGAAAGCAGTTTCTCAGAACGCTGCTGTGTGCTTTTTATATGTATTCCCGCTTCCAGCGAAATCCCCAAAGCTAGCCAAATATCCACTTGCAGATTCCAGAAAAAGAGTGTTTCAAAACTGCTCCTTCAAAACGGTGGTTCAATTCTCTTAGTTGAGTACACACATCTCAAATAAGTTTCTGAGAATGCTTCTGTCTAGTTGTTATGGGAAGATATTTCCTTTTCCAACATAGGCCTGAAAGCGCTCCAAATGTCCACTTCCAGATACTACAAAAGGAGTGATTCAAACCTGCTCTATGATAGGGAATGTTCCACTCTGTGTCCTGAATACAAACATCACAAAGATGTTTCTCAGAACGCTGCAGTCTGCAATTTGTATGAATTCCCGCTTCCAACGAAATCCTCCAAACTAGCCAAATATCCACTTGCAGATTCCACAAAAAGAGCGTTTCAAAACTTCTCTATGAAAAGAAAGGTTCTACTCCTTTAGTTGAGGACACACATCACGAGTAAGTTTCTGAGAATGCTTCTGTCTAGTTTTTATGGGAAGATATTTCCTTTTTCACCTTAGGCCGGAAAGTGCTCCAAATGTCCACTTACACACACTATAAAAAGAGTGTTTCAAACCTGCTCTGTGAAAGGGAATGTTCAATTCTGTGACTTGAATGCAATCATCACAAAGAACTTTCTGAGAATGCTGCTGTCTGCTTTTTATATGTAATCCCGTTTCCAACGAAATCCTCAAATCTAGCCAAATAGCCACTTGCAGATTCCACAAAAAGAGAGTTTCAAAACTGTTCTGTCTAAAGAAATGTTCAACTGTGTTAGTTGAGGACACACATCAGAAACTAGTTTCCTGAGAATGCTTCTGTCTAGTTGTTACGGGAAGATATTTCCTTTTCCAACGTAGGCCTGAAGGCGCTCCAAATGTCCACTTCCATATACTAAAAAAAGAGTGTTTCAAACCTGCTCTACCAAAGGGAATGTTCTACTCTGTGACTTGAATGCAAACATCCCAAAGAAGTTTCTGAGAATGCTTCTGTCTAGCATTTTATCTGAAGACAATCCCGTTTCCAACGAAATCCTCAAGGCTAGGCAAATATCGTCTAGCAGATTCCAGAAAAAGAGTGTTTCAAAACTGCTCCTTCAAAACGGTGGTTCAATTCTCTTAGTTGAGTACACACATCTCAAATAAGTTTCTGAGAATGCTTCTGCCTAGTTGTTACGGGAAGATATTTCCCTTTCCAACATGGGCCTGAAAGTGCTGCAAATGTCCACTTCCAGATACTACAAAAAGAGTGTTTCAAACCTGCTCTACCAAAGGGAATGTTCTACTCTGTGACTTGAATGCAAACATCCCAAAGAAGTTTATGAGAATGCTTCTGTCTAGATTTTACCTGAAGACAATCCCGTTTCCCACGAAATCCTCAAAGCTATGCAAATATCCTCTTGCAGATTCTACAAAAAGAGTGTTTCAAAACTGCTCTATGAAAAGAAAGGTTCAACTCTGTCAGTAGAGGGCACACATCACAAACAAGTTTCTGAGAATACTTGTGTCTAGTTGTTATGGGAAGACATTTCCTTTTTCAACATAGGCCTGAAAGCGCTCCAAATGTCCACTTCCAGATACTACAAAAGGAGTGATTCCAACCTGCTCTATGATAGGGAATGTTCAACTCTGTGTCCTGAATACAAACATCACAAAGATGTTTCTCAGAACGCTGCAGTCTGCAATTTGTATGAATTCCCGCTTCCAACGAAATCCTCAAAACTAGCCAAATATCCACTTGCAGATTCCACAAAAAGAGCATTTCAAAACTGCTCTATCAAAAGAAAGGTTCAACTTTGTTAGTTGAGTAGATACAGCATAAACAAGTTTCTGAGAATGCTTCTGTCCAGTTTTTATGGGAAGATATTTCCTTTTTCACCTTAGCCCTGAAAGCTCTCCAAATGTCCAGTTCCAGATACTACAAAAGGGGTGTTTCAAGACTGCTCTATGAAAGGGAGTGTTCAACTTTTGACTTGAATGCAAACATCAGAAAGCAGTTTCTCAGAACGCTGCTGTGTGCTTTTTATATGTATTCCCGCTTCCAGCGAAATCCCCAAAGCTAGCCAAATATCCACTTGCAGATTCCAGAAAAAGAGTGTTTCAAAACTGCTCCTTCAAAACGGTGGTTCAATTCTCTTAGTTGAGTACACACATCTCAAATAAGTTTCTGAGAATGCTTCTGTCTAGTTGTTATGGGAAGATATTTCCTTTTCCAACATAGGCCTGAAAGCGCTCCAAATGTCCACTTCCAGATACTACAAAAGGAGTGATTCAAACCTGCTCTATGATAGGGAATGTTCAACTCTGTGTCCTGAATACAAACATCACAAAGATGTTTCTCAGAACGCTGCAGTCTGCAATGTGTATGAATTCCCGCTTCCAACGAAATCCTCAAAACTAGCCAAATATCCACTTGCAGATTCCACAAAAAGAGCGTTTCAAAACTTCTCTATGAAAAGAAAGGTTCTACTCCTTTAGTTGAGGACACACATCACGAGTAAGTTTCTGAGAATGCTTCTGTCTAGTTTTTATGGGAAGATATTTCCTTTTTCACCTTAGGCCGGAAAGCGCTCCAAATGTCCACTTACACACACTACAAAAAGAGTGTTTCAAACCTGCTCTGTGAAAGGGAATGTTCAATTCTGTGACTTGAATGCAATCATCACAAAGAACTTTCTGAGAATGCTGCTGTCTGCTTTTTATATGTAATCCCGTTTCCAACGAAATCCTCAAATCTAGCCAAATATCCACTTGCAGATTCCACAAAAAGAGTGTTTCAAAACTGTTCTGTCTAAAGAAAAGTTCAACTGTGTTAGTTGAGGACACACATCAGAAACTAGTTTCTGAGAATGCTTCTGTCTAGTTGTTATGGGAAGATATTTCCTTTTCCAACGTAGGCCTGAAAGCGCTCCAAATGTCCACTTCTATATACTAAAAAAAGAGTGTTTCAAACCTGCTGTACCAAAGGGAACGTTCTACTCTGTGACTTGAATGCAAACATCCCAAAGAACTTTCTGAGAATGCTTCTGTCTAGATTTGATGTGAAGACAATCCCGTTTCCAACGAAATCCTCAAGGCTAGGCAAATATCCTCTTGCAGATTCCAGAAAAAGAGTGTTTCAAAACTGCTCCTTCAAAACGGTGGTTCAATTCTCTTAGTTGAGTACACACATCTCAAATAAGTTTCTGAGAATGCTTCTGCCTAGTTGTTACGGGAAGATATTTCCCTTTCCAACATGGGCCTGAAAGCGCTCCAAATGTCCACTTCCAGATACTACAAAAAGAGTGTTTCAAACCTGCTCTACCAAAGGGAATGTTCTACTCTGTGACTTGAATGCAAACATCCCAAAGAAGTTTCTGAGAATGCTTCTGTCTAGATTTTACCTGAAGACAATCCCGTTTCCCACGAAATCCTCAAAGCTATGCAAATATCCTCTTGCGGATTCTACAAAAAGAGTGTTTCAAAACTGCTCTATGAAAAGAAAGGTTCAACTCTGTCAGTAGAGGGCACACATCACAAACAAGTTTCTGAGAATGCTTGTGTCTAGTTGTTATGGGAAGATATCTCCTTTTTCAACATAGGCCTGAAAGCGCTCCAAATGTCCACTTCCAGATACTACAAAAGGAGTGATTCCAACCTGCTCTATGATAGGGAATGTTCAACTCTCTGTCCTGAATACAAACATCACAAAGATGTTTCTCAGAACGCTGCAGTCTGCAATTTGTATGAATTCCCGCTTCCAACGAAATCCTCAAAACTAGCCAAATATCCACTTGCAGATTCCACAAAAAGAGCATTTCAAAACTGCTCTATCAAAAGAAAGGTTCAACTTTGTTAGTTGAGTAGATACATCATAAACAAGTTTCTGAGAATGCTTCTGTCCAGTTTTTATGGGAAGATATTTCCTTTTTCACCTTAGCCCTGAAATCGCTCCAAAAGTCCAGTTCCAGATACTACAAAAGGGGTGTTTCAGGACTGCTCTATGAAAGGGAGTGTTCAACTTTTGACTTGAATGCAAACATCAGAAAGCAGTTTCTCAGAACGCTGCAGTCTGCAATTTGTATGAATTCCCGCTTCCAACGAAATCCTCAAAACTAGCCAAATATCCACTTGCAGATTCCACAAAAAGAGCGTTTCAAAACTTCTCTATGAAAAGAAAGGTTCTACTCCTTTAGTTGAGGACACACATCACGAGTAAGTTTCTGAGAATGCTTCTGTCTAGTTTTTATGGGAAGATATTTCCTTTTTCACCTTAGGCCGGTAAGTGCTCCAAATGTCCACTTACACACACTACAAAAAGAGTGTTTCAAACCTGCTCTGTGAAAGGGAATGTTCAATTCTGTGACTTGAATGCAATCATCACAAAGAACTTTCTGAGAATGCTGCTGACTGCTTTTTATATGTAATCCCGTTTCCAACGAAATCCTCAAATCTAGCCAAATAGCCACTTGCAGATTCCACAAAAAGAGTGTTTCAAAACTGTTCTGTCTAAAGAAATGTTCAACTGTGTTAGTTGAGGACACACATCAGAAACTAGTTTCTGAGAATGCTTCTGTCTAGTTGTTACGGGAAGATATTTCCTTTTCCAACGTAGGCCTGAAAGCGCTCCAAATGTCCATTTCCATATACTAAAAAAAGAGTGTTTCAAACCTGCTCTATCAAAGGGAATGTTCTACTCTGTGACTTGAATACAAACATCCCAATGAAGTTTCTGAGAATGCTTCTGTCTAGATTTTATCTGAAGACAATCCCGTTTCCAACGAAATCCTCAAGGCTAGGCAAATATCGTCTAGCAGATTCCAGAAAAAGAGTGTTTCAAAACTGCTCCTTCGAAACGGTGGTTCAATTCTCTTAGTTGAGTACACACATCTCAAAAAAGTTTCAGAGAATGCTTCTGCCTAGTTGTTACGGGAAGATATTTCCCTTTCCAACATGGGCCTGAAAGTGCTGCAAATGTCCACTTCCAGATACTACAAAAAGAGTGTTTCAAACCTGCTCTACCAAAGGGAATGTTCTACTCTGTGACTTGAATGCAAACATCCCAAAGAAGTTTCTGAGAATGCTTCTGTCTAG
The DNA here is from genome assembly GCF_000001405.40 of Homo sapiens. Lineage (NCBI taxonomy): Eukaryota > Metazoa > Chordata > Mammalia > Primates > Hominidae > Homo > Homo sapiens. The sequence goes on along the minus strand of NC_000018.10, from coordinate 19,588,744 downwards.
ATTTTACCTGAAGACAATCCCGTTTCCCACGAAATCCTCAAAGCTATGCAAATATCCTCTTGCAGATTCTACAAAAAGAGTGTTTCAAAACTGCTCTATGAAAAGAAAGGTTCAACTCTGTCAGTAGAGGGCACACATCACAAACAAGTTTCTGAGAATGCTTCTGCATAGTTGTTACGGGAAGATATTTCCCTTTCCAAAATAGGCCTGAAAGCGCTCCAAATGTCCACTTCCAGATACTACAAAAGGAGTGATTCCAACCTGCTCTATGATAGGGAATGTTCAACTCTGTGTCCTGAATACAAACATCACAAAGATGTTTCTCAGAACGCTGCAGTCTGCAATTTGTATGAATTCCCGCTTCCAGCGAAATCCTCAAAACTAGCCAAATATCCACTTGCAGATTCCACAAAAAGAGCATTTCAAAACTGCTCTATCAAAAGAAAGGTTCAACTTTGTTAGTTGAGTAGATACAGCATAAACAAGTTTCTGAGAATGCTTCTGTCCAGTTTTTATGGGAAGATATTTCCTTTTTCACCTTAGCCCTGAAATCGCTCCAAAAGTCCAGTTCCAGATACTACAAAAGGGGTGTTTCAAGACTGCTCTATGAAAGGGAGTGTTCAACTTTTGACTTGAATGCAAACATCAGAAAGCAGTTTCTCAGAACGCTGCTGTGTGCTTTTTATATGTATTCCCGCTTCCAGCGAAATCCCCAAAGCTAGCCAAATATCCACTTGCAGATTCCAGAAAAAGAGTGTTTCAAAACTGCTCCTTCAAAACGGTGGTTCAATTCTCTTAGTTGAGTACACACATCTCAAATAAGTTTCTGAGAATGCTTCTGTCTAGTTGTTATGGGAAGATATTTCCTTTTCCAACATAGGCCTGAAAGCGCTCCAAATGTCCACTTCCAGATACTACAAAAGGAGTGATTCAAACCTGCTCTATGATAGGGAATGTTCAACTCTGTGTCCTGAATACAAACATCACAAAGATGTTTCTCAGAACGCTGCAGTCTGCAATTTGTATGAATTCCCGCTTCCAACGAAATCCTCAAAACTAGCCAAATATCCACTTGCAGATTCCACAAAAAGAGCGTTTCAAAACTTCTCTATGAAAAGAAAGGTTCTACTCCTTTAGTTGAGGACACACATCACGAGTAAGTTTCTGAGAGTGCTTCTGTCTAGTTTTTATGGGAAGATATTTCCTTTTTCACCTTAGGCCGGAAAGTGCTCCAAATGTCCACTTACACACACTACAAAAAGAGTGTTTCAAACCTGCTCTGTGAAAGGGAGTGTTCAATTCTGTGACTTGAATGCAATCATCACAAAGAACTTTCTGAGAATGCTGCTGTCTGCTTTTTATATGTAATCCCGTTTCCAACGAAATCCTCAAATCTAGCCAAATAGCCACTTGCAGATTCCACAAAAAGAGTGTTTCAAAACTGTTCTGTCTAAAGAAATGTTCAACTGTGTTAGTTGAGGACACACATCAGAAACTAGTTTCTGAGAATGCTTCTGTCTAGTTGTTATGGGAAGATATTTCCTTTTCCAACGTAGGCCTGAAAGCGCTCCAAATGTCCACTTCCATATACTAAAAAAAGAGTGTTTCAAACCTGCTCTACCAAAGGGAATGTTCTACTCTGTGACTTGAATGCAAACATCCCAAAGAAGTTTCTGAGAATGCTTCTGTCTAGATTTGATCTGAAGACAATCCCGTTTCCAACGAAATCCTCAAGGCTAGGCAAATATCCTCTTGCAGATTCCAGAAAAAGAGTGTTTCAAAACTGCTCCTTCAAAACGGTGGTTCAATTCTCTTAGTTGAGTACACACATCTAAAATAAGTTTCTGAGAATGCTTCTGCCTAGTTGTTACGGGAAGATATTTCCCTTTCCAACATAGGCCTGAAAGCGCTCCAAATGTCCACTTCCAGATACTACAAAAAGAGTGTTTCAAACCTGCTCTACCAAAGGGAATGTTCTGCTCTGTGACTTGAATGCAAACATCCCAAAGAAGTTTCTGAGAATGCTTCTGTCTAGATTTTACCTGAAGACAATCCCGTTTCCCACGAAATCCTCAAAGCTATGCAAATATCCTCTTGCAGATTCTACAAAAAGAGTGTTTCAAAACTGCTCTATGAAAAGAAAGGTTCAACTCTGTCAGTAGAGGGCACACATCACAAACAAGTTTCTGAGAATGCTTGTGTCTAGTTGTTATGGGAAGATATTTCCTTTTTCAACATAGGCCTGAAAGCGCTCCAAATGTCCACTTCCAGATACTACAAAAGGAGTGATTCCAACCTGCTCTATGATAGGGAATGTTCAACTCTCTGTCCTGAATACAAACATCACAAAGATGTTTCTCAGAACGCTGCAGTCTGCAATTTGTATGAATTCCCGCTTCCAACGAAATCCTCAAAACTAGCCAAATATCCACTTGCAGATTCCACAAAAAGACCATTTCAAAACTGCTCTATCAAAAGAAAGGTTCAACTTTGTTAGTTGAGTAGATACAGCATAAACAAGTTTCTGAGAATGCTTCTGTCCAGTTTTTATGGGAAGATATTTCCTTTTTCACCTTAGCCCTGAAATCGCTCCAAAAGTCCAGTTCCAGATACTACAAAAGGGGTGTTTCAGGACTGCTCTATGAAAGGGAGTGTTCAACTTTTGACTTGAATGCAAACATCAGAAAGCAGTTTCTCAGAACGCTGCTGTGTGCTTTTTATATGTATTCCCGCTTCCAGCGAAATCCCCAAAGCTAGCCAAATATCCACTTGCAGATTCCAGAAAAAGAGTGTTTCAAAACTGCTCCTTCAAAACGGTGGTTCAATTCTCTTAGTTGAGTACACACATCTCAAATAAGTTTCTGAGAATGCTTCTGTCTAGTTGTTATGGGAAGATATTTCCTTTTCCAACATAGGCCTGAAAGCGCTCCAAATGTCCACTTCCAGATACTACAAAAGGAGTGATTCAAACCTGCTCTATGATAGGGAATGTTCAACTCTGTGTCCTGAATACAAACATCACAAAGATGTTTCTCAGAACGCTGCAGTCTGCAATTTGTATGAATTCCCGCTTCCAACGGAAATCCTCAAAACTAGCCAAATATCCACTTGCAGATTCCACAAAAAGAGCGTTTCAAAACTTCTCTATGAAAAGGAAGGTTCTACTCCTTTAGTTGAGGACACACATCACGAGTAAGTTTCTGAGAATGCTTCTGTCTAGTTTTTATGGGAAGATATTTCCTTTTTCACCTTAGGCCGGTAAGTGCTCCAAATGTCCACTTACACACACTACAAAAAGAGTCTTTCAAACCTGCTCTGTGAAAGGGAATGTTCAATTCTGTGACTTGAATGCAATCATCACAAAGAACTTTCTGAGAATGCTGCTGACTGCTTTTTATATGTAATCCCGTTTCCAACGAAATCCTCAAATCTAGCCAAATAGCCACTTGCAGATTCCACAAAAAGAGTGTTTCAAAACTGTTCTGTCTAAAGAAATGTTCAACTGTGTTAGTTGAGGACACACATCAGAAACTAGTTTCTGAGAATGCTTCTGTCTAGTTGTTATGGGAAGATATTTCCTTTTCCAACGTAGGCCTGAAAGCGCTCCAAATGTCCACTTCCAGATACTACAAAAAGAGTGTTTCAAACCTGCTCTACCAAAGGGAATGTTCTACTCTGTGACTTGAATGCAAGCATCCCAAAGAAGTTTCTGAGAATGCTTCTGTCTAGATTTTCTCTGAAGACAATCCCGTTTCCAACGAAATCCTCAAGGCTAGGCAAATATACTCTTGCAGATTCCAGAAAAAGAGTGTTTCAAAACTGCTCCTTCAAAACGGTGGTTCAATTCTCTTAGTTGAGTACACACATCTCAAATAAGTTTCTGAGAATGCTTCTGCCTAGTTGTTACGGGAAGATATTTCCCTTTCCAACATGGGCCTGAAAGCGCTCCAAATGTCCACTTCCAGATACTACAAAAAGAGTGTTTCAAACCTGCTCTACCAAAGGGAATGTTCTACTCTGTGACTTGAATGCAAACATCCCAAAGAAGTTTCTGAGAATGCTTCTGTCTAGATTTTACCTGAAGACAATCCCGTTTCCCACGAAATCCTCAAAGCTATGCAAATATCCTCTTGCAGATTCTACAAAAAGAGTGTTTCAAAACTGCTCTATGAAAAGAAAGGTTCAACTCTGTCAGTAGAGGGCACACATCACAAACAAGTTTGCTGAGAATGCTTCTGTCTAGTTGTTATGGGAAGATATTTCCTTTTCCAACATAGGCCTGAAAGCGCTCCAAATGTCCACTTCCAGATACTACAAAAGGAGTGATTCCAACCTGCTCTATGATAGGGAATGTTCAACTCTGTGTCCTGAATACAAACATCACAAAGATGTTTCTCAGAACGCTGCAGTCTGCAATTTGTATGAATTCCCGCTTCCAACGAAATCCTCAAAACTAGCCAAATATCCACTTGCAGATTCCACAAAAAGACCATTTCAAAACTGCTCTATCAAAAGAAAGGTTCAACTTTGTTAGTTGAGTAGATACAGCATAAACAAGTTTCTGAGAATGCTTCTGTCCAGTTTTTATGGGAAGATATTTCCTTTTTCACCTTAGCCCTGAAATCGCTCCAAAAGTCCAGTTCCAGATACTACAAAAGGGGTGTTTCAAGACTGCTCTATGAAAGGGAGTGTTCAACTTTTGACTTGAATGCAAACATCAGAAAGCAGTTTCTCAGAACGCTGCAGTCTGCAATTTGTATGAATTCCCGCTTCCAACGAAATCCTCAAAACTAGCCAAATATCCACTTGCAGATTCCACAAAAAGAGCGTTTCAAAACTTCTCTATGAAAAGAAAGGTTCTACTCCTTTAGTTGAGGACACACATCACGAGTAAGTTTCTGAGAATGCTTCTGTCTAGTTTTTATGGGAAGATATTTCCTTTTTCACCTTAGGCCGGAAAGTGCTCCAAATGTCCACTTACACACACTACAAAAAGAGTGTTTCAAACCTGCTCTGTGAAAGGGAATGTTCAATTCTGTGACTTGAATGCAATCATCACAAAGAACTTTCTGAGAATGCTGCTGTCTGCTTTTTATATGTAATCCCGTTTCCAACGAAATCCTCAAATCTAGCTAAATAGCCACTTGCAGATTCCACAAAAAGAGTGTTTCAAAACTGTTCTGTCTAAAGAAAAGTTCAACTGTGTTAGTTGAGGACACACATCAGAAACTAGTTTCTGAGAATGCTTCTGTCTAGTTGTTATGGGAAGAGATTTCCTTTTCCAACGTAGGCCTGAAAGCGCTCCAAATGTCCTTCCATATACTACAAAAAGAGTGTTTCAAACCTGCTCTACCAAAGGGAATGTTCTACTCTGTGACTTGAATGCAAACATCCCAAAGAAGTTTCTGAGAATGCTTCTGTCTAGATTTTATCTGAAGACAATCCCGTTTCCAACGAAATCTTCAAGGCTAGGCAAATATACTCTTGCAGATTCCAGAAAAAGAGTGTTTCAAAACTGCTCCTTCAAAACGGTGGTTCAATTCTCTTAGTTGAGTACACACATCTCAAATAAGTTTCTGAGAATGCTTCTGCCTAGTTGTTACGGGAAGATATTTCCCTTTCCAACATGGGCCTGAAAGCGCTCCAAATGTCCACTTCCAGATACTACAAAAAGAGGGTTTCAAACCTGCTCTACCAAAGGGAATGTTCTACTCTGTGACTTGAATGCAAACATCCCAAAGAAGTTTCTGAGAATGCTTCTGTCTAGATTTTACCTGAAGACAATCCCGTTTCCCACGAAATCCTCAAAGCTATGCAAATATCCTCTTGCAGATTCTACAAAAAGAGTGTTTCAAAACTGCTCTATGAAAAGAAAGGTTCAACTCTGTCAGTAGAGGGCACACATCACAAACAAGTTTCTGAGAATGCTTCTGCATAGTTGTTACGGGAAGATATTTCCCTTTCCAAAATAGGCCTGAAAGCGCTCCAAATGTCCACTTCCAGATACTACAAAAGGAGTGATTCCAACCTGCTCTATGATAGGGAATGTTCAACTCTGTGTCCTGAATACAAACATCACAAAGATGTTTCTCAGAACGCTGCAGTCTGCAATTTGTATGAATTCCCGCTTCCAACGAAATCCTCAAAACTAGCCAAATATCCACTTGCAGATTCCACAAAAAGACCATTTCAAAACTGCTCTATCAAAAGAAAGGTTCAACTTTGTTAGTTGAGTAGATACAGCATAAACAAGTTTCTGAGAATGCTTCTGTCCAGTTTTTATGGGAAGATATTTCCTTTTTCACCTTAGCCCTGAAAGCGCTCCAAATGTCCAGTTCCAGATACTACAAAAGGGGTGTTTCAAGACTGCTCTATGAAAGGGGGTGTTCAACTTTTGACTTGAATGCAAACATCAGAAAGCAGTTTCTCAGAACGCTGCTGTGTGCTTTTTATATGTATTCCCGCTTCCAGCGAAATCCCCAAAGCTAGCCAAATATCCACTTGCAGATTCCAGAAAAAGAGTGTTTCAAAACTGCTCCTTCAAAACGGTGGTTCAATTCTCATAGTTGAGTACACACATCTCAAATAAGTTTCTGAGGATGCTTCTGTCTAGTTGTTATGGGAAGATATTTCCTTTTCCAACATAGGCTTGAAAGCGCTCCAAATGTCCACTTCCAGATACTACAAAAGGAGTGATTCCAACCTGCTCTATGATAGGGAATGTTCAACTCTGTGTCCTGAATACAAACATCACAAAGATGTTTCTCAGAACGCTGCAGTCTGCAATTTGTATGAATTCCCGCTTCAAACGAAATCCTCAAAACTAGCCAAATATCCACTTGCAGATTCCACAAAAAGAGCGTTTCAAAACTTCTCTATGAAAAGAAAGGTTCTACTCCTTTAGTTGAGGACACACATCACGAGTAAGTTTCTGAGAATGCTTCTGTCTAGTTTTTATGGGAAGATATTTCCTTTTTCACCTTAGGCCGGAAAGTGCTCCAAATGTCCACTTACACACACTATAAAAAGAGTGTTTCAAACCTGCTCTGTGAAAGGGAATGTTCAATTCTGTGACTTGAATGCAATCATCACAAAGAACTTTCTGAGAATGCTGCTGTCTGCTTTTTATATGTAATCCCGTTTCCAACGAAATCCTCAAATCTAGCCCAATATCCACTTGCAGATTCCACAAAAAGAGTGTTTCAAAACTGTTCTGTCTAAAGAAATGTACAACTGTGTTAGTTGAGGACACACATCAGAAACTAGTTTCTGAGAATGCTTCTGTCTAGTTGTTATGGGAAGATATTTCCTTTTCCAACGTAGGCCTGAATGCGCTCCAAATGTCCACTTCCATATACTAAAAAAAGAGTGTTTCAAACCTGCTCTACCAAAGGGAATGTTCTACTCTGTGACTTGAATGCAAACATCCCAAGGAAGTTTCTGAGAATGCTTCTGTATAGATTTGATCTGAAGACAATCCCGTTTCCAACGAAATCCTCAAGGCTAGGCAAATATCCTCTTGCAGATTCCAGAAAAAGAGTGTTTCAAAACTGCTCCTTCAAAACGGTGGTTCAATTCTCTTAGTTGAATACACACATCTCAAATAAGTTTCTGAGAATGCTTCTGCCTAGTTGTTACGGGAAGATATTTCCCTTTCCAACATAGGCCTGAAAGCGCTCCAAATGTCCACTTCCAGATACTACAAAAAGAGTGTTTCAAACCTGCTCTACCAAAGGGAATGTTCTACTCTGTGACTTGAATGCAAACATCCCAAAGAAGTTTCTGAGAATGCTTCTGTCTAGATTTTACCTGAAGACAATCCCGTTTCCCACGAAATCCTCAAAGCTATGCAAATATCCTCTTGCAGATTCTACAAAAAGAGTGTTTCAAAACTGCTCTATGAAAAGAAAGGTTCAACTCTGTCAGTAGAGGGCACACATCACAAACAAGTTTCTGAGAATGCTTGTGTCTAGTTGTTATGGGAAGACATTTCCTTTTTCAACATAGGCCTGAAAGCGCTCCAAATGTCCACTTCCAGATACTACAAAAGGAGTGATTCCAACCTGCTCTATGATAGGGAATGTTCAACTCTGTGTCCTGAATACAAACATCACAAAGATGTTTCTCAGAACGCTGCAGTCTGCAATTTGTATGAATTCCCGCTTCCAACGAAATCCTCAAAACTAGCCAAATATCCACTTGCAGATTCCACAAAAAGAGCATTTCAAAACTGCTCTATCAAAAGAAAGGTTCAACTTTGTTAGTTGAGTAGATACAGCATAAACAAGTTTCTGAGAATGCTTCTGTCCAGTTTTTATGGGAAGATATTTCCTTTTTCACCTTAGCCCTGAAATCGCTCCAAAAGTCCAGTTCCAGATACTACAAAAGGGGTGTTTCAAGACTGCTCTATGAAAGGGAGTGTTCAACTTTTGACTTGAATGCAAACATCAGAAAGCAGTTTCTCAGAACGCTGCTGTGTGCTTTTTATATGTATTCCCGCTTCCAGCGAAATCCCCAAAGCTAGCCAAATATCCACTTGCAGATTCCAGAAAAAGAGAGTTTCAAAACTGCTCCTTCAAAACGGTGGTTCAATTCTCTTAGTTGAGTACACACATCTCAAATAAGTTTCTGAGAATGCTTCTGTCTAGTTGTTATGGGAAGATATTTCCTTTTCCAACATAGGCCTGAAAGCGCTCCAAATGTCCACTTCCAGATACTACAAAAGGAGTGATTCAAACCTGCTCTATGATAGGGAATGTTCAACTCTGTGTCCTGAATACAAACATCACAAAGATGTTTCTCAGAACGCTGCAGTCTGCAATTTGTATGAATTCCCGCTTCCAACGAAATCCTCAAAACTAGCCAAATATCCACTTGCAGATTCCACAAAAAGACCATTTCAAAACTGCTCTATCAAAAGAAAGGTTCAACTTTGTTAGTTGAGTAGATACAGCATAACCAAGTTTCTGAGAATGCTTCTGTCCAGTTTTTATGGGAAGATATTTCCTTTTTCACCTTAGCCCTGAAATCGCTCCAAAAGTCCAGTTCCAGATACTACAAAAGGGGTGTTTCAGGACTGCCCTATGAAAGGGAGTGTTCAACTTTTGACTTGAATGCAAACATCAGAAAGCAGTTTCTCAGAACGCTGCTGTGTGCTTTTTATATGTATTCCCGCTTCCAGCGAAATCCCCAAAGCTAGCCAAATAGCCACTTGCAGATTCCAGAAAAAGAGTGTTTCAAAACTGCTCCTTCAAAACGGTGGTTCAATTCTCTTAGTTGAGTACACACATCTCAAATAAGTTTCTGAGAATGCTGCTGTGTGCTTTTTATATGTATTCCCGCTTCCAGCGAAATCCCCAAAGCTAGCCAAATATCCACTTGCAGATTCCAGAAAAAGAGTGTGTCAAAACTGCTCCTTCAAAACGGTGGTTCAATTCTCTTAGTTGAGTACACTCATCTCAAATAAGTTTCTGAGAATGCTGCAGTCTGCAATTTGTATGAATTCCCGCTTCCAACGAAATCCTCAAAACTAGCCAAATATCCACTTGCAGATTCCACAAAAAGAGCGTTTCAAAACTTCTCTATGAAAAGAAAGGTTCTACTCCTTTAGTTGAGGACACACATCACGAGTAAGTTTCTGAGAATGCTTCTGTCTAGTTTTTATGGGAAGATATTTCCTTTTTCACCTTAGGCCGGAAAGCGCTCCAAATGTCCACTTACACACACTACAAAAAGAGTGTTTCAAACCTGCTCTGTGAAAGGGAATGTTCAATTCTGTGACTTGAATGCAATCATCACAAAGAACTTTCTGAGAATGCTGCTGTCTGCTTTTTATATGTAATCCCGTTTCCAACGAAATCCTCAAATCTAGCCAAATATCCACTTGCAGATTCCACAAAAAGAGTGTTTCAAAACTGTTCTGTCTAAAGAAAAGTTCAACTGTGTTAGTTGAGGACACACATCAGAAACTAGTTTCTGAGAATGCTTTCTGTCTAGTTGTTATGGGAAGATATTTCCTTTTCCAACGTAGGCCTGAAAGCGCTCCAAATGTCCACTTCCATATACTAAAAAAAGAGTGTTTCAAACCTGCTCTACCAAAGGGAATGTTCTACTCTGTGACTTGAATGCAAACATCCCAAAGAAGTTTCTGAGAATGCTTCTGTCTAGATTTGATCTGAAGACAATCCCGTTTCCAACGAAATCCTCAAGGCTAGGCAAATATCCTCTTGCAGATTCCAGAAAAAGAGTGTTTCAAAACTGCTCCTTCAAAACGGTGGTTCAATTCTCTTAGTTGAGTACACACATCTCAAATAAGTTTCTGAGAATGCTTCTGCCTAGTTGTTACGGGAAGATATTTCCCTTTCCAACATGGGCCTGAAAGCGCTCCAAATGTCCACTTCCAGATACTACAAAAAGAGTGTTTCAAACCTGCTCTACCAAAGGGAATGTTCTACTCTGTGACTTGAATGCAAACATCCCAAAGAAGTTTCTGAGAATGCTTCTGTCTAGATTTTACCTGAAGACAATCCCGTTTCCCACGAATTCCTCAAAGCGATGCAAATATCCTCTTGCGGATTCTACAAAAAGAGTGTTTCAAAACTGCTCTATGAAAAGAAAGGTTCAACTCTGTCAGTAGAGGGCACACATCACAAACAAGTTTCTGAGAATGCTTGTGTCTAGTTGTTATGGGAAGATATTTCCTTTTTCAACATAGGCCTGAAAGCGCTCCAAATGTCCACTTCCAGATACTACAAAAGGAGTGATTCCAACCTGCTCTATGATAGGGAATGTTCATCTCTGTGTCCTGAATACAAACATCACAAAGATGTTTCTCAGAACGCTGCAGTCTGCAATTTGTATGAATTCCCGCTTCCAACGAAATCCTCAAAACTAGCCAAATATCCACTTGCAGATTCCACAAAAAGACCATTTCAAAACTGCTCTATCAAAAGAAAGGTTCAACTTTGTTAGTTGAGTAGATACAGCATAAACAAGTTTCTGAGAATGCTTCTGTCCAGTTTTTATGGGAAGATATTTCCTTTTTCACCTTAGCCCTGAAATCGCTCCAAAAGTCCAGTTCCAGATACTACAAAAGGGGTGTTTCAAGACTGCTCTATGAAAGGGAGTGTTCAACTTTTGACTTGAATGCAAACATCAGAAAGCAGTTTCTCAGAACGCTGCTGTGTGCTTTTTATATGTATTCCCGCTTCCAGCGAAATCCCCAAAGCTAGCCAAATATCCACTTGCAGATTCCAGAAAAAGAGAGTTTCAAAACTGCTCCTTCAAAACGGTGGTTCAATTCTCTTAGTTGAGTACACACATCTCAAATAAGTTTCTGAGAATGCTTCTGTCTAGTTGTTATGGGAAGATATTTCCTTTTCCAACATAGGCCTGAAAGCGCTCCAAATGTCCACTTCCAGATACTACAAAAGGAGTGATTCCAACCTGCTCTATGATAGGGAATGTTCAACTCTGTGTCCTGAATACAAACATCACAAAGATGTTTCTCAGAACGCTGCAGTCTGCAATTTGTATGAATTCCCGCTTCCAACGAAATCCTCCAAACTAGCCAAATATCCACTTGCAGATTCCACAAAAAGAGCGTTTCAAAACTTCTCTATGAAAAGAAAGGTTCTACTCCTTTAGTTGAGGACACACATCACGAGTAAGTTTCTGAGAATGCTTCTGTCTAGTTTTTATGGGAAGATATTTCCTTTTTCACCTTAGGCCGGAAAGTGCTCCAAATGTCCACTTACACACACTACAAAAAGAGTGTTTCAAACCTGCTCTGTGAAAGGGAATGTTCAATTCTGTGACTTGAATGCAATCATCACAAAGAACGTTCTGAGAATGCTGCTGTCTGCTTTTTATATGTAATCCCGTTTCCAACGAAATCCTCAAATCTAGCCAAATAGCCACTTGCAGATTCCACAAAAAGAGTGTTTCAAAACTGTTCTGTCTAAAGAAAAGTTCAACTGTGTTAGTTGAGGACACACATCAGAAACTAGTTTCTGAGAATGCTTCTGTCTAGTTGTTATGGGAAGATATTTCCTTTTACAACGTAGGCCTGAAAGCGCTCCAAATGTCCACTTCCATATACTTAAAAAAGAGTGTTTCAAACCTGCTCTACCAAAGGGAATGTTCTACTCTGTGACATGAATGCAAACATCCCAAAGAAGTTTCTGAGAATGCTTCTGTCTAGATTTGATCTGAAGACAATCCCGTTTCCAACGAAATCCTCAAGGCTAGGCAAATATCCTCTTGCAGATTCCAGAAAAAGAGTGTTTCAAAACTGCTCCTTCAAAACGGTGGTTCAATTCTCTTAGTTGAGTACACACATCTCAAATAAGTTTCTGAGAGTGCTTCTGCCTAGTTGTTACGGGAAGATATTTCCCTTTCCAACATAGGCCTGAAAGCGCTCCAAATGTCCACTTCCAGATACTACAAAAAGAGTGTTTCAAACCTGCTCTACCAAAGGGAATGTTCTACTCTGTGACTTGAATGCAAACATCCCAAAGAAGTTTCTGAGAATGCTTCTGTCTAGATTTTACCTGAAGACAATCCCGTTTCCCACGAAATCCTCAAAGCTATGCAAATATCCTCTTGCAGATTCTACAAAAAGAGTGTTTCAAAACTGCTCTATGAAAAGAAAGGTTCAACTCTGTCAGTAGAGGGCACACATCACAAACAAGTTTCTGAGAATGCTTGTGTCTAGTTGTTATGGGAAGATATTTCCTTTTTCAACATAGGCCTGAAAGCGCTCCAAATGTCCACTTCCAGATACTACAAAAGGAGTGATTCCAACCTGCTCTATGATAGGGAATGTTCAACTCTCTGTCCTGAATACAAACATCACAAAGATGTTTCTCAGAACGCTGCAGTCTGCAATTTGTATGAATTCCCGCTTCCAGCGAAATCCTCAAAACTAGCCAAATATCCACTTGCAGATTCCACAAAAAGAGCATTTCAAAACTGCTCTATCAAAAGAAAGGTTCAACTTTCTTAGTTGAGTAGATACAGCATAAACAAGTTTCTGAGAATGCTTCTGTCCAGTTTTTATGGGAAGATATTTCCTTTTTCACCTTAGCCTTGAAAGCGCTCCAAAAGTCCAGTTCCAGATACTACAAAAGGAGTGTTTCAGGACTGCTCTATGAAAGGGAGTGTTCAACTTTTGACTTGAATGCAAACATCAGAAAGCAGTTTCTCAGAACGCTGCAGTCTGCAATTTGTATGAATTCCCGCTTCCAACGAAATCCTCAAACTAGCCAAATATCCACTTGCAGATTCCACAAAAAGAGCGTTTCAAAACTTCTCTATGAAAAGAAAGGTTCTACTCCTTTAGTTGAGGACACACATCACGAGTAAGTTTCTGAGAATGCTTCTGTCTAGTTTTTATGGGAAGATTATTTCCTTTTTCACCTTAGGCCGGTAAGTGCTCCAAATGTCCACTTACACACACTACAAAAAGAGTGTTTCAAACCTGCTCTGTGAAAGGGAATGTTCAATTCTGTGACTTGAATGCAATCATCACAAAGAACTTTCTGAGAATGCCGCTGACTGCTTTTTATATGTAATCCCGTTTCCAACGAAATCCTCAAATCTAGCCAAATAGCCACTTGCAGATTCCACAAAAAGAGTGTTTCAAAACTGTTCTGTCTAAAGAAATGTTCAACTGTGTTAGTTGAGGACACACATCAGAAACTAGTTTCTGAGAATGCTTCTGTCTAGTTGTTATGGGAAGATATTTCCTTTTCCAAAGTAGGCCTGAAAGCGCTCCAAATGTCCACTTCCATATACTAAAAAAAGAGTGTTTCAAACCTGCTCTACCAAAGGGAATGTTCTACTCTGTGACTTGAATGCAAACATCCCAAAGAAGTTTCTGAGAATGCTTCTGTCTAGATTTGATCTGAAGACAATCCCGTTTCCAACGAAATCCTCAAAGCTAGGCAAATATACTCTTTCAGATTCCAGAAAAAGAGTGTTTCAAAACTGCTCCTTCAAAAGGGTGGTTCAATTCTCTTAGTTGAGTACACACATCTCAAATAAGTTTCTGAGAAGGCTTCTGCCTAGTTGTTACGGGAAGATATTTCCCTTTCCAACATAGGCCTGAAAGCGCTCCAAATGTCCACTTCCAGATACTACAAAAAGAGTGTTTCAAACCTGCTCTACCAAAGGGAATGTTCTACTCTGTGACTTGAATGCAAACATCCCAAAGAAGTTTCTGAGAATGCTTCTGTCTAGATTTTACCTGAAGACAATCCCGTTTCCCACGAAATCCTCAAAGCTATGCAAATATCCTCTTGCAGATTCTACAAAAAGAGTGTTTCAAAACTGCTCTATGAAAAGAAAGGTTCAACTCTGTCAGTAGAGGGCACACATCACAAACAAGTTTCTGAGAATGCTTGTGTCTAGTTGTTATGGGAAGATATTTCCTTTTTCAACATAGGCCTGAAAGCGCTCCAAATGTCCACTTCCAGATACTACAAAAGGAGTGATTCCAACCTGCTCTATGATAGGGAATGTTCAACTCTCTGTCCTGAATACAAACATCACAAAGATGTTTCTCAGAACGCTGCAGTCTGCAATTTGTATGAATTCCCGCTTCCAGCGAAATCCTCAAAACTAGCCAAATATCCACTTGCAGATTCCACAAAAAGAGCATTTCAAAACTGCTCTATCAAAAGAAAGGTTCAACTTTGTTAGTTGAGTAGATACAGCATAAACAAGTTTCTGAGAATGCTTCTGTCCAGTTTTTATGGGAAGATATTTCCTTTTTCACCTTAGCCCTGAAATCGCTCCAAAAGTCCAGTTCCAGATACTACAAAAGGGGTGTTTCAAGACTGCTCTATGAAAGGGAGTGTTCAACTTTTGACTTGAATGCAAACATCAGAAAGCAGTTTCTCAGAACGCTGCTGTGTGCTTTTTATATGTATTCCCGCTTCCAGCGAAATCCCCAAAGCTAGCCAAATATCCAATTGCAGATTCCAGAAAAAGAGTGTTTCAAAACTGCTCCTTCAAAACGGTGGTTCAATTCTCTTAGTTGAGTACACACATCTCAAATAAGTTTCTGAGAATGCTTCTGTCTAGTTGTTATGGGAAGATATTTCCTTTTTCAACATAGGCCTGAAAGCGCTCCAAATGTCCACTTCCAGATACTACAAAAGGAGTGATTCCAACCTGCTCTATGATAGGGAATGTTCAACTCTGTGTCCTGAATACAAACATCACAAAGATGTTTCTCAGAACGCTGCAGTCTGCAATTTGTATGAATTCCCGCTTCCAACGAAATCCTCAAAACTAGCCAAATATCCACTTGCAGATTCCACAAAAAGAGCGTTTCAAAACTTCTCTATGAAAAGAAAGGTTCTACTCCTTTAGTTGAGGACACACATCACGAGTAAGTTTCTGAGAATGCTTCTGTCTAGTTTTTATGGGAAGATATTTCCTTTTTCACCTTAGGCCGGTAAGTGCTCCAAATGTCCACTTACACACACTACAAAAAGAGTGTTTCAAACCTGCTCTGTGAAAGGGAATGTTCAATTCTGTGACTTGAATGCAATCATCACAAAGAACTTTCTGAGAATGCTGCTGACTGCTTTTTATATGTAATCCCGTTTCCAACGAAATCCTCAAATCTAGCCAAATAGCCACTTGCAGATTCCACAAAAAGAGTGTTTCAAAACTGTTCTGTCTAAAGAAATGTTCAACTGTGTTAGTTGAGGACACACATCAGAAACTAGTTTCTGAGAATGCTTCTGTCTAGTTGTTATGGGAAGATATTTCCTTTTCCAACGTAGGCCTGAAAGCGCTCCAAATGTCCACTTCCATATACTAAAAAAAGAGTGTTTCAAACCTGCTCTACCAAAGGAATGTTCTACTCTGTGACTTGAATGCAAACATCCCAAAGAAGTTTCTGAGAATGCTTCTGTCTAGATTTGATCTGAAGACAATCCCTTTTCCAACGAAATCCTCAAAGCTAGGCAAATATCCTCTTGCAGATTCCAGAAAAAGAGTGTTTCCAAACTGCTCCTTCAAAACGGTGGTTCAATTCTCTTAGTTGAGCACACACATCTCAAATAAGTTTCTGAGAATGCTTCTGCCTAGTTGTTACGGGAAGATATTTCCCTTTCCAACATAGGCCTGAAAGCGCAACAAATGTCCACTTCCAGATACGACAAAAAGAGTGTTTCAAACCTGCTCTACCAAAGGGAATGTTCTACTCTGTGACTTGAATGCAAACATCCCGAAGAAGTTTCTGAGAATGCTTCTGTCTAGATTTTACCTGAAGACAATCCCGTTTCCCACGAAATCCTCAAAGCTATGCAAATATCCTCTTGCAGATTCTACAAAAAGAGTGTTTCAAAACTGCTCTATGAAAAGAAAGGTTCAACTCTGTCAGTAGAGGGCACACATCACAAACAAGTTTCTGAGAATGCTTCTGCATAGTTGTTACGGGAAGATATTTCCCTTTCCAAAATAGGCCTGAAAGCGCTCCAAATGTCCACTTCCAGATACTACAAAAGGAGTGATTCCAACCTGCTCTATGATAGGGAATGTTCAACTCTGTGTCCTGAATACAAACATCACAAAGATGTTTCTCAGAACGCTGCAGTCTGCAATTTGTATGAATTCCCGCTTCCAACGAAATCCTCAAAACTAGCCAAATATCCACTTGCAGATTCCACAAAAAGACCATTTCAAAACTGCTCTATCAAAAGAAAGGTTCAACTTTGTTAGTTGAGTAGATACAGCATAAACAAGTTTCTGAGAATGCTTCTGTCCAGTTTTTATGGGAAGATATTTCCTTTTTCACCTTAGCCCTGAAAGCGCTCCAAAAGTCCAGTTCCAGATACTACAAAAGGAGTGTTTCAGGACTGCTCTATGAAAGGGAGTGTTCAACTTTTGACTTGAATGCAAACATCAGAAAGCAGTTTCTCAGAACGCTGCTGTGTGCTATTTATATGTATTCCCGCTTCCAGCGAAATCCCCAAAGCTAGCCAAATATCCACTTGCAGATTCCAGAAAAAGAGTGTTTCCAAACTGCTCCTTCAAAACGGTGGTTCAATTCTCTTAGTTGAGTACACACATCTCAAATAAGTTTCTGGGAAAGCTTCTGTCTAGTTGTTATGGGAAGATATTTCCTTTTCCAACATAGGCCTGAAAGCGCTCCAAATGTCCACTTCCAGATACTACAAAAGGAGTGATTCAAACCTGCTCTATGATAGGGAATGTTCAACTCTGTGTCCTGAATACAAACATCACAAAGATGTTTCTCAGAACGCTGCAGTCTGCATCTTGTATGAATTCCCGCTTCCAACGAAATCCTCAAAACTAGCCAAATATCCACTTGCAGATTCCACAAAAAGAGCGTTTCAAAACTTCTCTATGAAAAGAAAGGTTCTACTCCTTTAGTTGAGGACACACATCACGAGTAAGTTTCTGAGAATGCTTCTGTCTAGTTTTTATGGGAAGATATTTCCTTGTTCACCTTAGGCCGGAAAGCGCTCCAAATGTCCACTTACACACACTACAAAAAGAGTGTTTCAAACCTGCTCTGTGAAAGGGAATGTTCAATTCTGTGACTTGAATGCAATCATCACAAAGAAGTTTCTGAGAATGCTGCTGTCTGCTTTTTATATGTAATCCCGTTTCCAACGAAATCCTCAAATCTAGCCAAATATCCACTTGCAGATTCCACAAAAAGAGTGTTTCAAAACTGTTCTGTCTAAAGAAATGTTCAACTGTGTTAGTTGAGGACACACATCAGAAACTAGTTTCTGAGAATGCTTCTGTCTAGTTGTTATGGGAAGATATTTCCTTTTCCAACGTAGGCCAGAAAGCGCTCCAAATGTCCACTTACACACACTACAAAAAGAGTGTTTCAAACCTGCTCTACCAAAGGGAATGTTCTACTCTGTGACTTGAATGCAAACATCCCAAAGAAGTTTCTGAGAATGCTTCTGTCTAGATTTTACCTGAAGACAATCCCGTTTCCCACGAAATCCTCAAAGCTATGCAAATATCCTCTTGCAGATTCTACAAAAAGAGTGTTTCGAAACTGCTCTATGAAAAGAAAGATTCAACTGTGTCAGTAGAGGGCACACATCACAAACAAGTTTCTGAGAATGCTTCTGTCTAGTTGTTATGGGAAGATATTTCCTTTTTCAACATAGGCCTGAAAGCGCTCCAAATGTCCACTTCCAGATACTACAAAAGGAGTGATTCCAACCTGCTCTATGATAGGGAATGTTCAACTCTGTGTCCTGAATACAAACATCACAAAGATGTTTCTCAGAACGCTGCAGTCTGCAATTTGTATGAATTCCCGCTTCCAACGAAATCCTCAAAACTAGCCAAATATCCACTTGCAGATTCCACAAAAAGACCATTTCAAAACTGCTCTATCAAAAGAAAGGTTCAACTTTGTTAGTTGAGTAGATACAGCATAAACAAGTTTCTGAGAATGCTTCTGTCCAGTTTTTATGGGAAGATATTTCCTTTTTCACCTTAGCCCTGAAATCGCTCCAAAAGTCCAGTTCCAGATACTACAAAAGGGGTGTTTCAAGACTGCTCTATGAAAGGGAGTGTTCAACTTTTGACTTGAATGCAAACATCAGAAAGCAGTTTCTCAGAACGCTGCTGTGTGCTTTTTATATGTATTCCCGCTTCCAGCGAAATCCCCAAAGCTAGCCAAATATCCACTTGCAGATTCCAGAAAAAGAGAGTTTCAAAACTGCTCCTTCAAAACGGTGGTTCAATTCTCTTAGTTGAGTACACACATCTCAAATAAGTTTCTGAGAATGCTTCTGTCTAGTTGTTATGGGAAGATATTTCCTTTTCCAACATAGGCCTGAAAGCGCTCCAAATGTCCACTTCCAGATACTACAAAAGGAGTGATTCAAACCTGCTCTATGATAGGGAATGTTCAACTCTGTGTCCTGAATACAAACATCACAAAGATGTTTCTCAGAACGCTGCAGTCTGCAATTTGTATGAATTCCCGCTTCCAACGAAATCCTCAAAACTAGCCAAATATCCACTTGCAGATTCCACAAAAAGAGCGTTTCAAAACTTCTCTATGAAAAGAAAGGTTCTACTCCTTTAGTTGAGGACACACATCACGAGTAAGTTTCTGAGAATGCTTCTGTCTAGTTTTTATGGGAAGATATGTCCTTTTTCACCTTAGGCCGGAAAGCGCTCCAAATGTCCACTTACACACACTACAAAAAGAGTGTTTCAAACCTGCTCTATGAAAGGGAATGTTCAATTCTGTGACTTGAATACAATCATCACAAAGAACTTTACTGAGAATGCTGCTGTCTGCTTTTTATATGTAATCCCGTTTCCAACGAAATCCTCAAATCTAGCCAAATATCCACTTGCAGATTCCACAAAAAGAGTGTTTCAAAACTGTTCTGTCTAAAGAAATGTAGAACTGTGTTAGTTGAGGACACACATCAGAAACTAGTTTCTGAGAATGCTTTCTGTCTAGTTGTTATGGGAAGATATTTCCTTTTCCAACGTAGGCCTGAAAGCGCTCCAAATGTCCACTTCCATATACTAAAAAAAGAGTGTTTCAAACCTGCTCTACCAAAGGGAATGTTCTACTCTGTGACTTGAATGCAAACATCCCAAAGAAGTTTCTGAGAATGCTTCTGTCTAGATTTGATCTGAAGACAATCCCGTTTCCAACGAAATCCTCAAGGCTAGGCAAATATCCTCTTGCAGATTCCAGAAAAAGAGTGTTTCGAAACTGCTCCTTCAAAACGGTGGTTCAATTCTCTTAGTTGAGTACACACATCTCAAATAAGTTTCTGAGAATGCTTCTGCCTAGTTGTTACGGGAAGATATTTCCCTTTCCAACATAGGCCTGAAAGCGCTTCAAATGTCCACTTCCAGATACTACAAAAAGAGTGTTTGAAACCTGCTCTACCAAAGGGAATGTTCTACTCTGTGACTTGAATGCAAACATCCCAAAGAAGTTTCTGAGAATGCTTCTGTCTAGATTTTACCTGAAGACAATCCCGTTTCCCACGAAATCCTCAAAGCTATGCAAATATCCTCTTGCAGATTCTACAAAAAGAGTGTTTCAAAACTGCTCTATGAAAAGAAAGGTTCAACTCTGTCAGTAGAGGGCACACATCACAAACAAGTTTCTGAGAATACTTGTGTCTAGTTGTTATGGGAAGACATTTCCTTTTTCAACATAGGCCTGAAAGCGCTCCAAATGTCCACTTCCAGATACTACAAAAGGAGTGATTCCAACCTGCTCTATGATAGGGAATGTTCAACTCTGTGTCCTGAATACAAACATCACAAAGATGTTTCTCAGAACGCTGCAGTCTGCAATTTGTATGAATTCCCGCTTCCAACGAAATCCTCAAAACTAGCCAAATATCCACTTGCAGATTCCACAAAAAGAGCATTTCAAAACTGCTCTATCAAAAGAAAGGTTCAACTTTGTTAGTTGAGTAGATACAGCATAAACAAGTTTCTGAGAATGCTTCTGTCCAGTTTTTATGGGAAGATATTTCCTTTTTCACCTTAGCCCTGAAATCGCTCCAAAAGTCCAGTTCCAGATACTACAAAAGGGGTGTTTCAAGACTGCTCTATGAAAGGGAGTGTTCAACTTTTGACTTGAATGCAAACATCAGAAAGCAGTTTCTCAGAACGCTGCTGTGTGCTTTTTATATGTATTCCCGCTTCCAGCGAAATCCCCAAAGCTAGCCAAATATCCACTTGCAGATTCCAGAAAAAGAGTGTTTCAAAACTGCTCCTTCAAAACGGTGGTTCAATTCTCTTAGTTGAGTACACACATCTCAAATAAGTTTCTGAGAATGCTTCTGTCTAGTTGTTATGGGAAGATATTTCCTTTTCCAACATAGGCCTGAAAGCGCTCCAAATGTCCACTTCCAGATACTACAAAAGGAGTGATTCAAACCTGCTCTATGATAGGGAATGTTCAACTCTGTGTCCTGAATACAAACATCACAAAGATGTTTCTCAGAACGCTGCAGTCTGCATCTTGTATGAATTCCCGCTTCCAACGAAATCCTCCAAACTAGCCAAATATCCACTTGCAGATTCCACAAAAAGAGCGTTTCAAAACTTCTCTATGAAAAGAAAGGTTCTACTCCTTTAGTTGAGGACACACATCACGAGTAAGTTTCTGAGAATGCTTCTGTCTAGTTTTTATGGGAAGATATTTCCTTGTTCACCTTAGGCCGCAAAGCGCTCCAAATGTCCACTTACACACACTACAAAAAGAGTGTTTCAAACCTGCTCTGTGAAAGGGAATGTTCAATTCTGTGACTTGAATGCAATCATCACAAAGAAGTTTCTGAGAATGCTGCTGTCTGCTTTTTATATGTAATCCCGTTTCCAACGAAATCCTCAAATCTAGCCAAATATCCACTTGCAGATTCCACAAAAAGAGTGTTTCAAAACTGTTCTGTCTAAAGAAATGTTCAACTGTGTTAGTTGAGGACACACATCAGAAACTAGTTTCTGAGAATGCTTTCTGTCTAGTTGTTATGGGAAGATATTTCCTTTTCCAACGTAGGCCTGAAAGCGCTCCAAATGTCCACTTCCATATACTAAAAAAAGAGTGTTTCAAACCTGCTCTACCAAAGGAATGTTCTACTCTGTGACTTGAATGCAAACATCCCAAAGAAGTTTCTGAGAATGCTTCTGTCTAGATTTTCTCTGAAGACAATCCCGTTTCCAACGAAATCCTCAAGGCTAGGCAAATATACTCTTGCAGATTCCAGAAAAAGAGTGTTTCAAAACTGCTCCTTCAAAACAGTGGTTCAATTCTCTTAGTTGAGTACACACATCTCAAATAAGTTTCTGAGAATGCTTCTGCCTAGTTGTTACGGGAAGATATTTCCCTTTCCAACATGGGCCTGAAAGCGCTCCAAATGTCCACTTCCAGATACTACAAAAAGAGTGTTTCAAACCTGCTCTACCAAAGGGAATGTTCTACTCTGTGACTTGAATGCAAACATCCCAAAGAAGTTTCTGAGAATGCTTCTGTCTAGATTTTACCTGAAGACAATCCCGTTTCCCACGAAATCCTCAAAGCTATGCAAATATCCTCTTGCAGATTCTACAAAAAGAGTGTTTCAAAACTGCTCTATGAAAAGAAAGGTTCAACTCTGTCAGTAGAGGGCACACATCACAAACAAGTTTCTGAGAATGCTTCTGTCTAGTTGTTATGGGAAGATATTTCCTTTTCCAACATAGGCCTGAAAGCGCTCCAAATGTCCACTTCCAGATACCACAAAAGGAGTGATTCCAACCTGCTCTATGATAGGGAATGTTCAACTCTGTGTCCTGAATACAAACATCACAAAGATGTTTCTCAGAACGCTGCAGTCTGCAATTTGTATGAATTCCCGCTTCCAACGAAATCCTCCAAACTAGCCAAATATCCACTTGCAGATTCCACAAAAAGAGCGTTTCAAAACTTCTCTATGAAAACAAAGGTTCTACTCCTTTAGTTGAGGACACACATCACGAGTAAGTTTCTGAGAATGCTTCTGTCTAGTTTTTATGGGAAGATATTTCCTTTTTCACCTTAGGCCGGAAAGTGCTCCAAATGTCCACTTACACACACTATAAAAAGAGTGTTTCAAACCTGCTCTGTGAAAGGGAATGTTCAATTCTTTGACTTGAATGCAATCATCACAAAGAACTTTCTGAGAATGCTGCTGTCTGCTTTTTATATGTAATCCCGTTTCCAACGAAATCCTCAAATCTAGCCAAATAGCCACTTGCAGATTCCACAAAAAGAGAGTTTCAAAACTGTTCTGTCTAAAGAAATGTTCAACTGTGTTAGTTGAGGACACACATCAGAAACTAGTTTCTGAGAATGCTTCTGTCTAGTTGTTATGGGAAGATATTTCCTTTTCCAACGTAGGCCTGAAAGCGCTCCAAATGTCCACTTCCATATACTAAAAAAAGAGTGTTTCAAACCTGCTCTACCAAAGGGAATGTTCTACTCTGTGACTTGAATGCAAACATCCCAAAGAAGTTTCTGAGAATGCTTCTGTCTAGATTTTAGCTGAAGACAATCCCGTTTCCAATGAAATCCTCAAAGCTAGGCAAATA
This sequence comes from Homo sapiens, assembly GCF_000001405.40. NCBI lineage: Eukaryota > Metazoa > Chordata > Mammalia > Primates > Hominidae > Homo > Homo sapiens. The sequence goes on along the minus strand of NC_000018.10, from coordinate 19,565,632 downwards.
TACTCTAGCAGATTCCAGAAAAAGAGTGTTTCAAAACTGGTCCTTCAAAACGGTGGTTCAATTCTCTTAGTTGAGTACACACATCTCAAATAAGTTTCTGAGAATGCTTCTGCCTAGTTGTTACGGGAAGATATTTCCCTTTCCAAAATAGGCCTGAAAGCGCAACAAATGTCCACTTCCAGATACTACAAAAAGAGTGTTTCAAACCTGCTCTACCGAAGGGAATGTTCTACTCTGTGACTTGAATGCAAACATCCCGAAGAAGTTTCTGAGAATGCTTCTGTCTAGATTTTACCTGAAGACAATCCCGTTTCCCACGAAATCCTCAGAGCTATGCAAATATCCTCTTGCAGATTCTACAAAAAGAGTGTTTCGAAACTGCTCTATGAAAAGAAAGGTTCAACTCTGTCAGTAGAGGAAACACATCACCAACAAGTTTCTGAGAATGCTTCTGTCTAGTTGTTATGGGAAGATATTTCCTTTTCCAACATAGGCCTGAAAGCGCTCCAAATGTCCACTTCCAGATACTACAAAAGGAGTGATTCCAACCTGCTCTATGATAGGGAATGTTCAACTCTGTGTCCTGAATACAAACATCACAAAGATGTTTCTCAGAACGCTGCAGTCTGCAATTTGTATGAATTCCCGCTTCCAACGAAATCCTCAAAACTAGCCAAATATCCACTTGCAGATTCCACAAAAAGACCATTTCAAAACTGCTCTATCAAAAGAAAGGTTCAACTTTGTTAGTTGAGTAGATACAGCATAAACAAGTTTCTGAGAATGCTTCTGTCCAGTTTTTATGGGAAGATATTTCCTTTTTCACCTTAGCCCTGAAATCGCTCCAAAAGTCCAGTTCCAGATACTACAAAAGGGGTGTTTCAAGACTGCTCTATGAAAGGGAGTGTTCAACTTTTGACTTGAATGCAAACATCAGAAAGCAGTTTCTCAGAACGCTGCTGTGTGCTTTTTATATGTATTCCCGCTTCCAGCGAAATCCCCAAAGCTAGCCAAATATCCACTTGCAGATTCCAGAAAAAGAGAGTTTCAAAACTGCTCCTTCAAAACGGTGGTTCAATTCTCTTAGTTGATTACACACATCTCAAATAAGTTTCTGAGAATGCTTCTGTCTAGTTGTTATGGGAAGATATTTCCTTTTTCACCTGAGGCCGGAAAGCGCTCCAAATGTCCACTTCCAGATACTAGAAAAGGAGTGATTCAAACCTGCTCTATGATAGGGAATGTTCAACTCTGTGTCCTGAATACAAACATCACAAAGATGTTTCTCAGAACGCTGCAGTCTGCAATTTGTATGAATTCCCGCTTCCAACGAAATCCTCAAAACTAGCCAAATATCCACTTGCAGATTCCACATAAAGAGCGTTTCAAAACTTCTCTATGAAAAGAAAGGTTCTACTCTTTTAGTTGGGGACACACATCACGAGTAAGTTTCTGAGAATGCTTCTGTCTAGTTTTTATGGGAAGATATTTCCTTGTTCACCTTAGGCCGGAAAGCGCTCCAAATGTCCACTTACACACACTACAAAAAGAGTGTTTCAAACCTGCTCTGTGAAAGGGAATGTTCAATTCTGTGACTTGAATGCAATCATCACAAAGAAGTTTCTGAGAATGCTGCTGTCTGCTTTTTAAATGTAATCCCGTTTCCAACGAAATCCTCAAATCTAGCCAAATATCCACTTGCAGATTCCACAAAAAGAGTGTTTCAAAACTGTTCTGTCTAAAGAAATGTTCAACTGTGTTAGTTGAGGACACACATCAGAAACTAGTTTCTGAGAATGCTTCTGTCTAGTTGTTATGGGAAGATATTTCCTTTTCCAACGTAGGCCTGAAAGCGCTCCAAATGTCCACTTCCATATACTAAAAAAAGAGTGTTTCAAACCTGCTCTACCAAAGGAATGTTCTACTCTGTGACTTGAATGCAAACATCCCAAAGAAGTTTCTGAGAATGCTTCTGTCTAGATTTTATCTGAAGACAATCCCGTTTCCAACGAAATCCTCAAGGCTAGGCAAATATACTCTTGCAGATTCCAGAAAAAGAGTGTTTCAAAACTGCTCCTTCAAAACGGTGGTTCAATTCTCTTAGTTGAGTACACACATCTCAAATAAGCTTCTGAGAATGCTTCTGCCTAGTTGTTACGGGAAGATATTTCCCTTTCCAACATGGGCCTGATAGCGCTCCAAATGTCCACTTCCAGATAGTACAAAAAGAGGGTTTCAAACCTGCTATACCAAAGGGAATGTTCTACTCTGTGACTTGAATGCAAACATCACAAAGAAGTTTCTGAGAATGCTTCTGTCTAGATTTTAGCTGAAGACAATCCCGTTTCCCACGAAATCCTCAAAGCTATGCAAATATCCTCTTGCAGATTCTACAAAAAGAGTGTTTCAAAACTGCTCTATGAAAAGAAAGGTTCAACTCTGTCAGCAGAGGGCACACATCACAAACAAGTTTCTGAGAATGCTTCTGCATAGTTGTTACGGGAAGATATTTCCCTTTCCAAAATAGGCCTGAAAGCGCTCCAAATGTCCACTTCCAGATACTACAAAAGGAGTGATTCCAACCTGCTCTATGATAGGGAATGTTCAACTCTGTGTCCTGAATACAAACATCACAAAGATGTTTCTCAGAACGCTGCAGTCTGCAATTTGTATGAATTCCCGCTTCCAACGAAATCCTCAAAACTAGCCAAATATCCACTTGCAGATTCCACAAAAAGACCATTTCAAAACTGCTCTATCAAAAGAAAGGTTCAACTTTGTTAGTTGAGTAGATACAGCATAAACAAGTTTCTGAGAATGCTTCTGTCCAGTTTTTATGGGAAGATATTTCCTTTTTCACCTTAGCCCTGAAATCGCTCCAAAAGTCCAGTTCCAGATACTACAAAAGGGGTGTTTCAAGACTGCTCTATGAAAGGGAGTGTTCAACTTTTGACTTGAATGCAAACATCAGAAAGCAGTTTCTCAGAACGCTGCTGTGTGCTTTTTATATGTATTCCCGCTTCCAGCGAAATCCCCAAAGCTAGCCAAATATCCACTTGCAGATTCCAGAAAAAGAGAGTTTCAAAACTGCTCCTTCAAAACGGTGGTTCAATTCTCTTAGTTGAGTACACACATCTCAAATAAGTTTCTGAGAATGCTCTGTCTAGTTGTTATGGGAAGATATTTCCTTTTCCAACATAGGCCTGAAAGCGCTCCAAATGTCCACTTCCAGATACTACAAAAGGAGTGATTCCAACCTGCTCTATGATAGGGAATGTTCAACTCTGTGTCCTGAATACAAACATCACAAAGATGTTCTCAGAACGCTGGCCAGTCTGCAATTTGTATGAATTCCCGCTTCCAACGAAATCCTCAAGACTAGCCAAATATCCACTTGGAGATTCCACAAAAAGAGCGTTTCAAAACTTCTCTATGAATAGAAAGGTTCTACTCCTTTAGTTGAGGACACACATCACGAGTAAGTTTCTGAGAATGCTTCTGTCTAGTTTTTATGGGAAGATATTTCCTTTTTCACCTTAGGCCGGAAAGTGCTCCAAATGTCCACTTACACACACTACAAAAAGAGTGTTTCAAACCTGCTCTGTGAAAGGGAATGTTCAATTCTGTGACTTGAATGCAATCATCACAAAGAACGTTCTGAGAATGCTGCTGTCTGCTTTTTATATGTAATCCCGTTTCCAACGAAATCCTCAAATCTAGCCAAATAGCCACTTGCAGATTCCACAAAAAGAGAGTTTCAAAACTGTTCTGTCTAAAGAAATGTTCAACTGTGTTAGTTGAGGACACACATCAGAAACTAGTTTCTGAGAATGCTTCTGTCTAGTTGTTATGGGAAGATATTTCCTTTTCCAACGTAGGCCTGAAAGCGCTCCAAATGTCCACTTCCATATACTAAAAAAAGAGTGTTTCAAAACTGCTCTACCAAAGGGAATGTTCTACTCTGTGACTTGAATGCAAACATCCCAAAGAAGTTTCTGAGAATGCTTCTGTCTAGATTTTATCTGAAGACAATCCCGTTTCCAACGAAATCCTCAAGGCTAGGCAAATATACTCTTGCAGATTCCAGAAAAAGAGTGTTTCAAAACTGCTCCTTCAAAACGGTGGTTCAATTCTCTTAGTTGAGTACACACATCTCAAATAAGTTTCTGAGAATGCTTCTGCCTAGTTGTTACGGGAAGATATTTCCCTTTCCAACATGGGCCTGAAAGCGCTCCAAATGTCCACTTCCAGATACTACAAAAAGAGGGTTTCAAACCTGCTCTACCAAAGGGAATGTTCTACTCTGTGACTTGAATGCAAACATCCCAAAGAAGTTTCTGAGAATGCTTCTGTCTAGATTTTACCTGAAGACAATCCCGTTTCCCACGAAATCCTCAAAGCTATGCAAATATCCTCTTGCAGATTCTACAAAAAGAGTGTTTCAAAACTGCTCTATGAAAAGAAAGGTTCAACTCTGTCAGCAGAGGGCACACATCACAAACAAGTTTCTGAGAATGCTTGTGTCTAGTTGTTATGGGAAGATATTTCCTTTTTCAACATAGGCCTGAAAGCGCTCCAAATGTCCACTTCCAGATACTACAAAAGGAGTGATTCCAACCTGCTCTATGATAGGGAATGTTCATCTCTGTGTCCTGAATACAAACATCACAAAGATGTTTCTCAGAACGCTGCAGTCTGCAATTTGTATGAATTCCCGCTTCCAACGAAATCCTCAAAACTAGCCAAATATCCACTTGCAGATTCCACAAAAAGACCATTTCAAAACTGCTCTATCAAAAGAAAGGTTCAACTTTGTTAGTTGAGTAGATACAGCATAAACAAGTTTCTGAGAATGCTTCTGTCCAGTTTTTATGGGAAGATATTTCCTTTTTCACCTTAGCCCTGAAATCGCTCCAAAAGTCCAGTTCCAGATACTACAAAAGGGGTGTTTCAAGACTGCTCTATGAAAGGGAGTGTTCAACTTTTGACTTGAATGCAAACATCAGAAAGCAGTTTCTCAGAACGCTGCTGTGTGCTTTTTATATGTATTCCCGCTTCCAGCGAAATCCCCAAAGCTAGCCAAATATCCACTTGCAGATTCCAGAAAAAGAGTGTTTCAAAACTGCTCCTTCAAAACGGTGGTTCAATTCTCTTAGTTGAGTACACACATCTCAAATAAGTTTCTGAGAATGCTTCTGTCTAGTTGTTATGGGAAGATATTTCCTTTTCCAACATAGGCCTGAAAGCGCTCCAAATGTCCACTTCCAGATACTACAAAAGGAGTGATTCCAACCTGCTCTATGATAGGGAATGTTCAACTCTGTGTCCTGAATACAAACATCACAAAGATGTTTCTCAGAACGCTGCAGTCTGCAATTTGTATGAATTCCCGCTTCCAACGAAATCCTCCAAACTAGCCAAATATCCACTTGCAGATTCCACAAAAAGAGCGTTTCAAAACTTCTCTATGAAAACAAAGGTTCTACTCCTTTAGTTGAGGACACACATCACGAGTAAGTTTCTGAGAGTGCTTCTGTCTAGTTTTTATGGGAAGATATTTCCTTTTTCACCTTAGGCCGGAAAGTGCTCCAAATGACCACTTACACACACTACAAAAAGAGTGTTTCAAACCTGCTCTGTGAAAGGGAATGTTCAATTCTGTGACTTGAATGCAATCATCACAAAGAACTTTCTGAGAATGCTGCTGTCTGCTTTTTATATGTAATCCCGTTTCCAACGAAATCCTCAAATCTAGCCAAATAGCCACTTGCAGATTCCACAAAAAGAGTGTTTCAAAACTGTTCTGTCTAAAGAAATGTTCAACTGTGTTAGTTGAGGACACACATCAGAAACTAGTTTCTGAGAATGCTTCTGTCTAGTTGTTATGGGAAGATATTTCCTTTTCCAACGTAGGCCTGAAAGCGCTCCAAATGTCCACTTCCATATACTAAAAAAAGAGTGTTTCAAACCTGCTCTACCAAAGGGAATGTTCTACTCTGTGACATGAATGCAAACATCCCAAAGAAGTTTCTGAGAATGCTTCTGTCTAGATTTTCTCTGAAGACAATCCCGTTTCCAACGAAATCCTCAAGGCTAGGCAAATATACTCTTGCAGATTCCAGAAAAAGAGTGTTTCAAAACTGCTCCTTCAAAACGGTGGTTCAATTCTCTTAGTTGAGTACACACATCTCAAATAAGTTTCTGAGAATGCTTCTGCCTAGTTGTTACGGGAAGATATTTCCCTTTCCAACATGGGCCTGAAAGCGCTCCAAATGTCCACTTCCAGATACTACAAAAAGAGTGTTTCAAACCTGCTCTACCAAAGGGAATGTTCTACTCTGTGACTTGAATGCAAACATCCCAAAGAAGTTTCTGAGAATGCTTCTGTCTAGATTTTACCTGAAGACAATCCCGTTTCCCACGAAATCCTCAAAGCTATGCAAATATCCTCTTGCAGATTCTACAAAAAGAGTGTTTCAAAACTGCTCTATGAAAAGAAAGGTTCAACTCTGTCAGTAGAGGGCACACATCACAAACAAGTTTCTGAGAATGCTTGTGTCTAGTTGTTATGGGAAGATATTTCCTTTTTCAACATAGGCCTGAAAGCGCTCCAAATGTCCACTTCCAGATACTACAAAAGGAGTGATTCCAACCTGCTCTATGATAGGGAATGTTCAACTCTGTGTCCTGAATACAAACATCACAAAGATGTTTCTCAGAACGCTGCAGTCTGCAATTTGTATGAATTCCCGCTTCCAACGAAATCCTCAAAACTAGCCAAATATCCACTTGCAGATTCCACAAAAAGACCATTTCAAAACTGCTCTATCAAAAGAAAGGTTCAACTTTGTTAGTTGAGTAGATACAGCATAAACAAGTTTCTGAGAATGCTTCTGTCCAGTTTTTATGGGAAGATATTTCCTTTTTCACCTTAGCCCTGAAAGCGCTCCAAATGTCCAGTTCCAGATACTACAAAAGGGGTGTTTCAAGACTGCTCTATGAAAGGGAGTGTTCAACTTTTGACTTGAATGCAAACATCAGAAAGCAGTTTCTCAGAACGCTGCTGTGTGCTTTTTATATGTATTCCCGCTTCCAGCGAAATCCCCAAAGCTAGCCAAATATCCAATTGCAGATTCCAGAAAAAGAGTGTTTCAAAACTGCTCCTTCAAAACGGTGGTTCAATTCTCTTAGTTGAGTACACACATCTCAAATAAGTTTCTGAGAATGCTTCTGTCTAGTTTTTATGGGAAGATATTTCCTTTTTCACCTGAGGCCGGAAAGCGCTCCAAATGTCCACTTCCAGATACTACAAAAGGAGTGATTCAAACCTGCTCTATGATAGGGAACGTTCAACTCTGTGTCCTGAATACAAACATCACAAAGATGTTTCTCAGAACGCTGCAGTCTGCAATTTGTATGAATTCCCGCTTCCAACGAAATCCTCAAAACTAGCCAAATATCCACTTGCAGATTCCACAAAAAGAGCGTTTCAAAACTTCTCTATGAAAAGAAAGGTTCTACTCCTTTAGTTGAGGACACACATCACGAGTAAGTTTCTGAGAATGCTTCTGTCTAGTTTTTATGGGAAGATATTTCCTTGTTCACCTTAGGCCGGAAAGCGCTCCAAATGTCCACTTACACACACTACAAAAAGAGTGTTTCAAACCTGCTCTGTGAAAGGGAATGTTCAATTCTGTGACTTGAATGCAATCATCACAAAGAAGTTTCTGAGAATGCTGCTGTCTGCTTTTTATATGTAATCCCGTTTCCATCGAAATCCTCAAATCTAGCCAAATATCCACTTGCAGATTCCACAAAGAGAGTGTTTCAAAACTGTTCTGTCTAAAGAAATGTTCAACTGTGTTAGTTGAGGACACACATCAGAAACTAGTTTCTGAGAATGCTTCTGTCTAGTTGTTATGGGAAGATATTTCCTTTTCCAACGTAGGCCTGAAAGCGCTCCAAATGTCCACTTCCATATACTTAAAAAAGAGTGTTTCAAACCTGCTCTACCAAAGGGAATGTTCTACTCTGTGACATGAATGCAAACATCCCAAAGAAGTTTCTGAGAATGCTTCTGTCTAGATTTGATCTGAAGACAATCCCGTTTCCAACGAAATCCTCAAGGCTAGGCAAATATACTCTTGCAGATTCCAGAAAAAGAGTGTTTCAAAACTGCTCCTTCAAAACGGTGGTTCAATTCTCTTAGTTGAGTACACACATCTCAAATAAGTTTCTGAGAATGCTTCTGCCTAGTTGTTACGGGAAGATATTTCCCTTTCCAACATGGGCCTGAAAGCGCTCAAAATGTCCACTTCCAGATACTACAAAAAGAGTGTTTCAAACCTGCTCTACCAAAGGGAATGTTCTACTCTGTGACGTGAATGCAAACATCCCAAAGAAGTTTCTGAGAATGCTTCTGTCTAGATTTTACCTGAAGACAATCCCGTTTCCCACGAAATCCTCAAAGCTATGCAAATATCCTCTTGCAGATCCTAAAAAAAGAGTGTTTCAAAACTGCTCTATGAAAAGAAAGGTTCAACTCTGTCAGTAGAGGGCACACATCACAAACAAGTTTCTGAGAATGCTTGTGTCTACTTGTTATGGGAAGATATTTCCTTTTTCAACATAGGCCTGAAAGCGCTCGAAATGGCCACTTCCAGATACTACAAAAGGAGTGATTCCAACCTGCTCTATGATAGGGAATGTTCAACTCTGTGTCCTGAATACAAACATCACAAAGATGTTTCTCAGAACGCTGCAGTCTGCAATTTGTATGAATTCCCGCTTCCAACGAAATCCTCAAAACTAGCCAAATATCCACTTGCAGACTCCACAAAAAGAGCATTTCAAAACTGCTCTATCAAAAGAAAGGTTCAACTTTGTTAGCTGAGTAGATACAGCATAAACAAGTTTCTGAGAATGCTTCTGTCCAGTTTTTATGGGAAGATATTTCCTTTTTCACCTTAGCCCTGAAAGCACTCCAAATGTCCACTTCCAGATACCACAAAAGGGGAGTTTCAAGACTGCTCTACGAAAGGGAGTGTTCAACTTTTGACTTGAATGCGAACATCAGAAAGAAGTTTCTCAGAACGCTGCAGTCTGCAATTTGTATGAATTCCCGCTTCCAACGAAATCCTCAAAACTAGCCAAATATCCACTTGCAGATTCCACAAAAAGAGCGTTTCAAAACTTCTCTATGAAAAGAAAGGTTCTACTCCTTTAGTTGAGGACACACATCACGAGTAAGTTTCTGAGAATGCTTCTGTCTAGTTTTTATGGGAAGATATGTCCTTTTTCACCTTAGGCCGGAAAGCGCTCCAAATGTCCACTTACACACACTACAAAAAGAGTGTTTCAAACCTGCTCTGTGAAAGGGAATGTTCAATTCTGTGACTTGAATGCAATCATCACAAAGAACTTTCTGAGAATGCTGCTGTCTGCTTTTTATATGTAATCCCGTTTCCAACGAAATCCTCAAATCTACCCCAATATCCACTTGCAGATTCCACAAAAAGAGTGTTTCAAAACTGTTCTGTGTAAAGAAATGTACAACTGTGGTAGTTGAGGACACACATCAGAAACTAGTTTCTGAGAATGCTCTCTGTCTAGTTGTTATGGGAAGATATTTCCTTTTCCAACGTAGGCCTGAAAGTGCTCCAAATGTCCACTTCCATATACTAAAAAAAGAGTGTTTCAAACCTGCTCTACCAAAGGGAATGTTCTACTCTGTGACTTGAATGCAAACATCCCAAAGAAGTTTCTGAGAATGCTTCTGTCTAGATTTTCTCTGAAGACAATCCCGTTTCCAACGAAATCCTCAAGGCTAGGCAAATATACTCTTGCAGATTCCAGAAAAAGAGTGTTTCAAAACTGCTCCTTCAAAACGGTGGTTCAATTCTCTTAGTTGAGTACACACATCTCAAATAAGTTTCTGAGAATGCTTCTGCCTAGTTGTTACGGGAAGATATTTCCCTTTCCAACATGGGCCTGAAAGCGCTCCAAATGTCCACTTCCAGATACTACAAAAAGAGTGTTTCAAACCTGCTCTACCAAAGGGAATGTTCTACTCTGTGACTTGAATGCAAACATCCCAAAGAAGTTTCTGAGAATGCTTCTGTCTAGATTTTACCAGAAGACAATCCCGTTTCCCACGAAATCCTCAAAGCTATGCAAATATCCTCTTGCAGATTCTACAAAAAGAGTGTTTCAAAACTGCTCTATGAAAAGAAAGGTTCAACTCTGTCAGTAGAGGGCACACATCACAAACAAGTTTCTGAGAATGCTTCTGCATAGTTGTTACGGGAAGATATTTCCCTTTCCAAAATAGGCCTGAAAGCGCTCCAAATGTCCACTTCCAGATACTACAAAAGGAGTGATTCCAACCTGCTCTATGATAGGGAATGTTCAACTCTGTGTCCTGAATACAAACATCACAAAGATGTTTCTCAGAACGCTGCAGTCTGCAATTTGTATGAATTCCCGCTTCCAACGAAATCCTCAAAACTAGCCAAATATCCACTTGCAGATTCCACAAAAAGACCATTTCAAAACTGCTCTATCAAAAGAAAGGTTCAACTTTGTTAGTTGAGTAGATACAGCATAACCAAGTTTCTGAGAATGCTTCTGTCCAGTTTTTATGGGAAGATATTTCCTTTTTCACCTTAGCCCTGAAATCGCTCCAAAAGTCCAGTTCCAGATACTACAAAAGGGGTGTTTCAAGACTGCTCTATGAAAGGGAGTGTTCAACTTTTGACTTGAATGCAAACATCAGAAAGCAGTTTCTCAGAACGCTGCTGTGTGCTTTTTATATGTATTCCCGCTTCCAGCGAAATCCCCAAAGCTAGCCAAATATCCACTTGCAGATTCCAGAAAAAGAGAGTTTCAAAACTGCTCCTTCAAAACGGTGGTTCAATTCTCTTAGTTGAGTACACACATCTCAAATAAGTTTCTGAGAATGCTTCTGTCTAGTTGTTATGGGAAGATATTTCCTTTTCCAACATAGGCCTGAAAGCGCTCCAAATGTCCACTTCCAGATACTACAAAAGGAGTGATTCCAACCTGCTCTATGATAGGGAATGTTCAACTCTGTGTCCTGAATACAAACATCACAAAGATGTTTCTCAGAACGCTGCAGTCTGCAATTTGTATGAATTCCCGCTTCCAACGAAATCCTCAAAACTAGCCAAATATCCACTTGCAGATTCCACAAAAAGAGCGTTTCAAAACTTCTCTATGAAAAGAAAGGTTCTACTCCTTTAGTTGAGGACACACATCACGAGTAAGTTTCTGAGAATGCTTCTGTCTAGTTTTTATGGGAAGATATGTCCTTTTTCACCTTAGGCCGGAAAGCGCTCCAAATGTCCACTTACACACACTACAAAAAGAGTGTTTCAAACCTGCTCTGTGAAAGGGAATGTTCAATTCTGTGACTTGAATGCAATCATCACAAAGAACTTTCTGAGAATGCTGCTGACTGCTTTTTATATGTAATCCCGTTTCCAACGAAATCCTCAAATCTAGCCCAATATCCACTTGCAGATTCCACAAAAAGAGTGTTTCAAAACTGTTCTGTCTAAAGAAATGTACAACTGTGTTAGTTGAGGACACACGTCAGAAACTAGTTTCTGAGAATGCTTCTGTCTAGTTGTTATGGGAAGATATTTCCTTTTCCAACGTAGGCCTGAAAGCGCTCCAAATGTCCACTTCCATATACTAAAAAAAGAGTGTTTCAAACCTGCTCTACCAAAGGGAATGTTCTACTCTGTGACTTGAATGCAAACATCCCAAAGAAGTTTCTGAGAATGCTTCTGTCTAGATTTGATCTGAAGACAATCCCGTTTCCAACGAAATCCTCAAGGCTAGGCAAATATCCTCTTGCAGATTCCAGAAAAAGAGTGTTTCAAAACTGCTCCTTCAAAACAGTGGTTCAATTCTCTTAGTTGAGTATACACATCTCAAATAAGTTTCTGAGAATGCTTCTGCCTAGTTGTTACGGGAAGATATTTCCCTTTCCAACATGGGCCTGAAAGCCCTAAAAATGTCCACTTCCAGATACTACAAAAAGAGTGTTTGAAACCAGCTCTACCAAAGGGAATGTTCTACTCTGTGACTTGAATGCAAACATCCCAAAGAAGTTTCTGAGAATGCTTCTGTCTAGATTTTACCTGAAGACAATCCCGTTTCCCACGAAATCCTCAAAGCTATGCAAATATCCTCTTGCAGATTCTACAAAAAGAGTGTTTCAAAACTGCTCTATGAAAAGAAAGGTTCAACTCTGTCGGTAGAGGGCACACATCACAAACAAGTTTCTGAGAATGCTTGTGTCTAGTTGTTATGGGAAGATATTTCCTTTTTCAACATAGGCCTGAAAGCGCTCCAAATGTCCACTTCCAGATACTACAAAAGGAGTGATTCCAACCTGCTCTATGATAGGGAATGTTCAACTCTCTGTCCTGAATACAAACATCACAAAGATGTTTCTCAGAACGCTGCAGTCTGCAATTTGTATGAATTCCCGCTTCCAACGAAATCCTCAAAACTAGCCAAATATCCACTTGCAGATTCCACAAAAAGAGCATTTCAAAACTGCTCTATCAAAAGAAAGGTTCAACTTTGTTAGTTGAGTAGATACAGCATAAACAAGTTTCTGAGAATGCTTCTGTCCAGTTTTTATGGGAAGATATTTCCTTTTTCACCTTAGCCCTGAAAGCGCTCCAAAAGTCCAGTTCCAGATACTACAAAAGGAGTGTTTCAGGACTGCTCTATGAAAGGGAGTGTTCAACTTTTGACTTGAATGCAAACATCAGAAAGCAGTTTCTCAGAACGCTGCAGTCTGCAATTTGTATGAATTCCCGCTTCCAACGAAATCCTCAAAACTAGCCAAATATCCACTTGCAGATTCCACAAAAAGAGCGTTTCAAAACTTCTCTATGAAAAGAAAGGTTCTACTCCTTTAGTTGAGGACACACATCACGAGTAAGTTTCTGAGAATGCTTCTGTCTAGTTTTTATGGGAAGATTATTTCCTTTTTCACCTTAGGCCGGTAAGTGCTCCAAATGTCCACTTACACACACTACAAAAAGAGTGTTTCAAACCTGCTCTGTGAAAGGGAATGTTCAATTCTGTGACTTGAATGCAATCATCACAAAGAACTTTCTGAGAATGCTGCTGACTGCTTTTTATATGTAATCCCGTTTCCAACGAAATCCTCAAATCTAGCCAAATAGCCACTTGCAGATTCCACAAAAAGAGTGTTTCAAAACTGTTCTGTCTAAAGAAATGTTCAACTGTGTTAGTTGAGGACACACATCAGAAACTAGTTTCTGAGAATGCTTCTGTCTAGTTGTTATGGGAAGATATTTCCTTTTCCAACGTAGGCCTGAAAGCGCTCCAAATGTCCACTTCCATATACTAAAAAAAGAGTGTTTCAAACCTGCTCTACCAAAGGGAATGTTCTACTCTGTGACTTGAATGCAAACATCCCAAAGAAGTTTCTGAGAATGCTTCTGTCTAGATTTTCTCTGAAGACAATCCCGTTTCCAACGAAATCCTCAAGGCTAGGCAAATATACTCTTGCAGATTCCAGAAAAAGAGTGTTTCAAAACTGCTCCTTCAAAACGGTGGTTCAATTCTCTTAGTTGAGTACACACATCTCAAATAAGTTTCTGAGAATGCTTCTGCCTAGTTGTTACGGGAAGATATTTCCCTTTCCAACATGGGCCTGAAAGCGCTCCAAATGTCCACTTCCAGATACTACAAAAAGAGTGTTTCAAACCTGCTCTACCAAAGGGAATGTTCTACTCTGTGACTTGAATGCAAACATCCCAAAGAAGTTTCTGAGAATGCTTCTGTCTAGATTTTACCTGAAGACAATCCCGTTTCCCACGAAATCCTCAAAGCTATGCAAATATCCTCTTGCGGATTCTACAAAAAGAGTGTTTCAAAACTGCTCTATGAAAAGAAAGGTTCAACTCTGTCAGTAGAGGGCACACATCACAAACAAGTTTCTGAGAATGCTTGTGTCTAGTTGTTATGGGAAGATATTTCCTTTTTCAACATAGGCCAGAAAGCGCTCCAAATGTCCACTTCCAGATACTACAAAAGGAGTGATTCCAACCTGCTCTATGATAGGGAATGTTCAACTCTCTGTCCTGAATGCAAACATCACAAAGATGTTTCTCAGAACGCTGCAGTCTGCAATTTGTATGAATTCCCGCTTCCAGCGAAATCCTCAAAACTAGCCAAATATCCACTTGCAGATTCCACAAAAAGAGCATTTCAAAACTGCTCTATCAAAAGAAAGGTTCAACTTTGTTAGTTGAGTAGATACAGCATAAACAAGTTTCTGAGAATGCTGCAGTCTGCAATTTGTATGAATTCCCGCTTCCAACGAAATCCTCAAAACTAGCCAAATATCCACTTGCAGATTCCACAAAAAGAGCGTTTCAAAACTTCTCTATGAAAAGAAAGGTTCTACTCCTTTAGTTGAGGACACACATCACGAGTAAGTTTCTGAGAATGCTTCTGTCTAGTTTTTATGGGAAGATATTTCCTTTTTCACCTTAGGCCGGAAAGTGCTCCAAATGTCCACTTACACACACTACAAAAAGAGTGTTTCAAACCTGCTCTGTGAAAGGGAATGTTCAATTCTGTGACTTGAATGCAATCATCCCAAAGAACTTTCTGAGAATGCTGCTGTCTGCTTTTTATATGTAATCCCGTTTCCAACGAAATCCTCAAATCTAGCCAAATAGCCACTTGCAGATTCCACAAAAAGAGTGTTTCAAAACTGTTCTGTCTAAAGAAATGTTCAACTGTGTTAGTTGAGGACACACATCAGAAACTAGTTTCTGAGAATGCTTCTGTCTAGTTGTTATGGGAAGATATTTCCTTTTCCAACATAGGCCTGAAAGCGCTCCAAATGTCCACTTCCATATACTAAAAAAAGAGTGTTTCAAACCTGCTCTACCAAAGGGAATGTTCTACTCTGTGACTTGAATGCAAACATCCCAAAGAAGTTTCTGAGAATGCTTCTGTCTAGATTTGATCTGAAGACAATCCCGTTTCCAACGAAATCCTCAAAGCTAGGCAAATATCCTCTTGCAGATTCCAGAAAAAGAGTGTTTCAAAACTGCTCCTTCAAAACGGTGGTTCAATTCTCTTAGTTGAGTACACACATCTCAAATAAGTTTCTGAGAATGCTTCTGCCTAGTTGTTACGGGAAGATATTTCCCTTTCCAACATAGGCCTGAAAGCGCTCCAAATGTCCACTTCCAGATACTACAAAAAGAGTGTTTCAAACCTGCTCTACCAAAGGGAATGTTCTGCTCTGTGACTTGAATGCAAACATCCCAAAGAAGTTTCTGAGAATGCTTCTGTCTAGATTTTACCTGAAGACAATCCCGTTTCCCACGAAATCCTCAAAGCTATGCAAATATCCTCTTGCAGATTCTACAAAAAGAGTGTTTCAAAACTGCTCTATGAAAAGAAAGGTTCAACTCTGTCAGTAGAGGGCACACATCACAAACAAGTTTCTGAGAATGCTTCTGCATAGTTGTTACGGGAAGATATTTCCCTTTCCAAAATAGGCCTGAAAGCGCTCCAAATGTCCACTTCCAGATACTACAAAAGGAGTGATTCCAACCTGCTCTATGATAGGGAATGTTCAACTCTGTGTCCTGAATACAAACATCACAAAGATGTTTCTCAGAACGCTGCAGTCTGCAATTTGTATGAATTCCCGCTTCCAACGAAATCCTCAAAACTAGCCAAATATCCACTTCCAGATTCCACAAAAAGACCATTTCAAAACTGCTCTATCAAAAGAAAGGTTCAACTTTGTTAGTTGAGTAGATACAGCATAAACAAGTTTCTGAGAATGCTTCTGTCCAGTTTTTATGGGAAGATATTTCCTTTTTCACCTTAGCCCTGAAATCGCTCCAAAAGTCCAGTTCCAGATACTACAAAAGGGGTGTTTCAAGACTGCTCTATGAAAGGGAGTGTTCAACTTTTGACTTGAATGCAAACATCAGAAAGCAGTTTCTCAGAACGCTGCTGTGTGCTTTTTATATGTATTCCCGCTTCCAGCGAAATCCCCAAAGCTAGCCAAATATCCACTTGCAGATTCCAGAAAAAGAGTGTTTCAAAACTGCTCCTTCAAAACGGTGGTTCAATTCTCTTAGTTGAGTACACACATCTCAAATAAGTTTCTGAGAATGCTTCTGTCTAGTTGTTATGGGAAGATATTTCCTTTTCCAACATAGGCCTGAAAGCGCTCCAAATGTCCACTTCCAGATACTACAAAAGGAGTGATTCAAACCTGCTCTATGATAGGGAATGTTCAACTCTGTGTCCTGAATACAAACATCACAAAGATGTTTCTCAGAACGCTGCAGTCTGCAATTTGTATGAATTCCCGCTTCCAACGAAATCCTCAAAACTAGCCAAATATCCACTTGCAGATTCCACAAAAAGAGCGTTTCAAAACTTCTCTGCGAAAGAAAGGTTCTACTCCTTTAGTTGAGGACACACATCACGAGTAAGTTTCTGAGAATGCTTCTGTCTAGTTTTTATGGGAAGATATTTCCTTTCTCACCTTAGGCCGGAAAGTGCTCCAAATGTCCACTTACACACACTACAAAAAGAGTGTTTCAAACCTGCTCTGTGAAAGGGAATGTTCAATTCTGTGACTTGAATGCAATCATCACAAAGAACTTTCTGAGAATGCTGCTGTCTGCTTTTTATATGTAATCCCGTTTCCAACGAAATCCTCAAATCTAGCCAAATAGCCACTTGCAGATTCCACAAAAAGAGAGTTTCAAAACTGTTCTGTCTAAAGAAATGTTCAACTGTGTTAGTTGAGGACACACATCAGAAACTAGTTTCTGAGAATGCTTCTGTCTAATTGTTATGGGAAGATATTTCCTTTTCCAACGTAGGCCTGAAAGCGCTCCAAATGTCCACTTCCATATACTAAAAAAAGAGTGTTTCAAACCTGCTCTACCAAAGGGAATGTTCTACTCTGTGACTTGAATGCAAACATCCCAAAGAAGTTTCTGAGAATGCTTCTGTCTAGATTTGATCTGAAGACAATCCCGTTTCCAACGAAATCCTCAAGGCTAGGCAAATATCCTCTTGCAGATTCCAGAAAAAGAGTGTTTCAAAACTGCTCCTTCAAAACGGTGGTTCAATTCTCTTAGTTGAGTACACACATCTCAAATAAGTTTCTGAGAATGCTTCTGCCTAGTTGTTACGGGAAGATATTTCCCTTTCCAACATGGGCCTGAAAGCGCTCCAAATGTCCACTTCCAGATACTACAAAAAGAGTGTTTCAAACCTGCTCTACCAAAGGGAATGTTCTACTCTGTGACTTGAATGCAAACATCCCAAAGAAGTTTCTGAGAATGCTTCTGTCTAGATTTTACCTGAAGACAATCCCGTTTCCCACGAAATCCTCAAAGCTATGCAAATATCCTCTTGCAGATTCTACAAAAAGAGTGTTTCAAAACTGCTCTATGAAAAGAAAGGTTCAACTCTGTCAGTAGAGGGCACACATCACAAACAAGTTTCTGAGAATGCTTCTGCATAGTTGTTATGGGAAGATATTTCCCTTTCCAAAATAGGCCTGAAAGCGCTCCAAATGTCCACTTCCAGATACTACAAAAGGAGTGATTCCAACCTGCTCTAGGACAGGGAATGTTCAACTCTGTTTCCTGAATAAAAACATCACAAAGATGTTTCTCAGAACGCTGCAGTCTGCAATTTGTATGAATTCTAGCTTCCAACGAAATCCTCAAAACTAGCCAAATATCCACTTGCAGATTCCACAAAAAGAGCATTTCAAAACTGCTCTATCAAAAGAAAGGTTCAAATTTGTTAGTAGAGTAGATACAGCATAAACAAGTTTCTGAGATTGCTTCTGTCCAGTTTTTATGGGAAGATATTTCCTTTTTCACCTTAGCCCTGAAAGCGCTCCAAATGTCCAGTTCCAGATACTACAAAAGGGGTGTTTCAAGACTGCTCTATCAAAGGGAGTGTTCAACTTTTGACTTGAATGCAAACATCAGAAAGCTGTTTCTCAGAACGCTGCTGTGTGCTTTTTATATGTATTCCCGCTTCCAGCGAAATCCCCAAAGCTAGCCAAATATCCACTTGCAGATTCCAGAAAAAGAGTGTTTCAAAACTGCTCCTTCAAAACGGTGGTTCAATTCTCTTAGTTGAGTACACACATCTCAAATAAGTTTCTGAGAATGCTTCTGTCTAGTTGTTATGGGAAGATATTTCCTTTTCCAACATAGGCCTGAAAGCGCTCCAAATGTCCACTTCCAGATACTACAAAAGGAGTGATTCAAACCTGCTCTATGATAGGGAATGTTCAACTCTGTGTCCTGAATACAAACATCACAAAGATGTTTCTCAGAACGCTGCAGTCTGCAATTTGTATGAATTCCCGCTTCCAACGAAATCCTCCAAACTAGCCAAATATCCACTTGCAGATTCCACAAAAAGAGCGTTTCAAAACTTCTCTATGAAAAGAAAGGTTCTACTCCTTTAGTTGAGGACACACATTACGAGTAAGTTTCTGAGAATGCTTCTGTCTAGTTTTTATGGGAAGATATTTCCTTTTTCACCTTAGGCCGGAAAGTGCTCCAAATGTCCACTTACACACACTATAAAAAGAGTGTTTCAAACCTGCTCTGTGAAAGGGAATGTTCAATTCTGTGACTTGAATGCAATCATCACAAAGAACTTTCTGAGAATGCTGCTGTCTGCTTTTTATATGTAATCGCGTTTCCAACGAAATCCTCAAATCTAGCCAAATATCCACTTGCAGATTCCACAAAAAGAGTGTTTCAAAACTGTTCTGTCTAAAGAAATGTTCAACTGTGTTAGTTGAGGACACACATCAGAAACTAGTTTCTGAGAATGCTTCCGTCTAGTTGTTATGGGAAGATATTTCCTTTTCCAACGTAGGCCTGAAAGCGCTCCAAATGTCCACTTCCATATACTAAAAAAAGAGTGTTTCAAACCTGCTCTACCAAAGGAATGTTCTACTCTGTGACTTGAATGCAAACATCCCAAAGAAGTTTCTGAGAATGCTTCTGTCTAGATTTGATCTGAAGACAATCCCTTTTCCAACGAAATCCTCAAAGCTAGGCAAATATCCTCTTGCAGATTCCAGAAAAAGAGTGTTTCCAAACTGCTCCTTCAAAACGGTGGTTCAATTCTCTTAGTTGAGTACACACATCTCAAATAAGTTTCTGAGAATGCTTCTGCGTAGTTGTTACGGGAAGATATTTCCCTTTCCAACATAGGCCTGAAAGCGCAACAAATGTCCACTTCCAGATACGACAAAAAGAGTGTTTCAAACCTGCTCTACCGAAGGGAATGTTCTACTCTGTGACTTGAATGCAAACATCCCGAAGAAGTTTCTGAGAATGCTTTCTGTCTAGATTTTACCTGAAGACAATCCCGTTTCCCACGAAATCCTCAAAGCTATGCAAATATCCTCTTGCAGATTCTACAAAAAGAGTGTTTCAAAACTGCTCTATGAAAAGAAAGGTTCAACTCTGTCAGTAGAGGGCACACATCACAAACAAGTTTCTGAGAATGCTTGTGTCTAGTTGTTATGGGAAGATATTTCCTTTTTCAACATAGGCCTGAAAGCGCTCCAAATGTCCACTTCCAGATACTACAAAAGGAGTGATTCCAACCTGCTCTATGATAGGGAATGTTCAACTCTCTGTCCTGAATACAAACATCACAAAGATGTTTCTCAGAACGCTGCAGTCTGCAATTTGTATGAATTCCCGCTTCCAACGAAATCCTCAAAACTAGCCAAATATCCACTTGCAGATTCCACAAAAAGAGCATTTCAAAACTGCTCTATCAAAAGAAAGGTTCAACTTTGTTAGTTGAGTAGATACAGCATAAACAAGTTTCTGAGAATGCTGCAGTCTGCAATTTGTATGAATTCCCGCTTCCAACGAAATCCTCAAAACTAGCCAAATATCCACTTGCAGATTCCACAAAAAGAGCGTTTCAAAACTTCTCTATGAAAAGAAAGGTTCTACTCCTTTAGTTGAGGACACACATCACGAGTAAGTTTCTGAGAATGCTTCTGTCTAGTTTTTATGGGAAGATATTTCCTTTTTCACCTTAGACCGGTAAGGGTTCCAAATGTCCACTTACACACACTACAAAAAGAGTGTTTCAAACCTGCTCTGTGAAAGGGAATGTTCAATTCTGTGACTTGAATGCAATCATCACAAAGAACTTTCTGAGAATGCTGCTGTCTGCTTTTTATATGTAATCCCGTTTCCAACGAAATCTTCAAATCTAGTCAAATATCCACTTGCAGATTCCACAAAAAGAGTGTTTCAAAACTGTTCTGTGTAAAGAAAAGTTCAACTGTGTTAGTTGAGGACACACATCAGAAACTAGTTTCTGAGAATGCTTCTGTCTAGTTGTTATGGGAAGATATTTCCTTTTCCAACGTAGGCCTGAAAGCGCTCCAAATGTCCACTTCCATATACTAAAAAAAGAGTGTTTCAAACCTGCTCTACCAAAGGGAATGTTCTACTCTGTGACTTGAATGCAAACATCCCAAAGAAGTTTCTGAGAATGCTTCTGTCTAGATTTGATCTGAAGACAATCCCGTTTCCAACGAAATCCTCAAGGCTAGGCAAATATCCTCTTGCAGATTCCAGAAAAAGAGTGTTTCAAAACTGCTCCTTCAAAACGGTGGTTCAATTCTCTTAGTTGAGTACACACATCTCAAATAAGTTTCTGAGAATGCTTCTGCCTAGTTGTTACGGGAAGATATTTCCCTTTCCAACATAGGCCTGAAAGCGCTCCAAATGTCCACTTCCAGATACTACAAAAAGAGTGTTTCAAACCTGCTCTACCAAAGGGAATGTTCTACTCTGTGACTTGAATGCAAACATCCTAAAGAAGTTTCTGAGAATGCTTCTGTCTAGATTTTACCTGAAGACAATCCCGTTTCCCACGAAATCCTCAAAGCTATGCAAATATCCTCTTGCGGATTCTACAAAAAGAGTGTTTCAAAACTGCTCTATGAAAAGAAAGGTTCAACTCTGTCAGTAGAGGGCACACATCACAAACAAGTTTCTGAGAATGCTTGTGTCTAGTTGTTATGGGAAGATATTTCCTTTTTCAACATAGGCCTGAAAGCGCTCCAAATGTCCACTTCCAGATACTACAAAAGGAGTGATTCCAACCTGCTCTATGATAGGGAATGTTCAACTCTGTGTCCTGAATACAAACATCACAAAGATGTTTCTCAGAACGCTGCAGTCTGCAATTTGTATGAATTCCCGCTTCCAACGAAATCCTCCAAACTAGCCAAATATCCACTTGCAGATTCCACAAAAAGACCATTTCAAAACTGCTCTATCAAAAGAAAGGTTCAACTTTGTTAGTTGAGTAGATACAGCATAAACAAGTTTCTGAGAATGCTTCTGTCCAGTTTTTATGGGAAGATATTTCCTTTTTCACCTTAGCCCTGAAATCGCTCCAAAAGTCCAGTTCCAGATACTACAAAAGGGGTGTTTCAGGACTGCTCTATGAAAGGGAGTGTTCAACTTTTGACTTGAATGCAAACATCAGAAAGCAGTTTCTCAGAACGCTGCTGTGTGCTTTTTATATGTATTCCCGCTTCCAGCGAAATCCCCAAAGCTAGCCAAATATCCACTTGCAGATTCCAGAAAAAGAGAGTTTCAAAACTGCTCCTTCAAAACGGTGGTTCAATTCTCTTAGTTGAGTACACACATCTCAAATAAGTTTCTGAGAATGCTGCAGTCTGCAATTTGTATGAATTCCCGCTTCCAACGAAATCCTCAAAACTAGCCAAATATCCACTTGCAGATTCCACAAAAAGAGCGTTTCAAAACTTCTCTATGAAAAGAAAGGTTCTACTCCTTTAGTTGAGGACACACATCACGAGTAAGTTTCTGAGAATGCTTCTGTCTAGTTTTTATGGGAAGATATTTCTTTTTTCACCTTAGGCCGGAAAGCGCTCCAAATGTCCACTTACACACACTACAAAAAGAGTGTTTCAAACCTGCTCTGTGAAAGGGAATGTTCAATTCTGTGACTTGAATGCAATCATCACAAAGAACTTTCTGAGAATGCTGCTGTCTGCTTTTTATATGTAATCCCGTTTCCAACGAAATCCTCAAATCTAGCCAAATAGCCACTTGCAGATTCCACAAAAAGAGTGTTTCAAAACTGTTCTGTCTAAAGAAATGTTCAACTGTGTTAGTTGAGGACACATATCAGAAACTAGTTTCTGAGAATGCTTCTGTCTAGTTGTTATGGGAAGATATTTCCTTTTCCAACGTAGGCCTGAAAGCGCTCCAAATGTCCACTTCCATATACTAAAAAAAGAGTGTTTCAAACCTGCTCTACCAAAGGGAATGTTCTACTCCGTGACTTGAATGCAAATATCCCAAAGAAGTTTCTGAGAATGCTTCTGTCTAGATTTGATCTGAAGACAATCCCGTTTCCAACGAAATCCTCAAGGCTAGGCAAATATCCTCTTGCAGATTCCAGAAAAAGAGTGTTTCAAAACTGCTCCTTCAAAACGGTGGTTCAATTCTCTTAGTTGAGTACACACATCTCAAATAAGTTTCTGAGAATGCTTCTGCCTAGTTGTTACGGGAAGATATTTCCCTTTCCAACATAGGCCTGAAAGCGCTCCAAATGTCCACTTCCAGATACTACAAAAAGAGTGTTTCAAACCTGCTCTACCAAAGGGAATGTTCTGCTCTGTGACTTGAATGCAAACATCCCAAAGAAGTTTCTGAGAATGCTTCTGTCTAGATTTTACCTGAAGACAATCCCGTTTCCCACGAAATCCTCAAAGCTATGCAATTATCCTCTTGCAGATTCTACAAAAAGAGTGTTTCAAAACTGCTCTATGAAAAGAAAGGTTCAACTCTGTCAGTAGAGGGCACACATCACAAACAAGTTTCTGAGAATGCTTGTGTCTAGTTGTTATGGGAAGATATTTCCTTTTTCAACATAGGCCTGAAAGCGCTCCAAATGTCCACTTCCAGATACTACAAAAGGAGTGATTCCAACCTGCTCTATGATAGGGAATGTTCAACTCTCTGTCCTGAATACAAACATCACAAAGATGTTTCTCAGAACGCTGCAGTCTGCAATTTGTATGAATTCCCGCTTCCAACGAAATCCTCAAAACTAGCCAAATATCCACTTGCAGATTCCACAAAAAGACCATTTCAAAACTGCTCTATCAAAAGAAAGGTTCAACTTTGTTAGTTGAGTAGATACAGCATAAACAAGTTTCTGAGAATGCTTCTGTCCAGTTTTTATGGGAAGATATTTCCTTTTTCACCTTAGCCCTGAAATCGCTCCAAAAGTCCAGTTCCAGATACTACAAAAGGGGTGTTTCAAGACTGCTCTATGAAAGGGAGTGTTCAACTTTTGACTTGAATGCAAACATCAGAAAGCAGTTTCTCAGAACGCTGCTGTGTGCTTTTTATATGTATTCCCGCTTCCAGCGAAATCCCCAAAGCTAGCCAAATATCCACTTGCAGATTCCAGAAAAAGAGTGTTTCAAAACTGCTCCTTCAAAACGGTGGTTCAATTCTCTTAGTTGAGTACACACATCTCAAATAAGTTTCTGAGAATGCTTGTGTCTAGTTGTTATGGGAAGATATTTCCTTTTTCAACATAGGCCTGAAAGCGCTCCAAATGTCCACTTCCAGATACTACAAAAGGAGTGATTCCAACATGCTCTATGATAGGGAATGTTCATCTCTGTGTCCTGAATACAAACATCACAAAGATGTTTCTCAGAACGCTGCAGTCTGCAATTTGTATGAATTCCCGCTTCCAACGAAATCCTCAAAACTAGCCAAATATCCACTTGGAGATTCCACAAAAAGAGCGTTTCAAAACTTCTCTATGAATAGAAAGGTTCTACTCCTTTAGTTGAGGAAACACATCACGAGTAAGTTTCTGAGAATGCTTCTGTCTAGTTTTTATGGGAAGATATTTCCTTTTTCACCTTAGGCCGGAAAGCGCTCCAAATGTCCACTTACACACACTACAAAAAGAGTGTTTCAAACCTGCTCTGTGAAAGGGAATGTTCAATTCTGTGACTTGAATGCAATCATCACAAAGAACTTTCTGAGAATGCTGCTGTCTGCTTTTTATATGTAATCCCGTTTCCAACGAAATCCTCAAATCTAGCCAAATATCCACTTGCAGATTCCACAAAAAGAGTGTTTCAAAACTGTTCTGTCTAAAGAAAAGTTCAACTGTGTTAGTTGAGGACACACATCAGAAACTAGTTTCTGAGAATGCTTCTGTCTAGTTGTTATGGGAAGATATTTCCTTTTCCAACGTAGGCCTGAAAGCGCTCCAAATGTCCACTTCCATATACTAAAAAAAGAGTGTTTCAAACCTGCTCTACCAAAGGGAATGTTCTACTCTGTGACTTGAATGCAAACATCCCAAAGAAGTTTCTGAGAATGCTTCTGTCTAGATTTGATCTGAAGACAATCCCGTTTCCAACGAAATCCTCAAGGCTAGGCAAATATCCTCTTGCAGATTCCAGAAAAAGAGTGTTTCAAAACTGCTCCTTCAAAACGGTGGTTCAATTGCTACTTAGTTGAGTACACACATCTCAAATAAGTTTCTGAGAATGCTTTCTGCCTAGTTGTTACGGGAAGATATTTCCCTTTCCAACATGGGCCTGAAAGCGCTCCAAATGTCCACTTCCAGATACTACAAAAAGAGTGTTTCAAACCTGCTCTACCAAAGGGAATGTTCTACTCTGTGACTTGAATGCAAACATCCCAAAGAAGTTCTGAGAATGCTTCTGTCTAGATTTTACGTGAAGACAATCCCGTTTCCCACGAAATCCTCAAAGCTATGCAAATATCCTCTTGCAGATTCTACAAAAAGAGTGTTTCAAAACTGCTCTATGAAAAGAAAGGTTCAACTCTGTCAGTAGAGGGCACACATCACAAACAAGTTTCTGAGAATGCTTCTGCATAGTTGTTACGGGAAGATATTTCCCTTTCCAACATAGGCCTGAAAGCGCTCCAAATGTCCACTTCCAGATACTACAAAAGGAGTGATTCCAACCTGCTCTATGATAGGGAATGTTCAACTCTGTGTCCTGAATACAAACATCACAAAGATGTTTCTCAGAACGCTGCAGTCTGCAATTTGTATGAATTCCCGCTTCCAACGAAATCCTCAAAACTAGCCAAATATCCACTTGCAGATTCCACAAAAAGACCATTTCAAAACTGCTCTATCAAAAGAAAGGTTCAACTTTGTTAGTTGAGTAGATACAGCATAAACAAGTTTCTGAGAATGCTTCTGTCCAGTTTTTATGGGAAGATATTTCCTTTTTCACCTTAGCCCTGAAATCGCTCCAAAAGTCCAGTTCCAGATACTACAAAAGGGGTGTTTCAAGACTGCTCTATGAAAGGGAGTGTTCAACTTTTGACTTGAATGCAAACATCAGAAAGCAGTTTCTCAGAACGCTTCTGTCTAGATTTTACCTGAAGACAATCCCGTTTCCCACGAAATCCTCAAAGCTATGCAAATATCCTCTTTCGGATTCTACAAAAAGAGTGTTTCAAAACTGCTCTATGAAAAGAAAGGTTCAACTCTGTCAGTAGAGGGCACACATCACAATCAAGTTTCTGAGAATGCTTCTGTCTAGTTGTTATGGGAAGATATTTCCTTTTCCAACATAGGCCTGAAAGCGCTCCAAATGTCCACTTCCAGATACTACAAAAGGAGTGATTCAAACCTGCTCTATGATAGGGAATGTTCAACTCTGTGTCCTGAATACAAACATCACAAAGATGTTTCTCAGAACGCTGCAGTCTGCAATTTGTATGAATTCCCGCTTCCAACGAAATCCTCCAAACTAGCCAAATATCCACTTGCAGATTCCACAAAAAGAGCGTTTCAAAACTTCTCTATGAAAAGAAAGG
This sequence comes from Homo sapiens, assembly GCF_000001405.40. Taxonomy (NCBI): domain Eukaryota; kingdom Metazoa; phylum Chordata; class Mammalia; order Primates; family Hominidae; genus Homo; species Homo sapiens. Next base: position 19,539,623 of record NC_000018.10, on the reverse strand, counting down.
TTCTACTCCTTTAGTTGAGGACACACATCACGAGTAAGTTTCTGAGAATGCTTCTGTCTAGTTTTTATGGGAAGATATTTCCTTTTCCACCTTAGGCCGGTAAGTGCTCCAAATGTCCACTTACACACACTACAAAAAGAGTGTTTCAAACCTGCTCTGTGAAAGGGAATGTTCAATTCTGTGACTTGAATGCAATCATCACAAAGAACTTTCTGAGAATGCTGCTGACTGCTTTTTATATGTAATCCCGTTTCCAACGAAATCCTCAAATCTAGCCAAATAGCCACTTGCAGATTCCACAAAAAGAGTGTTTCAAAACTGTTCTGTCTAAAGAAATGTTCAACTGTGTTAGTTGAGGACACACATCAGAAACTAGTTTCTGAGAATGCTTCTGTCTAGTTGTTATGGGAAGATATTTCCTTTTCCAACGTAGGCCTGAAAGCGCTCCAAATGTCCACTTCCATATACTAAAAAAAGAGTGTTTCAAACCTGCTCTACCAAAGGGAATGTTCTACTCTGTGACTTGAATGCAAACATCCCAAAGAAGTTTCTGAGAATGCTTCTGTCTAGATTTTCTCTGAAGACAATCCCGTTTCCAACGAAATCCTCAAGGCTAGGCAAATATACTCTTGCAGATTCCAGAAAAAGAGTGTTTCAAAACTGCTCCTTCAAAACGGTGGTTCAATTCTCTTAGTTGAGTACACACATCTCAAATAAGTTTCTGAGAATGCTTCTGCCTAGTTGTTACGGGAAGATATTTCCTTTTCCAACATGGGCCTGAAAGCGCTCCAAATGTCCACTTCCAGATACTACAAAAAGAGTGTTTCAAACCTGCTCTACCAAAGGGAATGTTCTACTCTGTGACTTGAATGCAAACATCCCAAAGAAGTTTGCTGAGAATGCTTCTGTCTAGATTTTACCTGAAGACAATCCCGTTTCCCACGAAATCCTCAAAGCTATGCAAATATCCTCTTGCGGATTCTACAAAAAGAGTGTTTCAAAACTGCTCTATGAAAAGAAAGGTTCAACTCTGTCAGTAGAGGGCACACATCACAAACAAGTTTCTGAGAATGCTTCTGCATAGTTGTTACGGGAAGATATTTCCCTTTCCAAAATAGGCCTGAAAGCGCTCCAAATGTCCACTTCCAGATACTACAAAAGGAGTGATTCCAACCTGCTCTATGATAGGGAATGTTCAACTCTGTGTCCTGAATACAAACATCACAAAGATGTTTCTCAGAACGCTGCAGTCTGCAATTTGTATGAATTCCCGCTTCCAACGAAATCCTCAAAACTAGCCAAATATCCACTTGCAGATTCCACAAAAAGACCATTTCAAAACTGCTCTATCAAAAGAAAGGTTCAACTTTGTTAGTTGAGTAGATACAGCATAAACAAGTTTCTGAGAATGCTTCTGTCCAGTTTTTATGGGAAGATATTTCCTTTTTCACCTTAGCCCTGAAATCGCTCCAAAAGTCCAGTTCCAGATACTACAAAAGGGGTGTTTCAAGACTGCTCTATGAAAGGGAGTGTTCAACTTTTGACTTGAATGCAAACATCAGAAAGCAGTTTCTCAGAACGCTGCTGTGTGCTTTTTATATGTATTCCCGCTTCCAGCGAAATCCCCAAAGCTAGCCAAATATCCACTTGCAGATTCCAGAAAAAGAGAGTTTCAAAACTGCTCCTTCAAAACGGTGGTTCAATTCTCTTAGTTGAGTACACACATCTCAAATAAGTTTCTGAGAATGCTGCTGTGTGCTTTTTATATATATTCCCGCTTCCAGCGAAATCCCCAAAGCTAGCCAAATATCCACTTGCAGATTCCAGAAAAAGAGTGTTTCCAAACTGCTCCTTCAAAACGGTGGTTCAATTCTCTTAGTTGAGTACACACATCTCAAATAAGTTTCTGGGAATGCTTCTGTCTAGTTGTTATGGGAAGATATTTCCTTTTCCAACATAGGCCTGAAAGCGCTCCAAATGTCCACTTCCAGATACTACAAAAGGAGTGATTCAAACCTGCTCTATGATAGGGAATGTTCAACTCTGTGTCCTGAATACAAACATCACAAAGATGTTTCTCAGAACGCTGCAGTCTGCAAATTTGTATGAATTCCCGCTTCCAACGAAATCCTCAAAACTAGCCAAATATCCACTTGCAGATTCCACAAAAAGACCATTTCAAAACTGCTCTATCAAAAGAAAGGTTCAACTTTGTTAGTTGAGTAGATACAGCATAAACAAGTTTCTGAGAATGCTTCTGTCCAGTTTTTATGGGAAGATATTTCCTTTTTCACCTTAGCCCTGAAAGCGCCCCAAAAGTCCAGTTCCAGATACTACAAAAGGGGTGTTTCAAGACTGCTCTATGAAAGGGAGTGTTCAACTTTTGACTTGAATGCAAACATCAGAAAGCAGTTTCTCAGAACGCTGCTGTGTGCTTTTTATATGTATTCCCGCTTCCAGCGAAATCCCCAAAGCTAGCCAAATATCCACTTGCAGATTCCAGAAAAAGAGTGTTTCAAAACTGCTCCTTCAAAACGGTGGTTCAATTCTCTTAGTTGAGTACACACATCTCAAATAAGTTTCTGAGAATGCTTGTGTCTAGTTGTTATGGGAAGATATTTCCTTTTTCAACATAGGCCTGAAAGCGCTCCAAATGTCCACTTCCAGATACTACAAAAGGAGTGATTCCAACCTGGTCTATGATAGGGAATGTTCATCTCTGTGTCCTGAATACAAACATCACAAAGATGTTTCTCAGAACGCTGCAGTCTGCAATTTGGATGAATTCCCGCTTCCAACGAAATCCTCAAAACTAGCCAAATATCCACTTGGAGATTCCACAAAAAGAGCGTTTCAAAACTTCTCTATGAATAGAAAGGTTCTACTCCTTTAGTTGAGGAAACACATCACGAGTAAGTTTCTGAGAATGCTTCTGTCTAGTTTTTATGGGAAGATATTTCCTTTTTCACCTTAGGCCGGAAAGCGCTCCAAATGTCCACTTACACACACTACAAAAAGAGTGTTTCAAACCTGCTCTGTGAAAGGGAATGTTCAATTCTGTGACTTGAATGCAATCATCACAAAGAACTTTCTGAGAATGCTGCTGTCTGCTTTTTATATGTAATCCCGTTTCCAACGAAATCCTCAAATCTAGCCAAATATCCACTTGCAGATTCCACAAAAAGAGTGTTTCAAAACTGTTCTGTCTAAAGAAAAGTTCAACTGTGTTAGTTGAGGACACACATCAGAAACTAGTTTCTGAGAATGCTTCTGTCTAGTTGTTATGGGAAGATATTTCCTTTTCCAACGTAGGCCTGAAAGCGCTCCAAATGTCCACTTCCAGATACTACAAAAAGAGTGTTTCAAACCTGCTCTACCAAAGGGAATGTTCTACTCTGTGACTTGAATGCAAACATCCCAAAGAAGTTTCTGAGAATGCTTCTGTCTAGATTTTATCTGAAGACAATCCCGTTTCCAACGAAATCCTCAAGGCTAGGCAAATATACTCTTGCAGATTCCAGAAAAAGAGGGTTTCAAAACTGCTCCTTCAAAACGGTGGTTCAATTCTCTTAGTTGAGTACACACATCTCAAAAAAGTTTCTGAGAATGCTTCTGCCTAGTTGTTACGGGAAGATATTTCCCTTTCCAACATGGGCCTGAAAGCGCTCCAAATGTCCACTTCCAGATACTACAAAAAGAGTGTTTCAAACCTGCTCTACCAAAGGGAATGTTCTACTCTGTGACTTGAATGCAAACATCCCAAAGAAGTTTCTGAGAATGCTTCTGTCTAGATTTTACCTGAAGACAATCCCGTTTCCCACGAAATCCTCAAAGCTATGCAAATATCCTCTTGCAGATTCTACAAAAAGAGTGTTTCAAAACTGCTCTATGAAAAGAAAGGTTCAACTCTGTCAGTAGAGGGCACACATCACAAACAAGTTTCTGAGAATGCTTCTGCATAGTTGTTACGGGAAGATATTTCCCTTTCCAAAATAGGCCTGAAAGCGCTCCAAATGTCCACTTCCAGATACTACAAAAGGAGTGATTCCAACCTGCTCTATGATAGGGAATGTTCAACTCTGTGTCCTGAATACAAACATCACAAAGATGTTTCTCAGAACGCTGCAGTCTGCAATTTGTATGAATTCCCGCTTCCAACGAAATCCTCAAAACTAGCCAAATATCCACTTGCAGATTCCACAAAAAGAGCATTTCAAAACTGCTCTATCAAAAGAAAGGTTCAACTTTGTTAGTTGAGTAGATACAGCATAAACAAGTTTCTGAGAATGCTTCTGTCCAGTTTTTATGGGAAGATATTTCCTTTTTCACCTTAGCCCTGAAAGCGCTCCAAAAGTCCAGTTCCAGATACTACAAAAGGAGTGTTTCAGGACTGCACTATGAAAGGGAGTGTTCAACTTTTGACTTGAATGCAAACATCAGAAAGCAGTTTCTCAGAACGCTGCTGTGTGCTTTTTATATGTATTCCCGCTTCCAGCGAAATCCCCAAAGCTAGCCAAATATCCACTTGCAGATTCCAGGAAAAGAGTGTTTCAAAACTGCTCCTTCAAAACGGTGGTTCAATTCTCTTAGTTGAGTACACACATCTCAAATAAGTTTCTGAGAATGCTTCTGTCTAGTTGTTATGGGAAGATATTTCCTTTTCCAACATAGGCCTGAAAGCGCTCCAAATGTCCACTTCCAGATACTACAAAAGGAGTGATTCAAACCTGCTCTATGATAGGGAATGTTCAACTCTGTGTCCTGAATACAAACATCACAAAGATGTTTCTCAGAACGCTGCAGTCTGCAATTTGTATGAATTCCCGCTTCCAACGAAATCCTCCAAACTAGCCAAATATCCACTTGCAGATTCCACAAAAAGAGCGTTTCAAAACTTCTCTATGAAAAGAAAGGTTCTACTCCTTTAGTTGAGGACACACATCACGAGTAAGTTTCTGAGAGTGCTTCTGTCTAGTTTTTATGGGAAGATATTTCCTTTTTCACCTTAGGCCGGAAAGTGCTCCAAATGTCCACTTACACACACTACAAAAAGAGTGTTTCAAACCTGCTCTGTGAAAGGGAATGTTCAATTCTGTGACTTGAATGCAATCATCACAAAGAAGTTTCTGAGAATGCTGCTGTCTGCTTTTTATATGTAATCCCGTTTCCAACGAAATCCTCAAATCTAGCCAAATAGCCACTTGCAGATTCCACAAAAAGAGTGTTTCAAAACTGTTCTGTCTAAAGAAATGTTCAACTGTGTTAGTTGAGGACACACATCAGAAACTAGTTTCTGAGAATGCTTCTGTCTAGTTGTTATGGGAAGATATTTCCTTTTCCAACGTAGGCCTGAAAGCGCTCCAAATGTCCACTTCCATATACTAAAAAAAGAGTGTTTCAAACCTGCTCTACCAAAGGGAATGTTCTACTCTGTGACTTGAATGCAAACATCCCAAAGAAGTTTCTGAGAATGCTTCTGTCTAGATTTTATCTGAAGACAATCCCGTTTCCAACGAAATCCTCAAGGCTAGGCAAATATACTCTTGCAGATTCCAGAAAAAGAGGGTTTCAAAACTGCTCCTTCAAAACGGTGGTTCAATTCTCTTAGTTGAGTACACACATCTCAAATAAGTTTCTGAGAATGCTTCTGCCTAGTTGTTACGGGAAGATATTTCCCTTTCCAACATGGGCCTGAAAGCGCTCCAAATGTCCACTTCCAGATACTACAAAAAGAGTGTTTCAAACCTGCTCTACCAAAGGGAATGTTCTACTCTGTGACTTGAATGCAAACATCCCAAAGAAGTTTCTGAGAATGCTTCTGTCTAGATTTTACCTGAAGACAGTCCCGTTTCCCACGAAATCCTCAAAGCTATGCAAATATCCTCTTGCAGATTCTACAAAAAGAGTGTTTCAAAACTGCTCTATGAAAAGAAAGGTTCAACTCTGTCAGTAGAGGGCACACATCACAAACAAGTTTCTGAGAATGCTTGTGTCTAGTTGTTATGGGAAGATATTTCCTTTTTCAACATAGGCCTGAAAGCGCTCCAAATGTCCACTTCCAGATACTACAAAAGGAGTGATTCCAACCTGCTCTATGATAGGGAATGTTCAACTCTCTGTCCTGAATACAAACATCACAAAGATGTTTCTCAGAACGCTGCAGTCTGCAATTTGTATGAATTCCCGCTTCCAAGGAAATCCTCAAAACTAGCCAAATATCCACTTGCAGATTCCACAAAAAGAGCATTTCAAAACTGCTCTATCAAAAGAAAGGTTCAACTTTGTTAGTTGAGTAGATACAGCATAAACAAGTTTCTGAGAATGCTTCTGTCCAGTTTTTATGGGAAGATATTTCCTTTTTCACCTTAGCCCTGAAAGCGCTCCAAAAGTCCAGTTCCAGATACTACAAAAGGGGTGTTTCAGGACTGCTCTATGAAAGGGAGTGTTCAACTTTTGACTTGAATGCAAACATCAGAAAGCAGTTTCTCAGAACGCTGCTGTGTGCTTTTTATATGTATTCCCGCTTCCAGCGAAATCCCCAAAGCTAGCCAAATATCCACTTGCAGATTCCAGAAAAAGAGTGTTTCAAAACTGCTCCTTCAAAACGGTGGTTCAATTCTCTTAGTTGAGTACACACATCTCAAATAAGTTTCTGAGAATGCTTCTGTCTAGTTCTTATGGGAAGATATTTCCTTTTCCAACATAGGCCTGAAAGCGCTCCAAATGTCCACTTCCAGATACTACAAAAGGAGTGATTCAAACCTGCTCTATGATAGGGAATGTTCAACTCTGTGTCCTGAATACAAACATCACAACGATGTTTCTCAGAACGCTGCAGTCTGCAATTTGTATGAATTCCCGCTTCCAACGAAATCCTCAAAACTAGCCAAATATCCACTTGGAGATTCCACAAAAAGAGCGTTTCAAAACTTCTCTATGAATAGAAAGGTTCTACTCCTTTAGTTGAGGACACACATCACGAGTAAGTTTCTGAGAATGCTTCTGTCTAGTTTTTATGGGAAGATATTTCCTTTTTCACCTTAGGCCGGTAAGTGCTCCAAATGTCCACTTACACACACTACAAAAAGAGTGTTTCAAACCTGCTCTGTGAAAGGGAATGTTCAATTCTGTGACTTGAATGCAATCATCACAAAGAACTTTCTGAGAATGCTGCTGTCTGCTTTTTATATGTAATCCCGTTTCCAACGAAATCCTCAAATCTAGCCAAATAGCCACTTGCAGATTCCACAAAAAGAGTGTTTCAAAACTGTTCTGTCTAAAGAAAAGTTCAACTGTGTTAGTTGAGGACACACATCAGAAACTAGTTTCTGAGAATGCTTCTGTCTAGTTGTTATGGGAAGATATTTCCTTTTCCAACGTAGGCCTGAAAGCGCTCCAAATGTCCACTTCCATATACTAAAAAAAGAGTGTTTCAAACCTGCTCTACCAAAGGGAATGTTCTACTCTGTGACTTGAATGCAAACATCCCAAAGAAGTTTCTGAGAATGCTTCTGTCTAGATTTGATCTGAAGACAATCCCGTTTCCAACGAAATCCTCAAAGCTAGGCAAATATCCTCTTGCAGATTCCAGAAAAAGACTGTTTCAAAACTGCTCCTTCAAAACGGTGGTTCAATTCTCTTAGTTGAGTACACACATCTCAAATAAGTTTCTGAGAATGCTTCTGCCTAGTTGTTACGGGAAGATATTTCCCTTTCCAACATAGGCCTGAAAGCGCTCCAAATGTCCACTTCCAGATACTATAAAAAGAGTGTTTCAAACCTGCTCTACCAAAGGGAATGTTCTACTCTGTGACTTGAATGCAAACATCCCAAAGAAGTTTCTGAGAATGCTTCTGTCTAGATTTGATCTGAAGACAATCCCGTTTCCAACGAAATCCTCAAGGCTAGGCAAATATCCTCTTGCAGATTCCAGAAAAAGAGTGTTTCAAAACTGCTCCTTCAAAACGGTGGTTCAATTCTCTTAGTTGAGTACACACATCTCAAATAAGTTTCTGAGAATGCTTCTGCCTAGTTGTTACGGGAAGATATTTCCCTTTCCAACATAGGCTTGAAAGCGCTCCAAATGTCCACTTCCAGATACTACAAAAAGAGTGTTTCAAACCTGCTCTACCAAAGGGAATGTTCTACTCTGTGACTTGAATGCAAACATCCCAAAGAAGTTTCTGAGAATGCTCTGTCTAGATTTTACCTGAAGACAATCCCGTTTCCCACGAAATCCTCAAAGCTATGCAAATATCCTCTTGCAGATTCTACAAAAAGAGTGTTTCAAAACTGCTCTATGAAAAGAAAGGTTCAACTCTGTCAGTAGAGGGCACACATCACAAACAAGTTTCTGAGAATGCTTTGTGTCTAGTTGTTATGGGAAGATATTTCCTTTTTCAACATAGGCCTGAAAGCGCTCCAAATGTCCACTTCCAGATACTACAAAAGGAGTGATTCCAACCTGCTCTATGATAGGGAATGTTCAACTCTCTGTCCTGAATACAAACATCACAAAGATGTTTCTCAGAACGCTGCAGTCTGCAATTTGTATGAATTCCCGCTTCCAGCGAAATCCTCAAAACTAGCCAAATATCCACTTGCAGATTCCACAAAAAGAGCATTTCAAAACTGCTCTATCAAAAGAAAGGTTCAACTTTGTTAGTTGAGTAGATACAGCATAAACAAGTTTCTGAGAATGCTTCTGTCCAGTTTTTATGGGAAGATATTTCCTTTTTCACCTTAGCCCTGAAAGCGCTCCAAAAGTCCAGTTCCAGATACTACAAAAGGAGTGTTTCAGGACTGCACTATGAAAGGGAGTGTTCAACTTTTGACTTGAATGCAAACATCAGAAAGCAGTTTCTCAGAACGCTGCTGTGGGCTTTTTATATGTATTCCCGCTTCCAGCGAAATCCCCAAAGCTAGCCAAATATCCACTTGCAGATTCCAGAAAAAGAGTGTTTCAAAACTGCTCCTTCAAAACGGTGGTTCAATTCTCTTAGTTGAGTACACACATCTCAAATAAGTTTCTGAGAATGCTTCTGTCTAGTTGTTATGGGAAGATATTTCCTTTTCCAACATAGGCCTGAAAGCGCTCCAAATGTCCACTTCCAGATACTACAAAAGGAGTGATTCAAACCTGCTCTATGATAGGGAATGTTCAACTCTGTGTCCTGAATACAGACATCACAAAGATGTTTCTCGGAAAGCTGCAGTCTGCAATTTGTATGAATTCCCGCTTCCAACGAAATCCTCCAAACTAGCCAAATATCCACTTGCAGATTCCACAAAAAGAGCGTTTCAAAACTTCTCTATGAAAAGAAAGGTTCTACTCCTTTAGTTGAGGACACACATCACGAGTAAGTTTCTGAGAATGCTTCTGTCTAGTTTTTATGGGAAGATATTTCCTTTTTCACCTTAGGCCGGTAAGTGCTCCAAATGTCCACTTACACACACTACAAAAAGAGTCTTTCAAACCTGCTCTGTGAAAGGGAATGTTCAATTCTGTGACTTGAATGCAATCATCACAAAGAACTTTCTGAGAATGCTGCTGTCTGCTTTTTATATGTAATCCCGTTTCCAACGAAATCCTCAAATCTAGCCAAATAGCCACTTGCAGATTCCACAAAAAGAGTGTTTCAAAACTGTTCTGTCTAAAGAAATGTTCAACTGTGTTAGTTGAGGACACACATCAGAAACTAGTTTCTGAGAATGCTTCTGTCTAGTTGTTATGGGAAGATATTTCCTTTTCCAACGTAGGCCTGAAAGCGCTCCAAATGTCCACTTCCATATACTAAAAAAAGAGTGTTTCAAACCTGCTCTACCAAAGGGAATGTTCTACTCTGTGACTTGAATGCAAACATCCCAAAGAAGTTTCTGAGAATGCTTCTGTCTAGATTTTATCTGAAGACAATCCCGTTTCCAACGAAATCCTCAAGGCTAGGCAAATATACTCTTGCAGATTCCAGAAAAAGAGTGTTTCAAAACTGCTCCTTGAAAACGGTGGTTCAATTCTCTTAGTTGAGTACACACATCTCAAATAAGTTTCTGAGAATGCTTCTGCCTAGTTGTTACGGGAAGATATTTCCCTTTCCAACATGGGCCTGAAAGCGCTCCAAATGTCCACTTCCAGATACTACAAAAAGAGGGTTTCAAACCTGCTCTACCAAAGGGAATGTTCTACTCTGTGACTTGAATGCAAACATCCCAAAGAAGTTTCTGAGAATGCTTCTGTCTAGATTTTACCTGAAGACAATCCCGTTTCCCACGAAATCCTCAAAGCTATGCAAATATCCTCTTGCAGATTCTACAAAAAGAGTGTTTCAAAACTGCTCTATGAAAAGAAAGGTTCAACTCTGTCAGTAGAGGGCACACATCACAAACAAGTTTCTGAGAATGCTTCTGTCTAGTTGTTATGGGAAGATATTTCCTTTTCCAACATAGGCCTGAAAGCGCTCCAAATGTCCACTTCCAGATACTACAAAAGGAGTGATTCCAACCTGCTCTATGATAGGGAATGTTCAACTCTGTGTCCTGAATACAAACATCACAAAGATGTTTCTCAGAACGCTGCAGTCTGCAATTTGTATGAATTCCCGCTTCCAACGAAATCCTCAAAACTAGCCAAATATCCACTTGCAGATTCCACAAAAAGACCATTTCAAAACTGCTCTATCAAAAGAAAGGTTCAACTTTGTTAGTTGAGTAGATACAGCATAAACAAGTTTCTGAGAATGCTTCTGTCCAGTTTTTATGGGAAGATATTTCCTTTTTCACCTTAGCCCTGAAATCGCTCCAAAAGTCCAGTTCCAGATACTACAAAAGGGGTGTTTCAAGACTGCTCTATGAAAGGGAGTGTTCAACTTTTGACTTGAATGCAAACATCAGAAAGCAGTTTCTCAGAACGCTGCTGTGTGCTTTTTATATGTATTCCCGCCTCCAGCGAAGTCCCCAAAGCTAGCCAAATATCCACTTGCAGATTCCAGAAAAAGAGTGTTTCAAAACTGCTCCTTCAAAACGGTGGTTCAATTCTCTTAGTTGAGTACACACATCTCAAATAAGTTTCTGAGAATGCTTCTGTCTAGTTGTTATGGGAAGATATTTCCTTTTCCAACATAGGCCTGAAAGCGCTCCAAATGTCCACTTCCAGATACTACAAAAGGAGTGATTCAAACCTGCTCTATGATAGGGAATGTTCAACACTCTGTCCTGAATACAAACATCACAAAGATGTTTCTCAGAACGCTGCAGTCTGCAATTTGTATGAATTCCCGCTTCCAACGAAATCCTCAAAACTAGCCAAATATCCACTTGGAGATTCCACAAAAAGAGCGTTTCAAATCTTCTCTATGAATAGAAAGGTTCTACTCCTTTAGTTGAGGACACATATCACGAGTAAGTTTCTGAGAATGCTTCTGTCTAGTTTTTATGGGAAGATATTTCCCTTTTTCACCTTAGGCCGGAAAGTGCTCCAAATGTCCACTTACACACACTACAAAAAGAGTGTTTCAAACCTGCTCTGTGAAAGGGAATGTTCAATTCTGTGACTTGAATGCAATCATCACAAAGAACTTTCTGAGAATGCTGCTGTCTGCTTTTTATATGTAATCCCGTTTCCAACGAAATCCTCAAATCTAGCCAAATAGCCACTTGCAGATTCCACAAAAAGAGTGTTTCAAAACTGTTCTGTCTAAAGAAATGTTCAACTGTGTTAGTTGAGGACACACATCAGAAACTAGTTTCTGAGAATGCTTCTGTCTAGTTGTTATGGGAAGATATTTCCTTTTCCAACGTAGGCCGGAAAGCGCTCCAAATGTCCACTTCCATATACTAAAAAAAGAGTGTTTCAAACCTGCTCTACCAAAGGGAATGTTCTACTCTGTGACTTGAATGCAAACATCCCAAAGAAGTTTCTGAGAATGCTTCTGTCTAGATTTGATCTGAAGACAATCCCGTTTCCAACGAAATCCTCAAGGCTAGGCAAATATCCTCTTGCAGATTCCAGAAAAAGAGTGTTTCAAAACTGCTCCTTCAAAACGGTGGTTCAATTCTCTTAGTTGAGTACACACATCTCAAATAAGTTTCTGAGAATGCTTCTGCCTAGTTGTTACGGGAAGATATTTCCCTTTCCAACATAGGCCTGAAAGCGCTCCAAATGTCCACTTCCAGATACTACAAAAAGAGTGTTTCAAACCTGCTCTACCAAAGGTAATGTTCTGCTCTGTGACTTGAATGCAAACATCCCAAAGAAGTTTCTGAGAATGCTTCTGTCTAGATTTTACCTGAAGACAATCCCGTTTCCCACGAAATCCTCAAAGCTATGCAAATATCCTCTTGCAGATTCTACAAAAAGAGTGTTTCAAAACTGCTCTATGAAAAGAAAGGTTCAACTCTGTCAGTAGAGGGCACACATCACAAACAAGTTTCTGAGAATGCTTGTGTCTAGTTGTTATGGGAAGATATTTCCTTTTTCAACATAGGCCTGAAAGCGCTCCAAATGTCCACTTCCAGATACTACAAAAGGAGTGATTCCAACCTGCTCTATGATAGGGAATGTTCAACTCTCTGTCCTGAATACAAACATCACAAAGATGTTTCTCAGAACACTGCAGTCTGCAATTTGTATGAATTCCCGCTTCCAACGAAATCCTCAAAACTAGCCAAATATCCACTTGCAGATTCCACAAAAAGAGCATTTCAAAACTGCTCTATCAAAAGAAAGGTTCAACTTTGTTAGTTGAGTAGATACAGCATAAACAAGTTTCTGAGAATGCTTCTGTCCAGTTTTTATGGGAAGATATTTCCTTTTTCACCTTAGCCCTGAAAGCGCTCCAAAAGTCCAGTTCCAGATACTACAAAAGGAGTGTTTCAGGACTGCTCTATGAAAGGGAGTGTTCAACTTTTGACTTGAATGCAAACATCAGAAAGCAGTTTCTCAGAACGCTGCTGTGTGCTTTTTATATGTATTCCCGCTTCCAGCGAAATCCCCAAAGCTAGCCAAATATCCACTTGCAGATTCCAGAAAAAGAGTGTTTCAAAACTGCTCCTTCAAAACGGTGGTTCAATTCTCTTAGTTGAGTACACACATCTCAAATAAGTTTCTGAGAATGCTTCCTGTCTATTTGTTATGGGAAGATATTTCCTTTTCCAACATAGGGCCTGAAAGCGCTCCAAATGTCCACTTCCAGATACTACAAAAGGAGTGATTCAAACCTGCTCTATGATAGGGAATGTTCAACTCTGTGTCCTGAATACAAACATCACAAAGATGTTTCTCAGAACGCTGCAGTCTGCAATTTGTATGAATTCCCGCTTCCAACGAAATCCTCCAAACTAGCCAAATATCCACTTGCAGATTCCACAAAAAGAGCGTTTCAAAACTTCTCTATGAAAACAAAGGTTCTACTCCTTTAGTTGAGGACACACATCACGAGTAAGTTTCTGAGAATGCTTCTGTCTAGTTTTTATGGGAAGATATTCCCTTTTTCACCTTAGGCCGGAAAGTGCTCCAAATGTCCACTTACACACACTACAAAAAGAGTGTTTCAAACCTGCTCTGTGAAAGGGAATGTTCAATTCTGTGACTTGAATACAATCATCACAAAGAACTTTCTGAGAATGCTGCTGTCTGCTTTTTATATGTAATCCCGTTTCCAACGAAATCCTCAAATCTAGCCAAATAGCCACTTGCAGATTCCACAAAAAGAGTGTTTCAAAACTGTTCTGTCTAAAGAAATGTTCAACTGTGTTAGTTGAGGACACACATCAGAAACTAGTTTCTGAGAATGCTTCTGTCTAGTTGTTATGGGAAGATATTTCCTTTTCCAACGTAGGCCTGAAAGCGCTCCAAATGTCCACTTCCATATACTAAAAAAAGAGTGTTTCAAACCTGCTCTACCAAAGGGAATGTTCTACTCTGTGACTTGAATGCAAACATCCCAAAGAAGTTTCTGAGAATGCTTCTGTCTAGATTTGATCTGAAGACAATCCCGTTTCCAACGAAATCCTCAAGGCTAGGCAAATATCCTCTTGCAGATTCCAGAAAAAGAGTGTTTCAAAACTGCTCCTTCAAAACGGTGGTTCAATTCTCTTAGTTGAGTACACACATCTCAAATAAGTTTCTGAGAATGCTTCTGCCTAGTTGTTACGGGAAGATATTTCCCTTTCCAACATAGGCCTGAAAGCGCTCCAAATGTCCACTTCCAGATACTACAAAAAAAGTGTTTCAAACCTGCTCTACCAAAGGGAATGTTCTACTCTGTGACTTGAATGCAAACATCCCAAAGAAGTTTCTGAGAATGCTTCTGTCTAGATTTTACCTGAAGACAATCCCGTTTCCCACGAAATCCTCAAAGCTATGCAAATATCCTCTTGCAGATTCTACAAAAAGAGTGTTTCAAAACTGCTCTATGAAAAGAAAGGTTCAACTCTGTCAGTAGAGGGCACACATCACAAACAAGTTTCTGAAAATGCTTGTGTCTAGTTGTTATGGGAAGATATTTCCTTTTTCAACATAGGCCTGAAAGCGCTCCAAATGTCCACTTCCAGATACTACAAAAGGAGTGATTCCAACCTGCTCTATGATAGGGAATGTTCAACTCTCTGTCCTGAATACAAACATCACAAAGATGTTTCTCAGAACGCTGCAGTCTGCAATTTGTATGAATTCCCGCTTCCAACGAAATCCTCAAAACTAGCCAAATATCCACTTGCAGATTCCACAAAAAGAGCATTTCAAAATTGCTCTATCAAAAGAAAGGTTCAACTTTGTTAGTTGAGTAGATACAGCATAAACAAGTTTCTGAGAATGCTTCTGTCCAGTTTTTATGGGAAGATATTTCCTTTTTCACCTTAGCCCTGAAATCGCTCCAAAAGTCCAGTTCCAGATACTACAAAAGGGGTGTTTCAGGACTGCTCTATGAAAGGGAGTGTTCAACTTTTGACTTGAATGCAAACATCAGAAAGCAGTTTCTCAGAACGCTGCTGTGTGCTTTTTATATGTATTCCCGCTTCCAGCGAAATCCCCAAAGCTAGCCAAATATCCACTTGCAGATTCCAGAAAAAGAGTGTTTCAAAACTGCTCCTTCAAAACGGTGGTTCAATTCTCTTAGTTGAGTACACACATCTCAAATAAGTTTCTGAGAATGCTTCTGTCTAGTTGTTATGGGAAGATATTTCCTTTTCCAACATAGGCCTGAAAGCGCTCCAAATGTCCACTTCCAGATACTACAAAAGGAGTGATTCAAACCTGCTCTATGATAGGGAATGTTCAACTCTGTGTCCTGAATACAAACATCACAAAGATGTTTCTCAGAACGCTGCAGTCTGCAATTTGTATGAATTCCCGCTTCCAACGAAATCCTCAAAACTAGCCAAATATCCACTTGCAGATTCCACAAAAAGACCATTTCAAAACTGCTCTATCAAAAGAAAGGTTCAACTTTGTTAGTTGAGTAGATACAGCATAAACAAGTTTCTGAGAATGCTTCTGTCCAGTTTTTATGGGAAGATATTTCCTTTTTCACCTTAGCCCTGAAATCGCTCCAAAAGTCCAGTTCCAGATACTACAAAAGGGGTGTTTCAAGACTGCTCTATGAAAGGGAGTGTTCAACTTTTGACTTGAATGCAAACATCAGAAAGCAGTTTCTCAGAACGCTGCAGTCTGCAATTTGTATGAATTCCCGCTTCCAATGAAATCCTCAAAACTAGCCAAATATCCACTTGCAGAGTCCACAAAAAAAGCGTTTCAAAACTTCTCTATGAAAAGAAAGGTTCTACTCCTTTAGTTGAGGACACACATCACGAGTAAGTTTCTGAGAATGCTTCTGTCTAGTTTTTATGGGAAGATATTTCCTTCTTCACCTTAGGCCGGAAAGCGCTCCAAATGTCCACTTACACACACTACAAAAAGAGTGTTTCAAACCTGCTCTGTGAAAGGGAATGTTCAATTCTGTGACTTGAATGCAATCATCACAAAGAAGTTTCTGAGAATGCTGCTGTCTGCTTTTTATATGTAATCCCGTTTCCAACGAAATCCTCAAATCTAGCCAAATATCCACTTGCAGATTCCACAAAAAGAGTGTTTCAAAACTGTTCTGTCTAAAGAAATGTTCAACTGTGTTAGTTGAGGACACACATCAGAAACTAGTTTCTGAGAATGCTTCTGTCTAGTTGTTATGGGAAGATATTTCCTTTTCCAACGTAGGCCTGAAAGCGCTCCAAATGTCCACTTACACACACTACAAAAAGAGTGTTTCAAACCTGCTCTACCAAAGTGAATGTTCTACTCTGTGACTTGAATGCAAACATCCCAAAGAAGTTTCTGAGAATGCTTCTGTCTAGATTTTACCTGAAGACAATCCCGTTTCCCACGAAATCCTCAAAGCTATGCAAATATCCTCTTGCAGATTCTACAAAAAGAGTGTTTCGAAACTGCTCTATGAAAAGAAAGGTTCAACTGTGTCAGTAGAGGGCACACATCACAAACAAGTTTCTGAGAATGCTTCTGCCTAGTTGTTATGGGAAGATATTTCCTTTTTCAACATAGGCCTGAAAGCGCTCCAAATGTCGACTTCCAGATACTACAAAAGGAGTGATTCCAGCCTTCTCTATGATAGGGAGTGTTCAACTCTGTGTCCTGAATACAAACATCACAAAGACGTTTCTCAGAACGCTGCAGTCTGCAATTTGTATGAATTCCCGCTTCCAACGAAATCCTCCAAACTAGCCAAATATCCACTTGCAGATTCCACAAAAAGAGCGTTTCAAAACTTCTCTATGAAAAGAAAGGTTCTACTCCTTTAGTTGAGGACACACATCACGAGTAAGTTTCTGAGAATGCTTCTGTCTAGTTTTTATGGGAAGATATTTCCTTGTTCACCTTAGGCCGGAAAGCGCTCCAACTGTCCACTTACACACACTACAAAAAGAGTGTTTCAAACCTGCTCTGTGAAAGGGAATGTTCAATTCTGTGACTTGAATGCAATCATCACAAAGAAGTTTCTGAGAATGCTGCTGTCTGCTTTTTATATGTAATCCCGTTTCCAACGAAATCCTCAAATCTAGCCAAATATCCACTTGCAGATTCCACAAAAAGAGTGTTTCAAAACTGTTCTGTCTAAAGAAATGTTCAACTGTGTTAGTTGAGGACACACATCAGAAACTAGTTTCTGAGAATGCTTCTGTCTAGTTGTTATGGGAAGATATTTCCTTTTCCAACGTAGGCCTGAAAGCGCTCCAAATGTCCACTTACACACACTGCAAAAAGAGTGTTTCAAACCTGCTCTACCAAAGGGAATGTTCTACTCTGTGACTTGAATGCAAACATCCCAAAGAAGTTTCTGAGAATGCTTCTGTCTAGATTTGATCTGAAGACAATCCCTTTTCCAACGAAATCCTCAAAGCTAGGCAAATATCCTCTTGCAGATTCCAGAAAAAGAGTGTTTCCAAACTGCTCCTTCAAAACGGTGGTTCAATTCTCTTAGTTGAGTACACACATCTCAAATAAGTTTCTGAGAATGCTTCTGCCTAGTTGTTACGGGAAGATATTTCCCTTTCCAACATAGACCTGAAAGCGCAACAAATGTCCACTTCCAGATACGACAAAAAGAGTGTTTCAAACCTGCTCTACCAAAGGGAATGTTCTACTCTGTGACTTGAATGCAAACATCCCGAAGAAGTTTCTGAGAATGCTTCTGTCTAGATTTTACCTGAAGACAATCCCGTTTCCCACGAAATCCTCAGAGCTATGCAAATATCCTCTTGCAGATTCTACAAAAAGAGTGTTTCGAAACTGCTCTATGAAAAGAAAGGTTCAACTCTGTCAGTAGAGGAAACACATCACCAACAAGTTTCTGAGAATGCTTCTGTCTAGTTGTTATGGGAAGATTTTTCCTTTTTCAACATAGGCCTGAAAGCGCTCCAAATGTCCACTTCCAGATACTACAAAAGGAGTGATCCCAACCTGCTCTATGATAGGGAATGTTCAACTCTGTGTCCTGAATACAAACATCACAAAGATGTTTCTCAGAACGCTGCAGTCTGCAATTTGTATGAATTCCCGCTTCCAACGAAATCCTCAAAACTAGCCAAATATCCACTTGCAGATTCCACAAAAAGAGCATTTCAAAACTGCTCTATCAAAAGAAAGGTTCAACTTTGTTAGTTGAGTAGATACAGCATAAACAAGTTTCTGAGAATGCTTCTGTCCAGTTTTTATGGGAAGATATTTCCTTTTTCACCTTAGCCCTGAAAGCGCTCCAAATTTCCAGTTCCAGATACTACAAAAGGGGTGTTTCAAGACTGCTCTATGAAAGGGAGTGTTCAACTTTTGACTTGAATGCAAACATCAGAAAGCAGTTTCTCAGAACGCTGCTGTGTGCTTTTTATATGTATTCCCGCTTCCAGCGAAATCCCCAAAGCTAGCCAAATATCCACTTGCAGATTCCAGAAAAAGAGTGTTTCCAAACTGCTCCTTCAAAACGGTGGTTCAATTCTCTTAGTTGAGTACACACATCTCAAATAAGTTTCTGGGAATGCTTCTGTCTAGTTGTTATGGGAAGATATTTCCTTTTCCAACATAGGCCTGAAAGCGCTCCAAATGTCCACTTCCAGATACTACAAAAGGAGTGATTCAAACCTGCTCTATGATAGGGAATGTTCAACTCTGTGTCCTGAATACAAACATCACAAAGATGTTTCTCAGAACGCTGCAGTCTGCAATTTGTATGAATTCCCGCTTCCAACGAAATCCTCAAAACTAGCCAAATATCCACTTGCAGATTCCACAAAAAGACCATTTCAAAACTGCTCTATCAAAAGAAAGGTTCAACTTTGTTAGTTGAGTAGATACAGCATAAACAAGT
The DNA here is from genome assembly GCF_000001405.40 of Homo sapiens. Lineage (NCBI taxonomy): Eukaryota > Metazoa > Chordata > Mammalia > Primates > Hominidae > Homo > Homo sapiens. The sequence goes on along the minus strand of NC_000018.10, from coordinate 19,520,760 downwards.
TTCTGAGAATGCTTCTGTCCAGTTTTTATGGGAAGATATTTCCTTTTTCACCTTAGCCCTGAAAGCGCTCCAAATGTCCAGTTCCAGATACTACAAAAGGGGTGTTTCAAGACTGCTCTATGAAAGGGAGTGTTCAACTTTTGACTTGAATGCAAACATCAGAAAGCAGTTTCTCAGAACGCTGCTGTGTGCTTTTTATATGTATTCCCGCTTCCAGCGAAATCCCCAAAGCTAGCCAAATATCCACTTGCAGATTCCAGAAAAAGAGTGTTTCAAAACTGCTCCTTCAAAACGGTGGTTCAATTCTCTTAGTTGAGTACACACATCTCAAATAAGTTTCTGAGAATGCTTCTGTCTAGTTTTTATGGGAAGATATTTCCTTTTTCACCTGAGGCCGGAAAGCGCTCCAAATGTCCACTTCCAGATACTACAAAAGGAGTGATTCAAACCTGCTCTATGATAGGGAACGTTCAACTCTGTGTCCTGAATACAAACATCACAAAGATGTTTCTCAGAACGCTGCAGTCTGCAATTTGTATGAATTCCCGCTTCCAACGAAATCCTCCAAACTAGCCAAATATCCACTTGCAGATTCCACAAAAAGAGCGTTTCAAAACTTCTCTATGAAAAGAAAGGTTCTACTCCTTTAGTTGAGGACACACATCACGAGTAAGTTTCTGAGAGTGCTTCTGTCTAGTTTTTATGGGAAGATATGTCCTTTTTCACCTTAGGCCAGAAAGCGCTCCAAATGTCCACTTACACACACTACAAAAAGAGTGTTTCAAACCTCCTCTGTGAAAGGGAATGTTCAATTCTGTGACTTGAATGCAATCATCACAAAGAACTTTCTGAGAATGCTGCTGTCTGCTTTTTATATGTAATCCCGTTTCCAACGAAATCCTCAAATCTAGCCCAATATCCACTTGCAGATTCCACAAAAAGAGTGTTTCAAAACTGTTCTGTCTAAAGAAATGTACAACTGTGTTAGTTGAGGACACACATCAGAAACTAGTTTCTGAGAATGCTTCTGTCTAGTTGTTATGGGAAGATATTTCCTTTTCCAACGTAGGCCTGAAAGCGCTCCAAATGTCCACTTCCATATACTAAAAAAAGAGTGTTTCAAACCTGCTCTACCAAAGGGAATGTTCTACTCTGTGACTTGAATGCAAACATCCCAAAGAAGTTTCTGAGAATGCTTCTGTCTAGATTTTATCTGAAGACAATCCCGTTTCCAACGAAATCCTCAAGGCTAGGCAAATATACTCTTGCAGATTCCAGAAAAAGAGTGTTTCAAAACTGCTCCTTCAAAACGGTGGTTCAGTTCTCTTAGTTGGGTACACACATCTCAAATAAGTTTCTGAGAATGCTTCTGCCTAGTTGTTACGGGAAGATATTTCCCTTTCCAACATAGGCCTGAAAGCGCTCCAAATGTCCACTTCCAGATACTAAAAAAAGAGTGTTTCAAACCTGCTCTACCAAAGGGAATGTTCTACTCTGTGACTTGAATGCAAACATCCCAAAGAAGTTTCTGAGAATGCTTCTGTCTAGATTTTACCTGAAGACAATCCCGTTTCCCACGAAATCCTCAAAGCTATGCAAATATCCTCTTGCAGATTCTACAAAAAGAGTGTTTCAAAACTGCTCTATGAAAAGAAAGGTTCAACTCTGTCAGTAGAGGGCACACATCACAAACAAGTTTCTGAGAATGCTTGTGTCTAGTTGTTATGGGAAGATATTTCCTTTTTCAACATAGGCCTGAAAGCGCTCCAAATGTCCACTTCCAGATACTACAAAAGGAGTGATTCCAACCTGCTCTATGATAGGGAATGTTCAACTCTCTGTCCTGAATACAAACATCACAAAGATGTTTCTCAGAACGCTGCAGTCTGCAATTTGTATGAATTCCCGCTTCCAGCGAAATCCTCAAAACTAGCCAAATATCCACTTGCAGATTCCACAAAAAGAGCATTTCAAAACTGCTCTATCAAAAGAAAGGTTCAACTTTGTTAGTTGAGTAGATACAGCATAAACAAGTTTCTGAGAATGCTTCTGTCCAGTTTTTATGGGAAGATATTTCCTTTTTCACCTTAGCCCTGAAAGCGCTCCAAAAGTCCAGTTCCAGATACTACAAAAGGGGTGTTTCAGGACTGCTCTATGAAAGGGAGTGTTCAACTTTTGACTTGAATGCAAACATCAGAAAGCAGTTTCTCAGAACGCTGCTGTGTGCTTTTTATATGTATTCCCGCTTCCAGCGAAATCCCCAAAGCTAGCCAAATATCCACTTGCAGATTCCAGAAAAAGAGTGTTTCCAAACTGCTCCTTCAAAACGGTGGTTCAATTCTCTTAGTTGAGTACACACATCTCAAATAAGTTTCTGGGAATGCTTGTGTCTAGTTGTTATGGGAAGATATATCCTTTTTCAACATAGGCCTGAAAGCGTTCCAAATGTCCACTTCCAGATACTACAAAAGGAGTGATTACAACCTGTTCTATGATAGGGAATGTTCAACTCTGTGTCCTGAATACAAACATCACAAAGATGTTTCTCAGAACGCTGCAGTCTGCAATTTGTATGAATTCCCGCTTCCAACGAAATCCTCCAAACTAGCCAAATATCCACTTGCAGATTCCACAAAAAGAGCGTTTCAAAACTTCTCTATGAAAAGAAAGGTTCTACTCCTTTAGTTGAGGACACACATCACGAGTAAGTTTCTGAGAATGCTTCTGTCTAGTTTCTATGGGAAGATATTTCCTTTTTCACCTTAGGCCGGAAAGCGCTCCAAATGTCCACTTACACACACTACAAAAAGAGTGTTTCAAACCTGCTCTGTGAAAGGGAATGTTCAATTCTGTGACTTGAATGCAATCATCACAAAGAACTTTCTGAGAATGCTGCTGTCTGCTTTTTATATGTAATCCCGTTTCCAACGAAATCCTCAAATCTAGCCAAATAGACACTTGCAGATTCCACAAAAAGAGAGTTTCAAAACTGTTCTGTCTAAAGAAATGTTCAACTGTGTTAGTTGAGGACACACATCAGAAACTAGTTTCTGAGAATGCTTCTGTCTAGTTGTTATGGGAAGATATTTCCTTTTCCAACGTAGGCCTGAAAGCGCTCCAAATGTCCACTTCCATATACTAAAAAAAGAGTGTTTCAAACCTGCTCTACCAAAGGGAATGTTCTACTCTGTGACTTGAATGCAAACATCCCAAAGAAGTTTCTGAGAATGCTTCTGTCTAGATTTTATCTGAAGACAATCCCGTTTCCAACGAAATCCTCAAGGCTAGGCAAATATACTCTTGCAGATTCCAGAAAAAGAGTGTTTCAAAACTGCTCCTTCAAAACGGTGGTTCAATTCTCTTAGTTGAGTACACACATCTCAAATAAGTTTCTGAGAATGCTTCTGCCTAGTTGTTACGGGAAGATATTTCCCTTTCCAACATAGGCCTGAAAGCGCTCCAAATGTCCACTTCCAGATACTACAAAAAGAGTGTTTCAAGCCTGCTCTACCAAAGGGAATGTTCTGCTCTGTGACTTGAATGCAAACATCCCAAAGAAGTTTCTGAGAATGCTTCTGTCTAGATTTTACCTGAAGACAATCCCGTTTCCCACGAAATCCTCAAAGCTATGCAAATATCCTCTTGCAGATTCTACAAAAAGAGTGTTTCAAAACTGCTCTATGAAAAGAAAGGTTCAACTCTGTCAGTAGAGGGCACACATCACAAACAAGTTTCTGAGAATGCTTGTGTCTAGCTGTTATGGGAAGATATTTCCTTTTTCAAGATAGGCCAGAAAGCGCTCCAAATGTCCACTTCCAGATACTACAAAAGGAGTGATTCCAACCTGCTCTATGATAGGGAATGTTCAACTCTCTGTCCTGAATACAAACATCACAAAGATGTTTCTCAGAACGCTGCAGTCTGCAATTTGTATGAATTCCCGCTTCCAACGAAATCCTCAAAACTAGCCAAATATCCACTTGCAGATTCCACAAAAAGAGCATTTCAAAACTGCTCTATCAAAAGAAAGGTTCAACTTTGTTAGTTGAGTAGATACAGCATAAACAAGTTTCTGAGAATGCTTCTGTCCAGTTTTTATGGGAAGATATTTCCTTTTTCACCTTAGCCCTGAAAGCGCTCCAAAAGTCCAGTTCCAGATACTACAAAAGGGGTGTTTCAGGACTGCTCTATGAAAGGGAGTGTTCAACTTTTGACTTGAATGCAAACATCAGAAAGCAGTTTCTCAGAACGCTGCTGTGTGCTTTTTATATGTATTCCCGCTTCCAGCGAAATCCCCAAAGCTAGCCAAATATCCACTTGCAGATTCCAGAAAAAGAGTGTTTCAAAACTGCTCCTTCAAAACGGTGGTTCAATTCTCTTAGTTGAGTACACACATCTCAAATAAGTTTCTGAGAATGCTTCTGTCTAGTTGTTATGGGAAGATATTTCCTTTTCCAACATAGGCCTGAAAGCGCTCCAAATGTCCACTTCCAGATACTACAAAAGGAGTGATTCCAACCTGCTCTATGATAGGGAATGTTCAACTCTGTGTCCTGAATACAAACATCACAAAGATGTTTCTCAGAACGCTGCAGTCTGCAATTTGTATGAATTCCCGCTTCCAACGAAATCCTCAAAACTAGCCAAATATCCACTTGCAGATTCCACAAAAAGAGCGTTTCAAAACTTCTCTATGAAAAGAAAGGTTCTACTCCTTTAGTTGAGGACACACATCACGAGTAAGTTTCTGAGAGTGCTTCTGTCTAGTTTTTATGGGAAGATATTTCCTTTTTCACCTTAGGCCGGAAAGTGCTCCAAATGTCCACTTACACACACTACAAAAAGAGTGTTTCAAAACTGCTCTGTGAAAGGGAATGTTCAATTCTGTGACTTGAATGCAATCATCACAAAGAACGTTCTGAGAATGCTGCTGACTGCTTTTTATATGTAATCCCGTTTCCAACGAAATCCTCAAATCTAGCCAAATAGCCACTTGCAGATTCCACAAAAAGAGTGTTTCAAAACTGTTCTGTCTAAAGAAATGTTCAACTTGTGTTAGTTGAGGACACACATCAGAAACTAGTTTCTGAGAATGCTTCTGTCTAGTTGTTATGGGAAGATATTTCCTTTTCCAACGTAGGCCTGAAAGCGCTCCAAATGTCCACTTCCAGATACTACAAAAAGAGTGTTTCAAACCTGCTCTACCAAAGGGAATGTTCTACTCTGTGACTTGAATGCAAGCATCCCAAAGAAGTTTCTGAGAATGCTTCTGTCTAGATTTGATCTGAACACAATCCCGTTTCCAACGAAATCCTCAAAGCTAGGCAAATATCCTCTTGCAGATTCCAGAAAAAGAGTGTTTCAAAACTGCTCCTTCAAAACGGTGGTTCAATTCTCTTAGTTGAGTACACACATCTCAAATAAGTTTCTGAGAATGCTTCTGCCTAGTTGTTACCGGAAGATATTTCCCTTTCCAACATAGGCCTGAAAGCGCTCCAAATGTCCACTTTCAGATACTACAAAAAGAGTGTTTCAAACCTGCTCTACCAAAGGGAATGTTCTACTCTGTGACTTGAATGCAAACATCCCAAAGAAGTTTCTGAGAATGCTTCTGTCTAGATTTTACCTGAAGACAATCCCGTTTCCCACGAAATCCTCAAAGCTATGCAAATATCCTCTTGCAGATTCTACAAAAAGAGTGTTTCAAAACTGCTCTATGAAAAGAAAGGTTCAACTCTGTCAGCAGAGGGCACACATCACAAACAAGTTTCTGAGAATGCTTGTGTCTAGTTGTTATGGGAAGATATTTCCCTGTCCAAAATAGGCCTGAAAGCGCTCCAAATGTCCACTTCCAGATACTACAAAAGGAGTGATTCCAACCTGCTCTATGATAGGGAATGTTCAACTCTGTGTCCTGAATACAAACATCACAAAGATGTTTCTCATAACGCTGCAGTCTGCAATTTGTATGAATTCCCGCTTCCAACGAAATCCTCAAAACTAGCCAAATATCCACTTGCAGATTCCACAAAAAGACCATTTCAAAACTGCTCTATCAAAAGAAAGGTTCAACTTTGTTAGTTGAGTAGATACAGCATAAACAAGTTTCTGAGAATGCTTCTGTCCAGTTTTTATGGGAAGATATTTCCTTTTTCACCTTAGCCCTGAAATCGCTCCAAAAGTCCAGTTCCAGATACTACAAAAGGGGTGTTTCAAGACTGCTCTATGAAAGGGAGTGTTCAACTTTTGACTTGAATGCAAACATCAGAAAGCAGTTTCTCAGAACGCTGCTGTGTGCTTTTTATATGTATTCCCGCTTCCAGCGAAATCCCCAAAGCTAGCCAAATATCCACTTGCAGATTCCAGAAAAAGAGTGTTTCAAAACTGCTCCTTCAAAACGGTGGTTCAATTCTCTTAGTTGAGTACACACATCTCAAATAAGTTTCTGAGAATGCTTCTGTCTAGTTGTTATGGGAAGATATTTCCTTTTCCAACATAGGCCTGAAAGCGCTCCAAATGTCCACTTCCAGATACTACAAAAGGAGTGATTCAAACCTGCTCTATGATAGGGAATGTTCAACTCTGTGTCCTGAATACAAACATCACAAAGATGTTTCTCAGAACGCTGCAGTCTGCAATTTGTATGAATTCCCGCTTCCAACGAAATCCTCCAAACTAGCCAAATATCCACTTGCAGATTCCACAAAAAGAGCGTTTCAAAACTTCTCTATGAAAAGAAAGGTTCTACTCCTTTAGTTGAGGACACACATCACGAGTAAGTTTCTGAGAATGCTTCTGTCTGGTTTTTATGGTAAGATATGTCCTTTTTCACCTTAGGCCGGAAAGCGCTCCAAATGTCCACTTACACACACTACAAAAAGAGTGTTTCAAACCTGCTCTGTGAAAGGGAATGTTCAATTCTGTGACTTGAATGCAATCATCACAAAGAACTTTCTGAGAATGCTGCTGACTGCTTTTTATATGTAATCCCGTTTCCAACGAAATCCTCAAATCTAGCCCAATATCCACTTGCAGATTCCACAAAAAGAGTGTTTCAAAACTGTTCTGTCTAAAGAAATGTACAACTGTGTTAGTTGAGGACACACATCAGAAACTAGTTTCTGAGAATGCTTCTGTCTAGTTGTTATGGGAAGATATTTCCTTTTCCAACGTAGGCCTGAAAGCGCTCCAAATGTCCACTTCCATATACTAAAAAAAGAGTGTTTCAAACCTGCTCTACCAAAGGGAATGTTCTACTCTGTGACTTGAATGCAAACATCCCAAAGAAGTTTTTGAGAATGCTTCTGTCTAGATTTGATCTGAAGACAATCCCGTTTCCAACGAAATCCTCAAGGCTAGGCAAATATCCTCTTGCAGATTCCAGAAAAAGAGTGTTTCAAAACTGCTCCTTCAAAACGGTGGTTCAATTCTCTTAGTTGAGTACACACATCTCAAATAACTTTCTGAGAATGCTTCTGCCTAGTTGTTACGGGAAGATATTTCCCTTTCCAACATAGGCCTGAAAGCGCTCCAAATGTCCACTTCCAGATACTACAAAAAGAGTGTTTCAAACCTGCTCTACCAAAGGGAATGTTCTGCTCTGTGACTTGAATGCAAACATCCCAAAGAAGTTTCTGAGAATGCTTCTGTCTAGATTTTACCTGAAGTACAATCCCGTTTCCCACGAAATCCTCAAAGCTATGCAAATATCCTCTTGCAGATTCTACAAAAAGAGTGTTTCAAAACTGCTCTATGAAAAGAAAGGTTCAACTCTGTCATTAGAGGGCACACATCACAAACAAGTTTCTGAGAATGCTTGTGTCTAGTTGTTATGGGAAGATATTTCCTTTTTCAACATAGGCCTGAAAGCGCTCCAAATGTCCACTTCCAGATACTACAAAAGGAGTGATTCCAACCTGCTCTATGATAGGGAATGTTCAACTCTCTGTCCTGAATACAAACATCACAAAGATGTTTCTCAGAACGCTGCAGTCTGCAATTTGTATGAATTCCCGCTTCCAACGAAATCCTCAAAACTAGCCAAATATCCACTTGCAGATTCCACAAAAAGACCATTTCAAAACTGCTCTATCAAAAGAAAGGTTCAACTTTGTTAGTTGAGTAGATACAGCATAAACAAGTTTCTGAGAATGCTTCTGTCCAGTTTTTATGGGAAGATATTTCCTTTTTCACCTTAGCCCTGAAATCGCTCCAAAAGTCCAGTTCCAGATACTACAAAAGGGGTGTTTCAAGACTGCTCTATGAAAGGGAGTGTTCAACTTTTGACTTGAATGCAAACATCAGAAAGCAGTTTCTCAGAACGCTGCTGTGTGCTTTTTATATGTATTCCCGCTTCCAGCGAAATCCCCAAAGCTAGCCAAATATCCACTTGCAGATTCCAGAAAAAGAGAGTTTCAAAACTGCTCCTTCAAAACGGTGGTTCAATTCTCTTAGTTGAGTACACACATCTCAAATAAGTTTCTGAGAATGCTTGTGTCTAGTTGTTATGGGAAGATATTTCCTTTTTCAACATAGGCCTGAAAGCGCTCCAAATGTCCACTTCCAGATACTACAAAAGGAGTGATTCCAACCTGCTCTATGATAGGGAATGTTCATCTCTGTGTCCTGAATACAAACATCACAAAGATGTTTCTCAGAACGCTGCAGTCTGCAATTTGTATGAATTCCCGCTTCCAACGAAATCCTCAAAACTAGCCAAATATCCACTTGGAGATTCCACAAAAAGAGCGTTTCAAAACTTCTCTATGAATAGAAATGTTCTACTCCTTTAGTTGAGGACACACATCACGAGTAAGTTTCTGAGAATGCTTCTGTCTAGTTTTTATGGGAAGATATTTCCTTTTTCACCTTAGGCCGGAAAGCGCTCCAAATGTCCACTTACACACACTACAAAAAGAGGGTTTCAAACCTGCTCTGTGAAAGGGAATGTTCAATTCTGTGACTTGAATGCAATCATCACAAAGAACTTTCTGAGAATGCTGCTGACTGCTTTTTATATGTAATCCCGTTTCCAACGAAATCCTCAAATCTAGCCAAATAGCCTCTTGCAGATTCCACAAAAAGAGTGTTTCAAAACTGTTCTGTCTAAAGAAATGTTCAACTGTGTTAGTTGAGGACACACATCAGAAACTAGTTTCTGAGAATGCTTCTGTCTAGTTGTTATGGGAAGATATTTCCTTTTCCAACGTAGGCCTGAAAGCGCTCCAAATGTCCACTTCCATATACTAAAAAAAGAGTGTTTCAAACCTGCTCTACCAAAGGGAATGTTCTACTCTGTGACTTGAATGCAAACATCCCAAAGAAGTTTCTGAGAATGCTTCTGTCTAGATTTTCTCTGAAGACAATCCCGTTTCCAACGAAATCCTCAAGGCTAGGCAAATATACTCTTGCAGATTCCAGAAAAAGAGTGTTTCAAAACTGCTCCTTCAAAACGGTGGTTCAATTCTCTTAGTTGAGTACACACATCTCAAATAAGTTTCTGAGAATGCTTCTGCCTAGTTGTTACGGGAAGATATTTCCCTTTCCAACATAGGCTTGAAAGCGCTCCAAATGTCCACTTCCAGATACTATAAAAAGAGTGTTTCAAACCTGCTCTACCAAAGGGAATGTTCTACTCTGTGACTTGAATGCAAACATCCCAAAGAAGTTTCTGAGAATGCTTCTGTCTAGATTTTACCTGAAGACAATCCCGTTTCCCACGAAATCCTCAAAGCTATGCAAATATCCTCTTGCAGATTCTACAAAAAGAGTGTTTCAAAACTGCTCTATGAAAAGAAAGGTTCAACTCTGTCAGTAGAGGGCACACATCACAAACAAGTTTCTGAGAATGCTTGTGTCTAGTTGTTATGGGAAGATATTTCCTTTTTCAACATAGGCCTGAAAGCGCTCCAAATGTCCACTTCCAGATACTACAAAAGGAGTGATTCCAACCTGCTCTATGATAGGGAATGTTCAACTCTCTGTCCTGAATACAAACATCACAAAGATGTTTCTCAGAACGCTGCAGTCTGCAGTTTGTATGAATTCCCGCTTCCAACGAAATCCTCAAAACTAGCCAAATATCCACTTGCAGATTCCACAAAAAGAGCATTTCAAAACTGCTCTATCAAAAGAAAGGTTCAACTTTGTTAGTTGAGTAGATACAGCATAAACAAGTTTCTGAGAATGCTTCTGTCCAGTTTTTATGGGAAGATATTTCCTTTTTCACCTTAGCCCTGAAAGCGCTCCAAAAGTCCAGTTCCAGATACTACAAAAGGAGTGTTTCAGGACTGCTCTATGAAAGGGAGTGTTCAACTTTTGACTTGAATGCAAACATCAGAAAGCAGTTTCTCAGAACGCTGCTGTGTGCTTTTTATATGTATTCCCGCCTCCAGCGAAATCCCCAAAGCTAGCCAAATATCCACTTGCAGATTCCAGAAAAAGAGTGTTTCAAAACTGCTCCTTCAAAACGGTGGTTCAATTCTCTTAGTTGAGTACACACATCTCAAATAAGTTTCTGAGAATGCTTGTGTCTAGTTGTTATTGGAAGATATTTCCTTTTTCAACATAGGCCTGAAAGCGCTCCAAATGTCCACTTCCAGATACTACAAAAGGAGTGATTCCAACCTGCTCTATGATAGGGAATGTTCATCTCTGTGTCCTGAATACAAACATCACAAAGATGTTTCTCAGAACGCTGCAGTCTGCAATTTGTATGAATTCCCGCTTCCAACGAAATCCTCAAAACTAGCCAAATATCCACTTGCAGATTCCACAAAAAGAGCGTTTCAAAACTTCTCTATGAAAAGAAAGGTTCTACTCCTTTAGTTGAGGACACACATCACGAGTAAGTTTCTGAGAATGCTTCTGTCTAGTTTTTATGGGAAGATTATTTCCTTTTTCACCTTAGGCCGGTAAGTGCTCCAAATGTCCACTTACACACACTACAAAAAGAGTGTTTCAAACCTGCTCTGTGAAAGGGAATGTTCAATTCTGTGACTTGAATGCAATCATCACAAAGAACTTTCTGAGAATGCTGCTGGCTGCTTTTTATATGTAATCCCGTTTCCAACGAAATCCTCAAATCTAGCCAAATAGCCACTTGCAGATTCCACAAAAAGAGTGTTTCAAAACTGTTCTGTCTAAAGAAATGTTCAACTGTGTTAGTTGAGGACACACATCAGAAACTAGTTTCTGAGAATGCTTCTGTCTAGTTGTTATGGGAAGATATTTCCTTTTCCAACGTAGGCCTGAAAGCGCTCCAAATGTCCACTTCCAGATACTACAAAAAGAGTGTTTCAAACCTGCTCTACCAAAGGGAATGTTCTACTCTGTGACTTGAATGCAAGCATCCCAAAGAAGTTTCTGAGAATGCTTCTGTCTAGATTTTCTCTGAAGACAATCCCGTTTCCAACGAAATCCTCAAGGCTAGGCAAATATACTCTTGCAGATTGCAGAAAAAGAGTGTTTCAAAACTGCTCCTTCAAAACGGTGGTTCAATTCTCTTAGTTGAGTACACACATCTCAAATAAGTTTCTGAGAATGCTTCTGCCTAGTTGTTACGGGAAGATATTTCCCTTTCCAACATAGGCCTGAAAGCGCTCCAAATATCCACTTCCAGATACTACAAAAAGAGTGTTTCAAACCTGCTCTACCAAAGGGAATGTTCTACTCTGTGACTTGAATGCAAACATCCCGAGGAATTTTCTGAGAATGCTTCTGTCTAGATTTTACCTGAAGACAATCCCGTTTCCCACGAAATCCTCAAAGCTATGCAAATATCCTCTTGCAGATTCTACAAAAAGAGTGTTTCAAAACTGCTCTATGAAAAGAAAGGTTCAACTCTGTCAGTAGAGGGCACACATCACAAACAAGTTTCTGAGAATGCTTGTGTCTAGTTGTTATGGGAAGATATTTCCTTTTTCAACATAGGCCTGAAAGCGCTCCAAATGTCCACTTCCAGATACTACAAAAGGAGTGATTCCAACCTGCTCTATGATAGGGAATGTTCAACTCTATGTCCTGAATACAAACATCACAAAGATGTTTCTCAGAACGCTGCAGTCTGCAATTTGTATGAATTCCCGCTTCCAACGAAATCCTCAAAACTAGCCAAATATCCACTTGCAGATTCCACAAAAAGAGCGTTTCAAAACTTCTCTATGAAAAGAAAGGTTCTGCTCCTTTAGTTGAGGACACACATCACGAGTAAGTTTCTGAGAATGCTTCTGTCTAGTTTTTATGGGAAGATATTTCCTTTTTCACCTTAGGCCGGAAAGTGCTCCAAATGTCCACTTACACACACTACAAAAAGAGTGTTTCAAACCTGCTCTGTGAAAGGGAATGTTCAATTCTGTGACTTGAATGCAATCATCACAAAGAACTTTCTGAGAATGCTGCTGTCTGCTTTTTATATGTAATCCCGTTTCCAACGAAATCCTCAAATCTAGCCAAATATCCACTTGCAGATTCCACAAAAAGAGTGTTTCAAAACTGTTCTGTCTAAAGAAAAGTTCAACTGTGTTAGTTGAGGACACACATCAGAAACTAGTTTCTGAGAATGCTTCTGTCTAGTTGTTATGGGAAGATATTTCCTTTTCCAACGTAGGCCTGAAAGCGCTCCAAATGTCCACTTCCATATACTAAAAAAAGAGTGTTTCAAACCTGCTCTACCAAAGGGAATGTTCTACTCTGTGACTTGAATGCAAACATCCCAAAGGAGTTTCTGAGAATGCTTCTGTCTAGATTTTACCTGAAGACAATCCCGTTTCCCACGAAATCCTCAAAGCTATGCAAATATCCTCTTGCAGATTCTACAAAAAGAGTGTTTCAAAACTGCTCTATGAAAAGAAAGGTTCAACTCTGTCAGTAGAGGGCACACATCACAAACAAGTTTCTGAGAATGCTTGTGTCTAGTTGTTATGGGAAGATATTTCCTTTTTCAACATAGGCCAGAAAGCGCTCCAAATGTCCACTTCCAGATACTACAAAAGGAGTGATTCCAACCTGCTCTATGATAGGGAATGTTCAACTCTGTGTCCTGAATACAAACATCACAAAGATGTTTCTCAGAACGCTGCAGTCTGCAATTTGTATGAATTCCCGCTTCCAACGAAATCCTCAAAACTAGCCAAATATCCACTTGCAGATTCCACAAAAAGAGCATTTCAAAACTGCTCTATCAAAAGAAAGGTTCAACTCTGTCAGTAGAGGGCACACATCACAAACAAGTTTCTGAGAATGCTTGTGTCTAGTTGTTATGGGAAGATATTTCCTTTTTCAACATAGGCCAGAAAGCGCTCCAAAAGTCCAGTTCCAGATACTACAAAAGGAGTGTTTCAGGACTGCACTAAGAAAGGGAGTGTTCAACTTTTGACTTGAATGCAAACATCAGAAAGCAGTTTCTCAGAACGCTGCTGTGGGCTTTTTATATGTATTCCCGCTTCCAGCGAAATCCCCAAAGCTAGCCAAATATCCACTTGCAGATTCCAGAAAAAGAGTGTTTCAAAACTGCTCCTTCAAAACGGTGGTTCAATTCTCTTAGTTGAGTACACACATCTCAAATAAGTTTCTGAGAATGCTTCTGTCTAGTTGTTATGGGAAGATATTTCCTTTTCCAACATAGGCCTGAAAGCGCTCCAAATGTCCACTTCCAGATACTACAAAAGGAGTGATTCAAACCTGCTCTATGATAGGGAATGTTCAACTCTGTGTCCTGAATACAAACATCACAAAGATGTTTCTCAGAACGCTGCAGTCTGCAATTTGTATGAATTCCCGCTTCCAACGAAATCCTCCAAACTAGCCAAATATCCACTTGCAGATTCCACAAAAAGAGCGTTTCAAAACTTCTCTATGAAAAGAAAGGTTCTACTCCTTTAGTTGAGGACACACATCACGAGTAAGTTTCTGAGAATGCTTCTGTCTAGTTTTTATGGGAAGATATTTCCTTTTTCACCTTAGGCCGGAAAGTGCTCCAAATGTCCACTTACACACACTACAAAAAGAGTGTTTCAAACCTGCTCTGTGAAAGGGAATGTTCAATTCTGTGACTTGAATGCAATCATCACAAAGAACGTTCTGAGAATGCTGCTGTCTGCTTTTTATTTGTAATCCCGTTTCCAACGAAATCCTCAAATCTAGCCAAATAGCCACTTGCAGATTCCACAAAAAGAGAGTTTCAAAACTGTTCTGTCTAAAGAAATGTTCAACTGTGTTAGTTGAGGACACACATCAGAAACTAGTTTCTGAGAATGCTTCTGTCTAGTTGTTATGGGAAGATATTTCCTTTTCCAACGTAGGCCTGAAAGCGCTCCAAATGTCCACTTCCAGATACTACAAAAAGAGTGTTTCAAACCTGCTCTACCAAAGGGAATGTTCTACTCTGTGACTTGAATGCAAACATCCCAAAGAAGTTTCTGAGAATGCTTCTGTCTAGATTTTATCTGAAGACAATCCCGTTTCCAACGAAATCCTGAAGGCTAGGCAAATATACTCTTGCAGATTCCAGAAAAAGAGGGTTTCAAAACTGCTCCTTCAAAACGGTGGTTCAATTCTCTTAGTTGAGTACACACATCTCAAATAAGCTTCTGAGAATGCTTCTGCCTAGTTGTTACGGGAAGATATTTCCCTTTTCAACATGGGCCTGAAAGCGCTCCAAATGTCCACTTCCAGATACTACAAAAAGAGTGTTTCAAACCTGCTCTACCAAAGGGAATGTTCTACTCTGTGATTTGAATGCAAACATCCCAAAGAAGTTTCTGAGAATGCTTCTGTCTAGATTTTACCTGAAGACAATCCCGTTTCCCACGAAATCCTCAAAGCTATGCAAATATCCTCTTGCAGATTCTACAAAAAGAGTGTTTCAAAACTGCTCTATGAAAAGAAAGGTTCAACTCTGTCAGTAGAGGGCACACATCACAAACAAGTTTCTGAGAATGCTTGTGTCTAGTTGCTATGGGAAGATATTTCCTTTTTCAACATAGGCCTGAAAGCGCTCCAAATGTCCACTTCCAGATACTACAAAAGGAGTGATTCCAACCTGCTCTATGATAGGGAATGTTCAACTCTCTGTCCTGAATACAAACATCACAAAGATGTTTCTCAGAACGCTGCAGTCTGCAATTTGTATGAATTCCCGCTTCCAACGAAATCCTCAAAACTAGCCAAATATCCACTTGCAGATTCCACAAAAAGACCATTTCAAAACTGCTCTATCAAAAGAAAGGTTCAACTTTGTTAGTTGAGTAGATACAGCATAAACAAGTTTCTGAGAATGCTTCTGTCCAGTTTTTATGGGAAGATATTTCCTTTTTCACCTTAGCCCTGAAATCGCTCCAAAAGTCCAGTTCCAGATACTACAAAAGGGGTGTTTCAAGACTGCTCTATGAAAGGGAGTGTTCAACTTTTGACTTGAATGCAAACATCAGAAAGCAGTTTCTCAGAACGCTGCTGTGTGCTTTTTATATGTATTCCCGCTTCCAGCGAAATCCCCAAAGCTAGCCAAATATCCACTTGCAGATTCCAGAAAAAGAGTGTTTCAAAACTGCTCCTTCAAAACGGTGGTTCAATTCTCTTAGTTGAGTACACACATCTCAAATAAGTTTCTGAGAATGCTGCAGTCTGCAATTTGTATGAATTCCCGCTTCCAACGAAATCCTCAAAACTAGCCAAATATCCACTTGCAGATTCCACAAAAAGAGCATTTCAAAACTGCTCTATCAAAAGAAAGGTTCAACTTTGTTAGTTGAGTAGATACAGCATAAACAAGTTTACTGAGAATGCTTGCAGTCTGCAATTTGTATGAATTCCCGCTTCCAACGAAATCCTCAAAACTAGCCAAATATCCACTTGCAGATTCCACAAAAAGAGCGTTTCAAAACTTCTCTATGAAAAGAAAGGTTCTACTCCTTTAGTTGAGGACACACATCACGAGTAAGTTTCTGAGAATGCTTCTGTCTAGTTTTTATGGGAAGATATTTCCTTTTTCACCTTAGGCCGGTAAGTGCTCCAAATGTCCACTTACACACACTACAAAAAGAGTGTTTCAAACCTGCTCTGTGAAAGGGAATGTTCAATTCTGTGACTTGAATGCAATCATCACAAAGAACTTTCTGAGAATGCTGCTGACTGCTTTTTATATGTAATCCCGTTTCCAACGAAATCCTCAAATCTAGCCAAATAGCCACTTGCAGATTCCACAAAAAGAGTGTTTCAAAACTGTTCTGTCTAAAGAAATGTTCAACTGTGTTAGTTGAGGACACACATCAGAAACTAGTTTCTGAGAATGCTTCTGTCTAGTTGTTATGGGAAGATATTTCCTTTTCCAACGTAGGCCTGAAAGCGCTCCAAATGTCCACTTCCATATACTAAAAAAAGAGTGTTTCAAACCTGCTCTACCAAAGGGAATGTTCTACTCTGTGACTTGAATGCAAACATCCCAAAGAAGTTTCTGAGAATGCTTCTGTCTAGATTTTATCTGAAGACAATCCCGTTTCCAACGAAATCCTCAAGGCTAGGCAAATATCGTCTAGCAGATTCCAGAAAAAGAGTGTTTCAAAACTGCTCCTTCAAAACGGTGGTTCAATTCTCTTAGTTGCGTACACACATCTCAAAAAAGTTTCAGAGAATGCTTCTGCCTAGTTGTTACGGGAAGATATTTCCCTTTCCAACATGGGCCTGAAAGTGCTCCAAATGTCCACTTCCAGATACTACAAAAAGAGTGTTTCAAACCTACTCTACCAAAGGGAATGTTCTACTCTGTGACTTGAATGCAAACATCCCAAAGAAGTTTCTGAGAATGCTTCTGTCTAGATTTTACCTGAAGACAATCCCGTTTCCCACGAAATCCTCAAAGCTATGCAAATATCCTCTTGCAGATTCTACAAAAAGAGTGTTTCAAAACTGCTCTATGAAAAGAAAGGTTCAACTCTGTCAGTAGAGGGCACACATCACAAACAAGTTTCTGAGAATGCTTGTGTCTAGTTGTTATGGGAAGATATTTCCTTTTTCAACATAGGCCAGAAAGCGCTCCAAATGTCCACTTCCAGATACTACAAAAGGAGTGATTCCAACCTGCTCTATGATAGGGAATGTTCAACTCTCTGTCCTGAATACAAACATCACAAAGATGTTTCTCAGAACGCTGCAGTCTGCAATTTGTATGAATTCCCGCTTCCAACGAAATCCTCAAAACTAGCCAAATATCCACTTGCAGATTCCACAAAAAGAGCATTTCAAAACTGCTCTATCAAAAGAAAGGTTCAACTTTGTTAGTTGAGTAGATACAGCATAAACAAGTTTCTGAGAATGCTTCTGTCCAGTTTTTATGGGAAGATATTTCCTTTTTCACCTTAGCCCTGAAAGCGCTCCAAAAGTCCAGTTCCAGATACTACAAAAGGAGTGTTTCAGGACTGCTCTATGAAAGGGAGTGTTCAACTTTTGACTTGAATGCAAACATCAGAAAGCAGTTTCTCAGAACGCTGCAGTCTGCAATTTGGATGAATTCCCGCTTCCAACGAAATCCTCAAAACTAGCCAAATATCCACTTGGAGATTCCACAAAAAGAGCGTTTCAAAACTTCTCTATGAATAGAAAGGTTCTACTCCTTTAGTTGAGGACACACATCACGAGTAAGTTTCTGAGGATGCTTCTGTCTAGTTTTTATGGGAAGATATTTCCTTTTTCACCTTAGGCCGGAAAGCGCTCCAAATGTCCACTTACACACACTACAAAAAGAGTGTTTCAAACCTGCTCTGTGAAAGGGAATGTTCAATTCTGTGACTTGAATGCAATCATCACAAAGAACTTTCTGAGAATGCTGCTGACTGTTTTTTATATGTAATCCCGTTTCCAACGAAATCCTCAAATCTAGCCAATTATCCACTTGCAGATTCCACAAAAAGAGTGTTTCAAAACTGTTCTGTCTAAAGAAAAGTTCAACTGTGTTAGTTGAGGACACATATCAGAAACTAGTTTCTGAGAATGCTTCTGTCTAGTTGTTATGGGAAGATATTTCCTTTTCCAACGTAGGCCTGAAAGCGCTCCAAATGTCCACTTCCATATACTAAAAAAAGAGTGTTTCAAACCTGCTCTACCAAAGGGAATGTTCTACTCTGTGACTTGAATGCAAACATCCCAAAGAAGTTTCTGAGAATGCTTCTGTCTATATTTGATCTGAAGACAATCCCGTTTCCAACGAAATCCTCAAAGCTAGGCAAATATACTCTTGCAGATTCCAGAAAAAGAGTGTTTCAAAACTGCTCCTTCAAAAGGGTGGTTCAATTCTCTTAGTTGAGTACACACATCTCAAATAAGTTTCTGAGAATGCTTCTGCCTAGTTGTTAAGGGAAGATATTTCCCTTTCCAACATAGACCTGAAAGCGCTCCAAATGTCCACTTCCAGATACTACAAAAAGAGTGTTTCAAACCTGCTCTACCAAAGGGAATGTTCTACTGTGTGACTTGAATGCAAACATCCCAAAGAAGTTTCTGAGAATGCTTCTGTCTAGATTTTACCTGAAGACAATCCCGTTTCCCACGAAATCCTCAAAGCTATGCAAATATCCTCTTGCAGATTCTACAAAAAGAGTGTTTCAAAACTGCTCTATGAAAAGAAAGGTTCAACTCTGTCAGTAGAGGGCACACATCACAAACAAGTTTCTGAGAATGCTTGTGTCTACTTGTTATGGGAAGATATTTCCTTTTTCAACATAGGCCTGAAAGCGCTCCAAATGTCCACTTCCAGATACTACAAAAGGAGTGATTCCAACCTCCTCTATGATAGGGAATGTTCAACTCTGTGTCCTGAATACAAACATCACAAAGATGTTTCTCAGAACGCTGCAGTCTGCAATTTGTATGAATTCCCGCTTCCAACGAAATCCTCAAAACTAGCCAAATATCCACTTGCAGATTCCACAAAAAGAGCATTTCAAAACTGCTCTATCAAAAGAAAGGTTCAACTTTGTTAGTTGAGTAGATACAGCATAAACAAGTTTCTGAGAATGCTTCTGTCCAGTTTTTATGGGAAGATATTTCCTTTTTCACCTTAGCCCTGAAATCGCTCCAAAAGTCCAGTTCCAGATACTACAAAAGGGGTGTTTCAAGACTGCTCTATGAAAGGGAGTGTTCAACTTTTGACTTGAATGCAAACATCAGAAAGCAGTTTCTCAGAACGCTGCTGTGTGCTTTTTATATGTATTCCCGCTTCCAGCGAAATCCCCAAAGCTAGCCAAATATCCACTTGCAGATTCCAGAAAAAGAGTGTTTCAAAACTGCTCCTTCAAAACGGTGGTTCAATTCTCTTAGTTGAGTACACACATCTCAAATAAGTTTCTGAGAATGCTTCTGTCTAGTTGTTATGGGAAGATATTTCCTTTTTCAACATAGGCCTGAAAGCGCTCCAAATGTCCACTTCCAGATACTACAAAAGGAGTGATTCCAACCTGCTCTATGATAGGGAATGTTCAACTCTGTGTCCTTAATACAAACATCACAAAGATGTCTCTCAGAACGCTGCAGTCTGCAATTTGTATGAATTCCCGCTTCCAACGAAATCCTCAAAACTAGCCAAATATCCACTTGCAGATTCCACAAAAAGAGCATTTCAAAACTTCTCTATGAAAAGAAAGGTTCTACTCCTTAAGTTGAGGACACACATCACGAGTAAGTTTCTGAGAATGCTTCTGTCTAGTTTTTATGGGAAGATATTTCCTTGTTCACCTTAGGCCGGAAAGCGCTCCAAATGTCCACTTACACACACTACAAAAAGAGTGTTTCAAACCTGCTCTGTGAAAGGGAATGTTCAATTCTGTGACTTGAATGCAATCATCACAAAGAAGTTTCTGAGAATGCTGCTGTCTGCTTTTTATATGTAATCCCGTTTCCAACGAAATACTCAAATCTAGCCAAATATCCACTTGCAGATTCCACAAAAAGAGTGTTTCAAAACTGTTCTGTCTAAAGAAATGTTCAACTGTGTTAGTTGAGGACACACATCAGAAACTAGTTTCTGAGAATGCTTCTGTCTAGTTGTTATGGGAAGATATTTCCTTTTCCAACGTAGGCCTGAAAGCGCTCCAAATGTCCACTTCCATATACTAAAAAAAGAGTGTTTCAAACCTGCTCTACCAAAGGGAATGTTCTACTCTGTGACTTGAATGCAAACATCCCAAAGAAGTTTCTGAGAATGCTTCTGTCTAGATTTTATCTGAAGACAATCCCGTTTCCAACGAAATCCTCAAGGCTAGGCAAATATACTCTTGCAGATTCCAGAAAAAGAGTGTTTCAAAACTGCTCCTTCAAAACGGTGGTTCAATTCTCTTAGTTGAGTACACACATCTCAAATAAGTTTCTGAGAATGCTTCTGCCTAGTTGTTACGGGAAGATATTTCCCTTTCCAACATGGGCTTGAAAGCGCTCCAAATGTCCACTTCCAGATACTACAAAAAGAGGGTTTCAAACCTGCTCTACCAAAGGGAATGTTCTACTCTGTGACTTGAATGCAAACATCCCAAAGAAGTTTCTGAGAATGCTTCTGTCTAGATTTTACCTGAAGACAATCCCGTTTCCCACGAAATCCTCAAAGCTATGCAAATATCCTCTTGCAGATTCTACAAAAAGAGTGTTTCAAAACTGCTCTATGAAAAGAAAGGTTCAACTCTGTCAGTAGAGGGCACACATCACAAACAAGTTTCTGAGAATGCTTCTGCATAGTTGTTACGGGAAGATATTTCCCTTTCCAAAATAGGCCTGAAAGCGCTCCAAATGTCCACTTCCAGATACTACAAAAGGAGTGATTCCAACCTGCTCTATGATAGGGAATGTTCAACTCTGTGTCCTGAATACAAACATCACAAAGATGTTTCTCAGAACGCTGCAGTCTGCAATTTGTATGAATTCCCGCTTCCAACGAAATCCTCAAAACTAGCCAAATATCCACTTGCAGATTCCACAAAAAGACCATTTCAAAACTGCTCTATCAAAAGAAAGGTTCAACTTTGTTAGTTGAGTAGATACAGCATAAACAAGTTTCTGAGAATGCTTCTGTCCAGTTTTTATGGGAAGATATTTCCTTTTTCACCTTAGCCCTGAAATCGCTCCAAAAGTCCAGTTCCAGATACTACAAAAGGGGTGTTTCAAGACTGCTCTATGAAAGGGAGTGTTCAACTTTTGACTTGAATGCAAACATCAGAAAGCAGTTTCTCAGAACGCTGCTGTGTGCTTTTTATATGTATTCCCGCTTCCAGCGAAATCCCCAAAGCTAGCCAAATATCCACTTGCAGATTCCAGAAAAAGAGTGTTTCAAAACTGCTCCTTCAAAACGGTGATTCAATTCTCTTAGTTGAGTACACCCATCTCAAATAAGTTTCTGAGAATGCTTCTGTCTAGTTGTTATGGGAAGATATTTCCTTTTCCAACATAGGCCTGAAAGCGCTCCAAATGTCCATTTCCAGATACTACAAAAGGAGTGATTCAAACCTGCTCTATGATAGGGAATGTTCAACTCTGTGTCCTGAATACAAACATCACAAAGATGTTTCTCAGAACGCTTCTGTCTAGTTGTTATGGGAAGATATTTCCTTTTCCAACATAGGCCTGAAAGCGCTCCAAATGTCCACTTCCAGATACTACAAAAGGAGTGATTCAAACCTGCTCTATGATAGGGAATGTTCAACTCTGTGTCCTGAATACAAACATCACAAAGATGTTTCTCAGAACGCTGCAGTCTGCATCTTGTATGAATTCCCGCTTCCAACGAAATCCTCCAAACTAGCCAAATATCCACTTGCAGATTCCACAAAAAGAGCGTTTCAAAACTTCTCTATGAAAAGAAAGGTTCTACTCCTTTAGTTGAGGACACACATCACGAGTAAGTTTCTGAGAATGCTTCTGTCTAGTTTTTATGGGAAGATATTTCCTTGTTCACCTTAGGCCGGAAAGCGCTCCAAATGTCCACTTACACACACTACAAAAAGAGTGTTTCAAACCTGCTCTGTGAAAGGGAATGTTCAATTCTGTGACTTGAATGCAATCATCACAAAGAAGTTTCTGAGAATGCTGCTGTCTGCTTTTTATATGTAATCCCGTTTCCAACGAAATCCTCAAATCTAGCCAAATATCCACTTGCAGATTCCACAAAAAGAGTGTTTCAAAACTGTTCTGTCTAAAGAAATGTTCAACTGTGTTAGTTGAGGACACACATCAGAAACTAGTTTCCGAGAATGCTTCTGTCTAGTTGTTATGGGAAGATATTTCCTTTTCCAACGTAGGCCTGAAAGCGCTCCAAATGTCCACTTCCATATACTAAAAAAAGAGTGTTTCAAACCTGCTCTACCAAAGGAATGTTCTACTCTGTGACTTGAATGCAAACATCCCAAAGAAGTTTCTGAGAATGCTTCTGTCTAGATTTGATCTGAAGACAATCCCTTTTCCAACGAAATCCTCAAAGCTAGGCAAATATCCTCTTGCAGATTCCAGAAAAAGAGTGTTTCCAAACTGCTCCTTCAAAACGGTGGTTCAATTCTCTTAGTTGAGTACACACATCTCAAATAAGTTTCTGAGAATGCTTCTGCCTAGTTGTTACGGGAAGATATTTCCCTTTCCAACATAGGCCTGAAAGCGCAACAAATGTCCACTTCCAGATACTACAAAAAGAGTGTTTCAAACCTGCTCTACCGAAGGGAATGTTCTACTCTGTGACTTGAATGCAAACATCCCGAAGAAGTTTCTGAGAATGCTTCTGTCTAGATTTTACCTGAAGACAATCCCGTTTCCCACGAAATCCTCAGAGCTATGCAAACATCCTCTTGCAGATTCTACAAAAAGAGTGTTTCGAAACTGCTCTATGAAAAGAAAGGTTCAACTCTGTCAGTAGAGGAAACACATCACCAACAAGTTTCTGAGAATGCTTCTGTCTAGTTGTTATGGGAAGATATTTCCTTTTCCAACATAGGCCTGAAAGCGCTCCAAATGTCCACTTCCAGATACTACAAAAGGAGTGATTCCAACCTGCTCTATGATAGGGAATGTTCAACTCTGTGTCCTGAATACAAACATCACAAAGATGTTTCTCAGAACGCTGCAGTCTGCAATTTGTATGAATTCCCGCTTCCAGCGAAATCCTCAAAACTAGCCAAATATCCACTTGCAGATTCCACAAAAAGAGCATTTCAAAACTGCTCTATCAAAAGAAAGGTTCAACTTTGTTAGTTGAGTAGATACAGCATAAACAAGTTTCTGAGAATGCTTCTGTCCAGTTTTTATGGGAAGATATTTCCTTTTTCACCTTAGCCCTGAAAGCGCTCCAAAAGTCCAGTTCCAGATACTACAAAAGGAGTGTTTCAGGACTGCTCTATGAAAGGGAGTGTTCAACTTTTGACTTGAATGCAAACATCAGAAAGCAGTTTACTCAGAACGCTGCTGTGTGCTTTTTATATGTATTCCCGCTTCCAGCGAAATCCCCAAAGCTAGCCAAATATCCAATTGCAGATTCCAGAAAAAGAGTGTTTCAAAACTGCTCCTTCAAAACGGTGGTTCAATTCTCTTAGTTGAGTACACACGTCTCAAATAAGTTTCTGAGAATGCTTCTGTCTATTTGTTATGGGAAGATATTTCCTTTTCCAACATAGGCCTGAAAGCGCTCCAAATGTCCACTTCCAGATACTACAAAAGGAGTGATTCTAACCTGCTCTATGATAGGGAATGTTCAACTCTGTGTCCTGAATACAAACATCACAAAGATGTTTCTCAGAACGCTGCAGTCTGCAATTTGTATGAATTCCCGCTTCCAACGAAATCCTCAAAACTAGCCAAATATCCACTTGGAGATTCCACAAAAAAAGCGTTTCAAAACTTCTCTATGAATAGAAAGGTTCTACTCCTTTAGTTGAGGACACACATCACGAGTAAGTTTCTGAGAATGCTTCTGTCTAGTTTTTATGGGAAGATATTTCCTTTTTCACCTTAGGCCGGTAAGTGCTCCAAATGTCCACTTACACACACTACAAAAAGAGTGTTTCAAACCTGCTCTGTGAAAGGGAATGTTCAATTCTGTGACTTGAATGCAATCATCACAAAGAACTTTCTGAGAATGCTGCTGACTGCTTTTTATATGTAATCCCGTTTCCAACGAAATCCTCAAATCTAACCAAATAGCCACTTGCAGATTCCACAAAAAGAGTGTTTCAAAACTGTTCTGTCTAAAGAAATGTTCAACTGTGTTAGTTGAGGACACACATCAGAAACTAGTTTCTGAGAATGCTTCTGTCTAGTTGTTATGGGAAGATATTTCCTTTTCCAACGTAGGCCTGAAAGCGCTCCAAATGTCCACTTCCAGATACTACAAAAAGAGTGTTTCAAACCTGCTCTACCAAAGGGAATGTTCTACTCTGTGACTTGAATGCAAGCATCCCAAAGAAGTTTCTGAGAATGCTTTTGTCTAGATTTTATCTGAAGACAATCCGGTTTCCAACGAAATCCTCAAGGCTAGGCAAATATACTCTTGCAGATTCCAGAAAAAGAGTGTTTCAAAACTGCTCCTTCAAAACGGTGGTTCAATTCTCTTAGTTGAGTACACACATCTCAAATAAGTTTCTGAGAATGCTTTTGCATAGTTGTTACGGGAAGATATTTCCCTTTCCAACATGGGCCTGAAAGTGCTGCAAATGTCCACTTCCAGATACTACAAAAAGAGGGTTTCAAACCTGCTCTACCAAAGGGAATGTTCTACTCTGTGACTTGAATGCAAACATAACAAAGATAGTTTCTGAGAATGCTTCTGTCTAGATTTTACCTGAAGACAATCCCGTTTCCCACGAAATCCTCAAAGCTATGCAAATATCCTCTTGCAGATTCTACAAAAAGAGTGTTTCAAAACTGCTCTATGAAAAGAAAGGTTCAACTCTGTCAGTAGAGGGCACACATCACAAACAAGTTTCTGAGAATGCTTCTGCATAGTTGTTACGGGAAGATATTTCCCTTTCCAAAATAGGCCTGAAAGCGCTCCAAATGTCCACTTCCAGATACTACAAAAGGAGTGATTCCAACCTGCTCTATGATAGGGAATGTTCAACTCTGTGTCCTGAATACAAACATCACAAAGATGTTTCTCAGAACGCTGCAGTCTGCAATTTGTATGAATTCCCGCTTCCAACGAAATCCTCAAAACTAGCCAAATATCCACTTGCAGATTCCACAAAAAGACCATTTCAAAACTGCTCTATCAAAAGAAAGGTTCAACTTTGTTAGTTGAGTAGATACAGCATAAACAAGTTTCTGAGAATGCTTCTGTCCAGTTTTTATGGGAAGATATTTCCTTTTTCACCTTAGCCCTGAAATCGCTCCAAAAGTCCAGTTCCAGATACTACAAAAGGGGTGTTTCAAGACTGCTCTATGAAAGGGAGTGTTCAACTTTTGACTTGAATGCAAACATCAGAAAGCAGTTTCTCAGAACGCTGCTGTGTGCTTTTTATATGTATTCCCGCTTCCAGCGAAATCCCCAAAGCTAGCCAAATATCCACTTGCAGATTCCAGAAAAAGAGTGTTTCAAAACTGCTCCTTCAAAACGGTGGTTCAATTCTCTTAGTTGAGTACACACATCTCAAATAAGTTTCTGAGAATGCTTCTGTCTAGTTGTTATGGGAAGATATTTCCTTTTCCATCATAGGCCTGAAAGTGCTCCAAATGTCCACTTCCAGATACTACAAAAGGAGTGATTCAAACCTGCTCTATGATAGGGAATGTTCAACTCTGTGTCCTGAATACAAACATCACAAAGATGTTTCTCAGAACGCTGCAGTCTGCAATTTGTATGAATTCCCGCTTCCAACGAAATCCTCAAAACTAGCCAAATATCCACTTGGAGATTCCACAAAAAGAGCGTTTCAAAACTTCTCTATGAATAGAAAGTTTCTACTCCTTTAGTTGAGGACACACATCACGAGTAAGTTTCTGAGAATGCTTCTGTCTGGTTTTTATGGTAAGATATGTCCTTTTTCACCTTAGGCCGGAAAGCGCTCCAAATGTCCACTTACACACACTACAAAAAGAGTGTTTCAAACCTGCTCTGTGAAAGGGAATGTTCAATTCTGTGACTTGAATGCAATCATCACAAAGAACTTTCTGAGAATGCTGCTGTCTGCTTTTTATATGTAATCCCGTTTCCAACGAAATCCTCAAATCTAGCCAAATATCCTCTTGCAGATTCCACAAAAAGAGTTTTTCAAAACTGTTCTGTCTAAAGAAATGTTCAACTGTGTTAGTTGAGGACACACATCAGAAACTAGTTTCTGAGAATGCTTCTGTCTAGTTGTTATGGGAAGATATTTCCTTTTCCAACGTAGGCCTGAAAGCCCTCCAAATGTCCACTTCCATATACTAAAAAAAGAGTGTTTCAAACCTGCTCTACCAAAGGGAATGTTCTACTCTGTGACTTGAATGCAAACATCCCAAAGAAGTTTCTGAGAATGCTTCTGTCTAGATTTTATCTGAAGACAATCCCGTTTCCAACGAAATCTTCAAGGCTAGGCAAATATACTCTTGCAGATTCCAGAAAAAGAGTGTTTCAAATCTGCTCCTTCAAAACGGTGGTTCAATTCTCTTAGTTGAGTACACACATCTCAAATAAGTTTCTGAGAATGCTTCTGCCTAGTTGTTACGGGAAGATATTTCCCTTTCCAAAATAGGCCTGAAAGCGCTCCAAATGTCCACTTCCAGATACTGCAAAAGGAGTGATTCCAACCTGCTCTATGATAGGGAAAGTTCAACTCTGTGTCCTGAATACAAACATCACAAAGATGTTTCTCAGAACGCTGCAGTCTGCAATTTGTATGAATTCCCGCTTCCAGCGAAATCCTCAAAACTAGCCAAATATCCACTTGCAGATTCCACAAAAAGAGCATTTCAAAACTGCTCTATCAAAAGAAAGGTTCAACTTTGTTAGTTGAGTAGATACAGCATAAACAAGTTTCTGAGAATGCTTCTGTCCAGTTTTTATGGGAAGATATTTCCTTTTTCACCTTAGCCCTGAAATCGCTCCAAAAGTCCAGTTCCAGATACTACCAAAGGGGTGTTTCAAGACTGCTCTATGAAAGGGAGTGTTCAACTTTTGACTTGAATGCAAACATCAGAAAGCAGTTTACTCAGAACGCTGCTGTGTGCTTTTTATATGTATTCCCGCTTCCAGCGAAATCCCCAAAGCTAGCCAAATAGCCACTTGCAGCTTCCAGAAAAAGAGTGTTTCAAAACTGCTCCTTCAAAACGGTGGTTCAATTCTCTTAGTTGAGTACACACATCTCAAATAAGTTTCTGAGAATGCTTCTGTCTATTTGTTATGGGAAGATATTTCCTTTTCCAACATAGGCCTGAAAGGGCTCCAAATGGACACTTCCAGATACTACAAAAGGAGTGATTCAAACCTGCTCTATGATAGGGAATGTTCAACTCTGTGTCCTGAATACAAACATCACAAAGATGTTTCTCAGAACGCTGCAGTCTGCAATTTGTATGAATTCCCGCTTCCAACGAAATCCTCAAAACTAGCCAAATATCCACTTGCAGACTCCACAAAAAGAGCATTTCAAAACTGCTCTATCAAAAGAAAGGTTCAACTTTGTTAGCTGAGTAGATACAGCATAAACAAGTTTCTGAGAATGCTTCTGTCCAGTTTTTATGGGAAGATATTTCCTTTTTCACCTTAGCCCTGAAATCGCTCCAAAAGTCCAGTTCCAGATACTACAAAAGGGGTGTTTCAGGACTGCTCTATGAAAGGGAGTGTTCAACTTTTGACTTGAATGCAAACATCAGAAAGCAGTTTCTCAGAACGCTGCTGTGTGCTTTTTATATGTATTCCCGCTTCCAGCGAAATCCCCAAAGCTCGCCAAATATCCACTTGCAGATTCCAGAAAAAGAGTGTTTCAAAACTGCTCCTTCAAAACGGTGGTTCAATTCTCTTAGTTGAGTACACACATCTCAAATAAGTTTCTGAGAATGCTTCTGTCTAGTTGTTATGGGAAGATATTTCCTTTTCCAACATAGGCCTGAAAGCGCTCCAAATGTCCACTTCCAGATACTACAAAAGGAGTGATTCAAACCTGCTCTATGATAGGGAATGTTCAACTCTGTGTCCTGAATACAAACATCACAAAGATGTTTCTCAGAACGCTGCAGTCTGCAATTTGTATGAATTCCCGCTTCCAACGAAATCCTCAAAACTAGCCAAATATCCACTTGCAGATTCCACAAAAAGAGCGTTTCAAAACTTCTCTATGAAAAGAAAGGTTCTACTCCTTTAGTTGAGGACACACATCACGAGTAAGTTTCTGAGAATGCTTCTGTCTAGTTTTTATGGGAAGATATTTCCTTTTTCACCTTAGGCCGGTAAGTGCTCCAAATGTCCACTTACACACACTACAAAAAGAGTGTTTCAAACCTGCTCTGTGAAAGGGAATGTTCAATTCTGTGACTTGAATGCAATCATCACAAAGAACTTTCTGAGAATGCTGCTGACTGCTTTTTATATGTAATCCCGTTTCCAACGAAATCCTCAAATCTAGCCAAATAGCCACTTGCAGATTCCACAAAAAGAGTGTTTCAAAACTGTTCTGTCTAAAGAAATGTTCAACTGTGTTAGTTGAGGACACACATCAGAAACTAGTTTCTGAGAGTGCTTCTGTCTAGTTGTTATGGGAAGATATTTCCTTTTCCAACGTAGGCCTGAAAGCGCTCCAAATGTCCACTTCCATATACTAAAAAAAGAGTGTTTCAAACCTGCTCTACCAAAGGGAATGTTCTACTCTGTGACTTGAATGCAAACATCCCAAAGAAGTTTCTGAGAATGCTTCTGTCTAGATTTTCTCTGAAGACAATCCCGTTTCCAACGAAATCCTCAAGGCTAGGCAAATATACTCTTGCAGATTCCAGAAAAAGAGTGTTTCAAAACTGCTCCTTCAAAACGGTGGTTCAATTCTCTTAGTTGAGTACACACATCTCAAATAAGTTTCTGAGAATGCTTCTGCCTAGTTGTTACGGGAAGATATTTCCCTTTCCAACATAGGCCTGAAAGCGCTCCAAATGTCCACTTCCAGATACTACAAAAAGAGTGTTTCAAACCTGCTCTACCAAAGGGAATGTTCTACTCTGTGACTTGAATAGAAACATCCCAAAGAAGTTTCTGAGAATGCTTCTGTCTAGATTTTAGCTGAAGACAATCCCGTTTCCAACGAAATCCTCAAAGCTAGGCAAATATACTCTAGCAGATTCCAGAAAAAGAGTGTTTCAAAACTGCTCCTTCAAAACGGTGGTTCAATTCTCTTAGTTGAGTACACACATCTCAAATAAGTTTCTGAGAATGCTTCTGCCTAGTTGTTACGGGAAGATATTTCCCTTTCCAACATAGGCCTGAAAGCGCTCCAAATGTCCACTTCCAGATACTACAAAAAGAGTGTTTCAAACCTGCTCTACCAAAGGGAATGTTCTACTCTGTGACTTGAATGCAAACATCCCAAAGAAGTTTCTGAGAATGCTTCTGTCTAGATTTTAGCTGAAGACAATCCCGTTTCCCACGAAATCCTCAAAGCTATGCAAATATCCTCTTGCAGATTCTACAAAAAGAGAGTTTCGAAACTGCTCTATGAAAAGAAAGGTTCAACTGTGTCAGTAGAATGCACACATCACAAACAAGTTTCTGAGAATGCTTCTGCCTAGTTGTTACGGGAAGATATTTCCCTTTCCAAAATAGGCCTGAAAGTGCTCCAAATGTCCACTTCCAGATACTGCAAAAGGAGTGATTCCAACCTGCTCTATGATAGGGAATGTTCAACTCTGTGTCCTGAATACAAACATCACAAATATGTTTCTCAGAACGCTGCAGTCTGCAATTTGTATGAATTCCAGCTTCCAACGAAATCCTCAAAACTAGCCAAATATCCACTTGCAGATTCCACAAAAAGAGCATTTCAAAACTGCTCTATCAAAAGAAAGGTTCAACTTTGTTAGTAGAGTAGATACAGCATAAACAAGTTTCTGAGAATGCTTCTGTCCAGTTTTTATGGGAAGATATTTCCTTTTTCACCTTAGCCCTGAAATCGCTCCAAAAGTCCAGTTCCAGATACTACAAAAGGGGTGTTTCAAGACTGCTCTATGAAAGGGAGTGTTCAACTTTTGACTTGAATGCAAACATCAGAAAGCAGTTTCTCAGAACGCTGCTGTGTGCTTTTTATATGTATTCCCGCTTCCAGCGAAATCCCCAAAGCTAGCCAAATATCCACTTGCAGATTCCAGAAAAAGAGTGTTTCAAAACTGCTCCTTCAAAACGGTGGTTCAATTCTCTTAGTTGAGTACACACATCTCAAATAAGTTTCTGAGAATGCTTCTGTCTAGTTGTTATGGGAAGATATTTCCTTTTCCAACATAGGCCTGAAAGCGCTCCAAATGTCCACTTCCAGATACTACAAAAGGAGTGATTCAAACCTGCTCTATGATAGGGAATGTTCAACTCTGTGTCCTGAATACAAACATCACAACGATGTTTCTCAGAACGCTGCAGTCTGCAATTTGTATGAATTCCCGCTTCCAACGAAATCCTCAAAACTAGCCAAATATCCACTTGCAGATTCCACAAAAAGAGCGTTTCAAAACTTCTCTATGAATAGAAAGTTTCTACTCCTTTAGTTGAGGACACACATCACGAGTAAGTTTCTGAGAATGCTTCTGTCTGGTTTTTATGGTAAGATATGTCCTTTTTCACCTTAGGCCGGAAAGCGCTCCAAATGTCCACTTACACACACTACAAAAAGAGTGTTTCAAACCTGCTCTGTGAAAGGGAATGTTCAATTCTGTGACTTGAATGCAATCATCACAAAGAACTTTCTGAGAATGCTGCTGACTGCTTTTTATATGTAATCCCGTTTCCAACGAAATCCTCAAATCTAGCCCAATATCCACTTGCAGATTCCACAAAAAGAGTGTTTCAAAACTGTTCTGTCTAAAGAAATGTACAACTGTGTTAGTTGAGGACACACATCAGAAACTAGTTTCTGAGAATGCTTCTGTCTAGTTGTTATCGGAAGATATTTCCTTTTCCAACGTAGGCCTGAAAGCGCTCCAAATGTCCACTTCCATATACTACAAAAAGAGTGTTTCAAACCTGCTCTACCAAAGGGAATGTTCTACTCTGTGACTTGAATGCAAACATCCCAAAGAACTTTCTGAGAATGCTTCTGTCTAGATTTTATCTGAAGACAATCCCGTTTCCAACGAAATCCTCAAGGCTAGGCAAATATACTCTTGCAGATTCCAGAAAAAGAGTGTTTCAAAACTGCTCCTTCAAAACGGTGGTTCAATTCTCTTAGTTGAGTACACACATCTCAAATAAGTTTCTGAGAATGCTTCTGCCTAGTTGTTACGGGAAGATATTTCCCTTTCCAACATGGGCCTGAAAGCGCTCCAAATGTCCACTTCCAGATACTACAAAAAGAGTGTTTCAAACCTGCTCTACCAAAGGGAATGTTCTACTCTGTGACTTGAATGCAAACATCCCAAAGGAGTTTCTGAGAATGCTTTCTGTCTAGATTTTACCTGAAGACAATCCCGTTTCCCACGAAATCCTCAAAGCTATGCAAATATCCTCTTGCGGATTCTACAAAAAGAGTGTTTCAAAACTGCTCTATGAAAAGAAAGGTTCAACTCTGTCAGTAGAGGGCACACATCACAAACAAGTTTCTGAGAATGCTTGTGTCTAGTTGTTATGGGAAGATATTTCCTTTTTCAACATAGGCCTGAAGCGCTCCAAATGTCCACTTCCAGATACTACAAAAGGAGTGATTCCAACCTGCTCTATGATAGGGAATGTTCAACTCTCTGTCCTGAATACAAACATCACAAAGATGTTTCTCAGAACGCTGCAGTCTGCAATTTGTATGAATTCCAGCTTCCAACGAAATCCTCACAACTAGCCAAATATCCACTTGCAGATTCCACAAAAAGAGCATTTCAAAACTGCTCTATCAAAAGAAAGGTTCAACTTTGTTAGTTGAGTAGATACAGCATAAACAAGATTCTGAGAATGCTTCTGTCCAGTTTTTATGGGAAGATATTTCCTTTTTCACCTTAGCCCTGAAAGCGCTCCAAAAGTCCAGTTCCAGATACTACAAAAGGAGTGTTTCAGGACTGCTCTATGAAAGGGAGTGTTCAACTTTTGACTTGAATGCAAACATCAGAAAGCAGTTTCTCAGAACGCTGCAGTCTGCAATTTGTATGAATTCCCGCTTCCAACGAAATCCTCAAAACTAGCCAAATATCCACTTGCAGATTCCACAAAAAGAGCGTTTCAAAACTTCTCTATGAAAAGAAAGGTTCTACTCCTTTAGTTGAGGACACACATCACGAGTAAGTTTCTGAGAATGCTTCTGTCTAGTTTTTATGGGAAGATATTTCCTTGTTCACCTTAGGCTGGAAAGCGCTCCAAATGTCCACTTACACACACTAGAAAAAGAGTGTTTCAAACCTGCTCTGTGAAAGGGAATGTTCAATTCTGTGACTTGAATGCAATCATCACAAAGAAGTTTCTGAGAATGCTGCTGTCTGCTTTTTATATGTAATCCCGTTTCCAACGAAATCCTCAAATCTAGCCAAATATCCACTTGCAGATTCCACAAAAAGAGTGTTTCAAAACTGTTCTGTCTAAAGAAATGTTCAACTGTGTTAGTTGAGGACACACATCAGAAACTAGTTTCTGAGAATGCTTCTGTCTAGTTGTTATGGGAAGATATTTCCTTTTCCAACGTAGGCCTGAAAGCGCTCCAAATGTCCACTTACACACACTACAAAAAGAGTGTTTCAAACCTGCTCTACCAAAGGGAATGTTCTACTCTGTGACTTGAATGCAAACATCCCAAAGAAGTTTCTGAGAATGCTTCTGTCTAGATTTTACCTGAAGACAATCCCGTTTCCCACGAAATCCTCAAAGCTATGCAAATATCCTCTTGCAGATTCTACAAAAAGAGTGTTTCGAAAGTGCTCTATGAAAAGAAAGGTTCAACTGTGTCAGTAGAGAGCACACATCACAAACAAGTTTCTGAGAATGCTTCTGCCTAGTTGTTATGGGAAGATATTTCCTTTTTCAACATAGGCCTGAAAGCGCTCCAAATGTCCACTTCCAGATACTACAAAAGGAGTGATTCCAACCTGCGCTATGATAGGGAATGTTCAACTCTGTGTCCTGAATACAAACATCACAAAGATGTTTCTCAGAACGCTGCAGTCTGCAATTTGTATGAATTCCCGCTTCCAACGAAATCCTCAAAACTAGCCAAATATCCACTTGCAGATTCCACAAAAAGACCATTTCAAAACTGCTCTATCAAAAGAAAGGTTCAACTTTGTTAGTTGAGTAGATACAGCATAAACAAGTTTCTGAGAATGCTTCTGTCCAGTTTTTATGGGAAGATATTTCCTTTTTCACCTTAGCCCTGAAATCGCTCCAAAAGTCCAGTTCCAGATACTACAAAAGGGGTGTTTCAGGACTGCTCTATGAAAGGGAGTGTTCAACTTTTGACTTGAATGCAAACATCAGAAAGCAGTTTCTCAGAACGCTGCTGTGTGCTTTTTATATGTATTCCCGCTTCCAGCGAAATCCCCAAAGCTAGCCAAATATCCACTTGCAGATTCCAGAAAAAGAGAGTTTCAAAACTGCTCCTTCAAAACGGTGGTTCAATTCTCTTAGTTGAGTACACACATCTCAAATAAGTTTCTGAGAATGCTTGTGTCTAGTTGTTATGGGAAGATATTTCCTTTTTCAACATAGGCCTGAAAGCGCTCCAAATGTCCACTTACAGATACTACAAAAGGAGTGATTCCAACCTGCTCTATGATAGGGAATGTTCATCTCTGTGTCCTGAATACAAACATCACAAAGATGTTTCTCAGAACGCTGCAGTCTGCAATTTGTATGAATTCCCGCTTCCAACGAAATCCTCAAAACTAGCCAAATATCCACTTGGAGATTCCACAAAAAGAGCGTTTCAAAACTTCTCTATGAATAGAAAGGTTCTACTCCTTTAGTTGAGGACACACATCACGAGTAAGTTTCTGAGAATGCTTCTGTCTAGTTTTTATGGGAAGATATTTCCTTTTTCACCTTAGGCCGGAAAGCGCTCCAAATGTCCACTTACACACACTACAAAAAGAGTGTTTCAAACCTGGCTCTGTGAAAGGGAATGTTCAATTCTGTGACTTGAATGCAATCATCACAAAGAACTTTCTGAGAATGCTGCTGTCTGCTTTTTATATGTAATCCCGTTTCCAACGAAATCCTCAAATCTAGCCAAATATCCACTTGCAGATTCCACAAAAAGAGTGTTTCAAAACTGTTCTGTCTAAAGAAATGTTCAACTGTGTTAGTTGAGGACACACATCAGAAACTAGTTTCTGAGAATGCTTCTGTCTAGTTGTTATGGGAAGATATTTCCTTTTCCAACGTAGGCCTGAAAGCGCTCCAAATGTCCACTTACACACTCTACAAAAAGAGTGTTTCAAACCTGCTCTACCAAAGGGAATGTTCTACTCTGTGACTTGAATGCAAACATCCCAAAGAAGTTTCTGAGAATGCTTCTGTCTAGATTTTACCTGAAGACAATCCCGTTTCCCACGAAATCCTCAAAGCTATGCAAATATCCTCTTGCAGATTCTACAAAAAGAGTGTTTCGAAACTGCTCTATGAAAAGAAAGGTTCAACTGTGTCAGTAGAGGGCACACATCACAAACAAGTTTCTGAGAATGCTTCTGTCTAATTGTTATGGGAAGATATTTCCTTTTTCAACATAGGCCTGAAAGCGCTCCAAATGTCCACTTCCAGATAGTACAAAAGGAGTGATTCCAACCTGCTCTATGATAGGGAATGTTCAACTCTGTGTCCTGAATACAAACATCACAAAGATGTTTCTCAGAACGCTGCAGTCTGCAATTTGTATGAATTCCCGCTTCCAACGAAATCCTCCAAACTAGCCAAATATCCACTTGCAGATTCCACAAAAAGAGCATTTCAAAACTGCTCTATCAAAAGAAAGGTTCAACTTTGTTAGTTGAGCAGATACAGCATAAACAAGTTTCTGAGAATGCTTCTGTCCAGTTTTTATGGGAAGATATTTCCTTTTTCACCTTAGCCCTGAAAGCGCTCCAAAAGTCCAGTTCCAGATACTACAAAAGGAGTGTTTCAGGACTGCTCTATGAAAGGGAGTGTTCAACTTTTGACTTGAATGCAAACATCAGAAAGCAGTTTCTCAGAACGCTGCTGTGTGCTTTTTATATGTATTCCCGCTTCCAGCGAAATCCCCAAAGCTAGCCAAATATCCACTTGCAGATTCCAGAAAAAGAGTGTTTCAAAACTGCTCCTTCAAAACGGTGGTTCAATTCTCTTAGTTGAGTACACACATCTCAAATAAGTTTCTGAGAATGCTTCTGTCTAGTTGTTATGGGAAGATATTTCCTTTTCCAACATAGGCCTGAAAGCGCTCCAAATGTCCACTTCCAGATACTACAAAAGGAGTGATTCAAACCTGCTCTATGATAGGGAATGGTCAACTCTGTGTCCTGAATACAAACATCACAAAGATGTTTCTCAGAACGCTGCAGTCTGCAATTTGTATGAATTCCCGCTTCCAACGAAATCCTCCAAACAAGCCAAATATCCACTTGCAGATTCCACAAAAAGAGCGTTTCAAAACTTCTCTATGAAAAGAAAGGTTCTACTCCTTTAGTTGAGGACACACATCACGAGTAAGTTTCTGAGAATGCTTCTGTCTAGTTTTTATGGGAAGATATTTCCTTTTTCACCTTAGGCCGGAAAGTGCTCCAAATGTCCACTTACACACACTACAAAAAGAGTGTTTCAAACCTGCTCTGTGAAAGGGAATGTTCAATTCTGTGACTTGAATGCAATCATCACAAAGAACGTTCTGAGAATGCTGCTGTCTGCTTTTTATATGTAATCCCGTTTCCAACGAAATCCTCAAATCTAGCCAAATAGCCACTTGCAGATTCCACAAAAAGAGAGTTTCAAAACTGTTCTGTCTAAAGAAATGTTCAACTGTGTTAGTTGAGGACACACATCAGAAACTAGTTTCTGAGAATGCTTCTGTCTAGTTGTTATGGGAAGATATTTCCTTTTCCAACGTAGGCCTGAAAGCGCTCCAAATGTCCACTTCCATATACTTAAAAAAGAGTGTTTCAAACCTGCTCTACCAAAGGGAATGTTCTACTCTGTGACATGAATGCAAACATCCCAAAGAAGTTTCTGAGAATGCTTCTGTCTAGATTTGATCTGAAGACAATCCCGTTTCCAACGAAATCCTCAAGGCTAGGCAAATATCCTCTTGCAGATTCCAGAAAAAGAGTGTTTCAAAACTGCTCCTTCAAAACGGTGGTTCAATTCTCTTAGTTGAGTACACACATCTCAAATAAGTTTCTGAGAATGCTTCTGCCTAGTTGTTACGGGAAGATATTTCCCTTTCCAACATAGGCCTGAAAGCGCTCCAAATGTCCACTTCCAGATACTACAAAAAGAGTGTTTCAAACCTGCTCTACCAAAGGGAATGTTCTGCTCTGTGACTTGAATGCAAACATCCCAAAGAAGTTTCTGAGAATGCTTCTGTCTAGATTTTACCTGAAGACAATCCCGTTTCCCACGAAATCCTCAAAGCTATGCAAATATCCTCTTGCAGATTCTACAAAAAGAGTGTTTCAAAACTGCTCTATGAAAAGAAAGGTTCAAGTCTGTCAGTAGAGGGCACACATCACAAACAAGTTTCTGAGAATGCTTGTGTCTAGTTGTTATGGGAAGATATTTCCTTTTTCAACATAGGCCTGAAAGCGCTCCAAATGTCCACTTCCAGATACTACAAAAGGAGTGATTCCAACCTGCTCTATGATAGGGAATGTTCAACTCTCTGTCCTGAATACAAACATCACAAAGATGTTTCTCAGAACGCTGCAGTCTGCAATTTGTATGAATTCCCGCTTCCAACGAAATCCTCAAAACTAGCCAAATATCCACTTGCAGATTCCACAAAAAGAGCATTTCAAAACTGCTCTATCAAAAGAAAGGTTCAACTATGTTAGTTGAGTAGATACAGCATAAACAAGTTTCTGAGAATGATTCTGTCCAGTTTTTATGGGAAGATATTTCCTTTTTCACCTTAGCCCTGAAATCGCTCCAAAAGTCCAGTTCCAGATACTACAAAAGGGGTGTTTCAAGACTGCTCTATGAAAGGGAGTGTTCAACTTTTGACTTGAATGCAAACATCAGAAAGCAGTTTCTCAGAACGCTGCTGTGTGCTTTTTATATGTATTCCCGCTTCCAGCGAAATCCCCAAAGCTAGCCAAATATCCACTTGCAGATTCCAGAAAAAGAGTGTTTCAAAACTGCTCCTTCAAAACGGTGGTTCAATTCTCTTAGTTGAGTACACACATCTCAAATAAGTTTCTGAGAATGCTTCTGTCTAGTTGTTATGGGAAGATATTTCCTTTTCCAACATAGGCCTGAAAGCGCTCCAAATGTCCACTTCCAGATACTACAAAAGGAGTGATTCCAACCTGCTCTATGATAGGGAATGTTCAACTCTGTGTCCTGAATACAAACATCACAAAGATGTTTCTCAGAACGCTGCAGTCTGCAATTTGTATGAATTCCCGCTTCCAACGAAATCCTCCAAACTAGCCAAATATCCACTTGCAGATTCCACAAAAAGAGCGTTTCAAAACTTCTCTATGAAAAGAAAGGTTCTACTCCTTTAGTTGAGGACACACATCACGAGTAAGTTTCTGAGAATGCTTCTGTCTAGTTTTTATGGGAAGATATTTCCTTTTTCACCTTAGGCCGGTAAGTGCTCCAAATGTCCACTTACACACACTACAAAAAGAGTGTTTCAAACCTGCTCTGTGAAAGGGAATGTTCAATTCTGTGACTTGAATGCAATCATCACAAAGAACTTTCTGAGAATGCTGCTGTCTGCTTTTTATATGTAATCCCGTTTCCAACGAAATCCTCAAATCTACCCCAATATCCACTTGCAGATTCCACAAAAAGAGTGTTTCAAAACTGTTCTGTGTAAAGAAATGTACAACTGTTTTAGTTGAGGACACACATCAGAAACTAGTTTCTGAGAATGCTTCTGTCTAGTTGTTATGGGAAGATATTTCCTTTTCCAACGTAGGCCTGAAAGCGCTCCAAATGTCCACTTCCATATACTAAAAAAAGAGTGTTTCAAACCTGCTCTACCAAAGGGAATGTTCTACTCTGTGACTTGAATGCAAACATCCCAAAGAAGTTTCTGAGAATGCTTCTGTCTAGATTTTATCTGAAGACAATCCCGTTTCCAACGAAATCCTCAAGGCTAGGCAAATATACTCTTGCAGATTCCAGAAAAAGAGTGTTTCAAAACTGCTCCTTCAAAACGGTGGTTCAATTCTCTTAGTTGAGTACACACATCTCAAATATGTTTCTGAGAATGCTTCTGCCTAGTTGTTACGGGAAGATATTTCCCTTTCCAACATGGGCCTGAAAGCGCTCCTAATGTCCACTTCTAGATACTACAAAAAGAGTGTTTCAAACCTGCTCTACCAAAGGGAATGTTCTACTCTGTGACTTGAATGCAAACATCCCAAAGAAGTTTCTGAGAATGCTTCTGTCTAGATTTTACCTGAAGACAATCCCGTTTCCCACGAAATCCTCAAAGCTATGCAAATATCCTCTTGCAGATTCTACAAAAAGAGTGTTTCAAAACTGCTCTATGAAAAGAAAGGTTCAACTCTGTCAGTAGAGGGCACACATCACAAACAAGTTTCTGAGAATGCTTCTGTCTAGTTGTTATGGGAAGATATTTCCTTTTCCAACATAGGCCTGAAAGCGCTCCAAATGTCCACTTCCAGATACTACAAAAGGAGTGATTCCAACCTGCTCTATGATAGGGAATGTTCAACTCTGTGTCCTGAATACAAACATCACAAAGATGTTTCTCAGAACGCTGCAGTCTGCAATTTGTATGAATTCCCGCTTCCAACGAAATCCTCAAAACTAGCCAAATATCCACTTGCAGATTCCACAAAAAGACCATTTCAAAACTGCTCTATCAAAAGAAAGGTTCAACTTTGTTAGTTGAGTAGATACAGCATAACCAAGTTTCTGAGAATGCTTCTGTCCAGTTTTTATGGGAAGATATTTCCTTTTTCACCTTAGCCCTGAAATCGCTCCAAAAGTCCAGTTCCAGATACTACAAAAGGGGTGTTTCAAGACTGCTCTATGAAAGGGAGTGTTCAACTTTTGACTTGAATGCAAACATCAGAAAGCAGTTTCTCAGAACGCTGCTGTGTGCTTTTTATATGTATTCCCGCTTCCAGCGAAATCCCCAAAGCTAGCCAAATATCCACTTGCAGATTCCAGAAAAAGAGAGTTTCAAAACTGCTCCTTCAAAACGGTGGTTCAATTCTCTTAGTTGAGTACACACATCTCAAATAAGTTTCTGAGAATGCTTCTGTCTAGTTGTTATGGGAAGATATTTCCTTTTCCAACATAGGCCTGAAAGCGCTCCAAATGTCCACTTCCAGATACTACAAAAGGAGTGATTCAAACCTGCTCTATGATAGGGAATGTTCAACTCTGTGTCCTGAATACAAACATCACAAAGATGTTTCTCAGAACGCTGCAGTCTGCAATTTGTATGAATTCCCGCTTCCAACGAAATCCTCCAAACTAGCCAAATATCCACTTGCAGATTCCACAAAAAGAGCGTTTCAAAACTTCTCTATGAAAACAAAGGTTCTACTCCTTTAGTTGAGGACACACATCACGAGTAAGTTTCTGAGAATGCTTCTGTCTAGATTTTATGGGAAGATATTTCCTTTTTCACCTTAGGCCGGAAAGTGCTCCAAATGTCCACTTACACACACTATAAAAAGAGAGTTTCAAACCTGCTCTGTGAAAGGGAATGTTCAATTCTGTGACTTGAATGCAATCATCACAAAGAACTTTCTGAGAATGCTGCTGTCTGCTTTTTATATGTAATGCCGTTTCCAATGAAATCCTCAAATCTAGCCAAATAGCCACTTGCAGATTCCACAAAAAGAGAGTTTCAAAACTGTTCTGTCTAAAGAAATGTTCAACTGTGTTAGTTGAGGACACACATCAGAAACTAGTTTCTGAGAATGCTTCTGTCTAGTTGTTATGGGAAGATATTTCCTTTTCCAACGTAGGCCTGAAAGCGCTCCAAATGTCCACTTCCATATACTAAAAAAAGAGTGTTTCAATCCTGCTCTACTAAAGGGAATGTTCTACTCTGTGACTTCAATGCAAACATCCCAAAGAAGTTTCTGAGAATGCTTCTGTCTAGATTTTATCTGAAGACAATCCCGTTTCCAACGAAATCCTCAAGGCTAGGCAAATATACTCTTGCAGATTCCAGAAAAAGAGTGTTTCAAAACTGATCCTTCAAAACGGTGGTTCAATTCTCTTAGTTGAGTACACACATCTCAAATAAGTTTCTGAGAATGCTTCTGCCTAGTTGTTACGGGAAGATATTTCCCTTTCCAACATGGGCCTGAAAGCGCTCCAAATGTCCACTTCCAGATACTACAAAAAGAGTGTTTCAAACCTGCTCTACCAAAGGGAATGTTCTACTCTGTGACTTGAATGCAAACATCCCAAAGAAGTTTCTGAGAATGCTTCTGTCTAGATTTTACCTGAAGACAATCCCGTTTCCCACGAAATCCTCAAAGCTATGCAAATATCCTCTTGGAGATTATACAAAAAGAGTGTTTCGAAACTGCTCTATGAAAAGAAAGGTT
The DNA here is from genome assembly GCF_000001405.40 of Homo sapiens. Classification (NCBI taxonomy): domain Eukaryota; kingdom Metazoa; phylum Chordata; class Mammalia; order Primates; family Hominidae; genus Homo; species Homo sapiens. Next base: position 19,479,927 of record NC_000018.10, on the reverse strand, counting down.
CAACTGTGTCAGTAGAGGGCACACATCACAAACAAGTTTCTGAGAATGCCTCTGCCTAGTTGTTATGGGAAGATATTTCCTTGTTCACCTTAGGCCGGAAAGCGCTCCAAATGTCCACTTACACACACTACAAAAAGAGTGTTTCAAACCTGCTCTGTGAAAGGGAATGTTCAATTCTGTGACTTGAATGCAATCATCACAAAGAAGTTTCTGAGAATGCTGCTGTCTGCTTTTTATATGTAATCCCGTTTCCAACGAAATCCTCAAATCTAGCCAAATATCCACTTGCAGATTCCACTAAAAGAGTGTTTCAAAACTGTTCTGTCTAAAGAAATGTTCAACTGTGCTAGTTGAGGACACACATCAGAAACTAGTTTCTGAGAATGCTTCTGTCTAGTTGTTATGGGAAGATATTTCCTTTTCCAACGTAGGCCTGAAAGCGCTCCAAATGTCCACTTACACACACTACAAAAAGAGTGTTTCAAACCTGCTCTACCAAAGGGAATGTTCTACTCTGTGACTTGAATGCAAACATCCCAAAGAAGTTTCTGAGAATGCTTCTGTCTAGATTTTACCTGAAGACAATCCCGTTTCCCACGAAATCCTCAAATCTATGCAAATATCCTCTTGCAGATTCTACAAAAAGAGTGTTTCGAAACTGCTCTATGAAAAGAAAGGTTCAACTGTGTTAGTAGAAGGCACACATCACAAACAAGTTTCTGAGAATGCTTCTGCCTAGTTGTTATGGGAAGATATTTCCTTTTTCAACATAGGCCTGAAAGCGCTCCAAATGTCCACTTCCAGATACTACAAAAGGAGTGATTCCAACCTGCTCTATGATAGGGAATGTTCAACTGTGTGTCCTGAATACAATCATCACAAAGAAGTTTCTGAGAATGCTGCAGTCTGCAATTTGTATGAATTCCCGCTTCCAACGAAATCCTCAAAACTAGCCAAATATCCACTTGCAGATTCCACAAAAAGAGCATTTCAAAACTGCTCTATCAAAAGAAAGGTTCAACTTTGTTAGTTGAGTAGATACAGCATAAACAAGTTTCTGAGAATGCTTCTGTCCAGTTTTTATGGGAAGATATTTCCTTTTTCACCTTAGCCCTGAAAGCGCTCCAAAAGTCCAGTTCCAGATACTACAAAAGGAGTGTTTCAGGACTGCACTATGAAAGGGAGTGTTCAACTTTTGACTTGAATGCAAACATCAGAAAGCAGTTTCTCAGAACGCTGCTGTGTGCTTTTTATATGTATTCCCGCTTCCAGCGAAATCCCCAAAGCTAGCCAAATATCCACTTGCAGATTCCAGAAAAAGAGTGTTTCCAAACTGCTCCTTCAAAACGGTGGTTCAATTCTCTTAGTTGAGTACACACATCTCAAATAAGTTTCTGGGAATGCTTCTGTCTAGTTGTTATGGGAAGATATTTCCTTTTCCAACATAGGCCTGAAAGCGCTCCAAATGTCCACTTCCAGATACTACAAAAGGAGTGATTCAAACCTGCTCTATGATAGGGAATGTTCAACTCTGTGTCCTGAATACAAACATCACAAAGATGTTTCTCAGAACGCTGCAGTCTGCATCTTGTATGAATTCCCGCTTCCAACGAAATCCTCAAAACTAGCCAAATATCCACTTGCAGATTCCACAAAAAGAGCGTTTCAAAACTTCTCTATGAAAAGAAAGGTTCTACTCCTTTAGTTGAGGACACACATCACGAGTAAGTTTCTGAGAATGCTTCTGTCTAGTTTTTATGGGAAGATATTTCCTTGTTCACCTTAGGCCGGAAAGCGCTCCAAATGTCCACTTACACACACTACAAAAAGAGTGTTTCAAACCTGCTCTGTGAAAGGGAATGTTCAATTCTGTGACTTGAATGCAATCATCACAAAGAAGTTTCTGAGAATGCTGCTGTCTGCTTTTTATATGTAATCCCGTTTCCAAACGAAATCCTCAAATCTAGCCAAATATCCACTTGCAGATTCCACAAAAAGAGTGTTTCAAAACTGTCCTGTCTAAAGAAAAGTTCAACTGTGTTAGTTGAGGACACACATCAGAAACTAGTTTCTGAGAATGCTTCTGTCTAGTTGTTATGGGAAGATATTTCCTTTTCCAACGTAGGCCTGAAAGCGCTCCAAATGTCCACTTCCATATACTAAAAAAAGAGTGTTTCAAACCTGCTCTACCAAAGGGAATATTCTACTCTGTGACTTGAGTGCAAACATCCCAAAGAAGTTTCTGAGAATGCTTCTGTCTAGATTTGATCTGAACACAATCCCGTTTCCAACGAAATCCTCAAAGCTAGGCAAATATCCTCTTGCAGATTCCAGAAAAAGAGTGTTTCAAAACTGCTCCTTCAAAACGGTGGTTCAATTCTCTTAGTTTAGTACACACATCTCAAATAAGTTTCTGAGAATGCTTCTGCCTAGTTGTTACCGGAAGATATTTCCCTTTCCAACATAGGCCTGAAAGCGCTCCAAATGTCCACTTCCAGATACTACAAAAAGAGTGTTTCAAACCTGCTCTACCAAAGGGAATGTTCTACTCTGTGACTTGAATGCAAACATCCCAAAGAAGTTTACTGAGAATGCTTCTGTCTAGATTTTACCTGAAGACAATCCCGTTTCCCACGAAATCCTCAAAGCTATGCAAATATCCTCTTGCAGATTCTACAAAAAGAGTGTTTCAAAACTGCTCTATGAAAAGAAAGGTTCAACTCTGTCAGTAGAGGGCACACATCACAAACAAGTTTCTGAGAATGCTTGTGTCTAGTTGTTATGGGAAGATATTTCCTTTTTCAACATAGGCCTGAAAGCGCTCCAAATGTCCACTTCCAGATACTACAAAAGGAGTGATTCCAACCTGCTCTATGATAGGGAATGTTCAACTCTCTGTCCTGAATACAAACATCACAAAGATGTTTCCTCAGAACGCTGCAGTCTGCAATTTGTATGAATTCCCGCTTCCAACGAAATCCTCAAAACTAGCCAAATATCCACTTGCAGATTCCACAAAAAGACCATTTCAAAACTGCTCTATCAAAAGAAAGGTTCAACTTTGTTAGTTGAGTAGATACAGCATAAACAAGTTTCTGAGAATGCTTCTGTCCAGTTTTTATGGGAAGATATTTCCTTTTTCACCTTAGCCCTGAAATCGCTCCAAAAGTCCAGTTCCAGATACTACAAAAGGGGTGTTTCAAGACTGCTCTATGAAAGGGAGTGTTCAACTTTTGACTTGAATGCAAACATCAGAAAGCAGTTTCTCAGAACGCTGCTGTGTGCTTTTTATATGTATTCCCGCTTCCAGCGAAATCCCCAAAGCTAGCCAAATATCCACTTGCAGATTCCAGAAAAAGAGAGTTTCAAAACTGCTCCTTCAAAACGGTGGTTCAATTCTCTTAGTTGAGTACACACATCTCAAATAAGTTTCTGAGAATGCTTCTGTCTAGTTGTTATGGGAAGATATTTCCTTTTCCAACATAGGCCTGAAAGCGCTCCAAATGTCCACTTCCAGATATTACAAAAGGAGTGATTCAAACCTGCTCTATGATAGGGAATGTTCAACTCTGTGTCCTGAATACAAACATCACAAAGATGATTCTCAGAACGCTGCAGTCTGCAATTTGTATGAATTCCCGCTTCCAACGAAATCCTCAAAACTAGCCAAATATCCACTTGCAGATTCCACAAAAAGAGCGTTTCAAAACTTCTCTATGAAAAGAAAGGTTCTACTCCTTTAGTTGAGGACACACATCACGAGTAAGTTTCTGAGAATGCTTCTGTCTAGTTTTTATGGGAAGATATTTCCTTTTTCACCTTAGGCCGGTAAGTGCTCCAAATGTCCACTTACACACACTACAAAAAGAGTGTTTCAAACCTGCTCTGTGAAAGGGAATGTTCAATTCTGTGACTTGAATGCAATCATCACAAAGAACTTTCTGAGAATGCTGCTGACTGCTTTTTATATGTAATCCCGTTTCCAACGAAATCCTCAAATCTAGCCAAATAGCCACTTGCAGATTCCACAAAAAGAGTGTTTCAAAACTGTTCTGTCTAAAGAAATGTTCAACTGTGTTAGTTGACGACACACATCAGAAACTAGTTTCTGAGAATGCTTCTGTCTAGTTGTTATGGGAAGATATTTCCTTTTCCAACGTAGGCCTGAAAGCGCTCCAAATGTCCACTTCCAGATACTACAAAAAGAGTGTTTCAAACCTGCTCTACCAAAGGGAATGTTCTACTCTGTGACTTGAATGCAAACATCCCAAAGAAGTTTCTGAGAATGCTTCTGTCTAGATTTTCTCTGAAGACAATCCCGTTTCCAACGAAATCCTCAAGGCTAGGCAAATATACTCTTGCAGATTCCAGAAAAAGAGTGTTTCAAAACTGCTCCTTCAAAACGGTGGTTCAATTCTCTTAGTTGAGTACACACATCTCAAATAAGTTTCTGAGAATGCTTCTGCCTAGTTGTTACGGGAAGATATTTCCCTTTCCAACATAGGCCTGAAAGCGCTCCAAATGTCCACTTCCAGATACTACAAAAAGAGTGTTTCAAACCTGCTCTACCAAAGGGGAATGTTCTACTCTGTGACTTGAATGCAAACATCCCAAGGAAGTTTCTGAGAATGCTTCTGTCTAGATTTTACCTGAAGACAATCCCGTTTCCCACGAAATCCTCAAAGCTATGCAAATATCCTCTTGCAGATTCTACAAAAAGAGTGTTTCAAAACTGCTCTATGAAAAGAAAGGTTCAACTCTGTCAGTAGAGGGCACACATCACAAACAAGTTTCTGAGAATGCTTGTGTCTAGTTGTTATGGGAAGATATTTCCTTTTTCAACATAGGCCTGAAAGCGCTCCAAATGTCCACTTCCAGATACTACAAAAGGAGTGATTCCAACATGCTCTATGGTAGGGAATGTTCATCTCTGTGTCTTGAATACAAACATCACAAAGATGTTTCTCAGAACGCTGCAGTCTGCAATTTGTATGAATTCCCGCTTCCAACGAAATCCTCAAAACTAGCCAAATATCCACTTGCAGATTCCACAAAAAGACCATTTCAAAACTGCTCTATCAAAAGAAAGGTTCAACTTTGTTAGTTGAGTAGATACAGCATAACCAAGTTTCTGAGAATGCTTCTGTCCAGTTTTTATGGGAAGATATTTCCTTTTTCACCTTAGCCCTGAAATCGCTCCAAAAGTCCAGTTCCAGATACTACAAAAGGGGTGTTTCAAGACTGCTCTATGAAAGGGAGTGTTCAACTTTTGACTTGAATGCAAACATCAGAAAGCAGTTTCTCAGAACGCTGCTGTGTGCTTTTTATATGTATTCCCGCTTCCAGCGAAATCCCCAAAGCTAGCCAAATATCCACTTGCAGATTCCAGAAAAAGAGTGTTTCAAAACTGCTCCTTCAAAACGGTGGTTCAATTCTCTTAGTTGAGTACACACATCTCAAATAAGTTTCTGAGAATGCTTCTGTCTAGTTGTTATGGGAAGATATTTCCTTTTCCAACATAGGCCTGAAAGCGCTCCAAATGTCCACTTCCAGATACTACAAAAGGAGTGATTCAAACCTGCTCTATGATAGGGAATGTTCAACTCTGTGTCCTGAATACAAACATCACAAAGATGTTTCTCAGAACGCTGCAGTCTGCAATTTGTATGAATTCCCGCTTCCAACGAAATCCTCAAAACTAGCCAAATATCCACTTGCAGATTCCACAAAAAGAGCGTTTCAAAACTTCTCTATGAAAGAAAGGTTCTACTCCTTTAGTTGAGGACACACATCACGAGTAAGTTTCTGAGAGTGCTTCTGTCTAGTTTTTATGGGAAGATATGTCCTTTTTCACCTTAGGCCGGAAAGCGCTCCAAATGTCCACTTACACACACTACAAAAAGAGTGTTTCAAACCTGCTCTGTGAAAGGGAATGTTCAATTCTGTGACTTGAATGCAATCATCACAAAGAACTTTCTGAGAATGCTGCTGTCTGCTTTTTATATGTATTCCCGTTTACAACGAAATCCTCAAATCCAGCCAAATATCCACTTGCAGATTCCACAAAAAGAGTGTTTCAAAACTGCTCTCTCAAAAGAAATGTTCAACTCTGTCAGTTGAGGACACACATCACAAATACGTTTCTGAGAATGCTTCTGTCTAGATTTTATATGAAGATATTCCCGTTTCCAACGAAATCCACAAAGCTATCGAAATATCCACTTGCAGATTCTACAGAAAGAGTGTTTCGAAACTGCTCTATGAAAAGAAAGGTTCAACTCTGTCAGTAGAGGGTACACATCACAAAGAAGTTTCTGAGAATTCTTCTGTCTAGTTGTTATGGGAAGATATTTCCTTTTTCAACATAGGCCTGAAAGCGCTCCAAATGTCCACTTCCAGATACTACAAAAGGAGTGAATCAAAAATGCTCTATGATAGGGAATGTTCAACTCTGTGTCCTGAATACAAACATCACAAAATGTTTCTCAGAACGCTGCAGTCTGCAATTTGTATGAATTACCGCTTCCAACGAAATCCTCAAAACTAGCCAAATATCCACTTGCAGATTCCACAAAAAGAGCGTTTCAAAACTTCTCTATGAAAAGAAAGGTTCTACTCCTTTAGTTGAGGACACACATCACGAGTAAGTTTCTGAGAATGCTTCTGTCTAGTTTTTATGGGAAGATATTTCCTTTTTCACCTTAGGCCGGAAAGCGCTCCAAATGTCCACTTACAGACACTACAAAAAGAGTGTTTCAAACCTGCTCTGTGAAAGGGAATGTTCAATTCTGTGACTTGAATGCAATCATCACAAACAAGTTTCTGAGAATGCTGCTGTCTGCTTTTTATATGTAATCCCGTTTCCAACGAAATCCTCAAATCTAGCCAAATATCCACTTGCAGATTCCAAAAAAAAAGTGTTTCAAAACTGTTCTGTCAAAAGAAATGTTCAACTCTGTTAGTTGAGGACACACATCAGAAACTAGTTTTCTGAGAATGCTTCTGTCTAGTTGTTATGGGAAGATATTTCCTTTTCCAACGTAGGCCTGAAAGCGCTCCAAATGTCCACTTCCATATACTAAAAAAAGAGTGTTTCAAACCTGCTCTACCAAAGGGAATGTTCTACTCTGTGACTTGAATGCAAACATCCCAAAGAAGTTTCTGAGAATGCTTCTGTCTAGATTTGATCTGAACACAATCCCGTTTCCAACGAAATCCTCAAAGCTAGGCAAATATCCTCTTGCAGATTCCAGAAAAAGAGTGTTTCAAAACTGCTCCTTCAAAACGGTGGTTCAATTCTCTTAGTTGAGTACACACATCTCAAATAAGTTTCTGAGAATGTTTCTGCCTAGTTGTTACCGGAAGATATTTCCCTTTCCAACATAGGCCTGAAAGCGCTCCAAATGTCCACTTCCAGATACTACAAAAAGAGTGTTTCAAACCTGCTCTACCAAAGGGAATGTTCTACTCTGTGACTTGAATGCAAACATCCCAAAGAAGTTTCTGAGAATGCTTCTGTCTAGATTTTACCTGAAGACAATCCCGTTTCCCACGAAATCCTCAAAGCTATGCAAATATCCTCTTGCAGATTCTACAAAAAGAGTGTTTCAAAACTGCTCTATGAAAAGAAAGGTTCAACTCTGTCAGTAGAGGGCACACATCACAAACAAGTTTCTGAGAATGCTTGTGTCTAGTTGTTATGGGAAGATATTTCCTTTTTCAACATAGGCCAGAAAGCGCTCCAAATGTCCACTTCCAGATACTACAAAAGGAGTGATTCCAACCTGCTCTATGATAGGGAATGTTCAACTCTCTGTCCTGAATACAAACATCACAAAGATGTTTCTCAGAACGCTGCAGTCTGCAATTTGTATGAATTCCCGCTTCCAACGAAATCCTCAAAACTAGCCAAATATCCACTTGCAGATTCCACAAAAAGACCATTTCAAAACTGCTCTATCAAAAGAAAGGTTCAACTTTGTTAGTTGAGTAGTTACAGCATAAACAAGTTTCTGAGAATGCTTCTGTCCAGTTTTTATGGGAAGATATTTCCTTTTTCACCTTAGCCCTGAAATCGCTCCAAAAGTCCAGTTCCAGATACTACAAAACGGGTGTTTCAAGACTGCTCTATGAAAGGGAGTGTTCAACTTTTGACTTGAATGCAAACATCAGAAAGCAGTTTCTCAGAACGCTGCTGTGTGCTTTTTATATGTATTCCCGCTTCCAGCGAAATCCCCAAAGCTAGCCAAATATCCACTTGCAGATTCCAGAAAAAGAGAGTTTCAAAACTGCTCCTTCAAAACGGTGGTTCAATTCTCTTAGTTGAGTACACACATCTCAAATAAGTTTCTGAGAATGCTGCAGTCTGCAATTTGTATGAATTCCAGCTTCCAACGAAATCCTCGCAACTAGCCAAATATCCACTTGCAGATTCCACAAAAAGAGCATTTCAAAACTGCTCTATCAAAAGAAAGGTTCAACTTTGTTTGTTGAGTAGATACAGCATAAACAAGTTTCTGAGAATGCTGCAGTCTGCAATTTGTATGAATTCCCGCTTCCAACGAAATCCTCAAAACTAGCCAAATACCCACTTGCAGATTCCACAAAAAGAGCGTTTCAAAACTTCTCTATGAAAAGAAAGGTTCTACTCCTTTAGTTGAGGACACTCATCACGAGTAAGTTTCTGAGAATGCTTTCTGTCTAGTTTTTATGGGAAGATATTTCCTTTTTCACCTTAGGCCGGTAAGTGCTCCAAATGTCCACTTACACACACTACAAAAAGAGTCTTTCAAACCTGCTCTGTGAAAGGGAATGTTCAATTCTGTGACTTGAATGCAATCATCACAAAGAACTTTCTGAGAATGCTGCTGTCTGCTTTTTATATGTAATCCCGTTTCCAACGAAATCCTCAAATCTAGCCAAATATCCACTTGCAGATTCCACAAAAAGAGTGTTTCAAAACTGTTCTCTCTAAAGAAATGTTCAATTGTGTTAGTTGAGGACACACATCAGAAACTAGTTTCTGAGAATGCTTCTGTCTAGTTGTTATGGGAAGATATTTCCTTTTCCAACGTAGGCCTGAAAGCGCTCCAAATGTCCACTTCCATATACTAAAAAAAGAGTGTTTCAAACCTGCTCTACCAAAGGGAATGTTCTACTCTGTGACTTGAATGCAAACATCCCAAAGAAGTTTCTGAGAATGCTTCTGTCTAGATTTGATCTGAAGACAATCCCGTTTCCAACGAAATCCTCAAGGCTAGGCAAATATCCTCTTGCAGATTCCAGAAAAAGAGTGTTTCAAAACTGCTCCTTCAAAACGGTGATTCAATTCTCTTAGTTGAGTACACACATCTCAAGTAAGTTTCTGAGAATGCTTCTGCCTAGTTGTTACGGGAAGATATTTCCCTTTCCAACATAGGCCTGAAAGCGCTCCAAATGTCCACTTCCAGATACTAGAAAAAGAGTGTTTCAAACCTGCTCTACCAAAGGGAATGTTCTACTCTGTGACTTGAATGCAAACATCCCAAAGAAGTTTCTGAGAATGCTTCTGTCTAGATTTTACCTGAAGACAATCCCGTTTCCCACGAAATCCTCAAAGCTATGCAAATATCCTCTTGCAGATTCTACAAAAAGAGTGTTTCAAAACTGCTCTATGAAAAGAAAGGTTCAACTCTGTCAGTAGAGGGCACACATCACAAACAAGTTTCTGAGAATGCTTGTGTCTAGTTGTTATGGGAAGATATTTCCTTTTTCAACATAGGCCTGAAAGCGCTCCAAATGTCCACTTCCAGATACTACAAAAGGAGTGATTCCAACATGCTCTATGATAGGGAATGTTCATCTGCTGTGTCCTGAATACAAACATCACAAAGATGTTTCTCAGAACGCTGCAGTCTGCAATTTGCATGAATTCCAGCTTCCAACGAAATCCTCAAAACTAGCCAAATATCCACTTGCAGATTCCACAAAAAGAGCATTTCAAAACTGCTCTATCAAAAGAAAGGTTCAACTTTGTTAGTAGAGTAGATACAGCATAAACAAGTTTCTGAGAATGCTTCTGTCCAGTTTTTATGGGAAGATATTTCCTTTTTCACCTTAGCCCTGAAATCGCTCCAAAAGTCCAGTTCCAGATACTACAAAAGGGGTGTTTCAAGACTGCTCTATGAAAGGGAGTGTTCAACTTTTGACTTGAATGCAAACATCAGAAAGCAGTTTCTCAGAACGCTGCTGTGTGCTTTTTATATGTATTCCCGCTTCCAGCGAAATCCCCAAAGCTAGCCAAATATCCACTTGCAGATTCCAGAAAAAGAGTGTTTCAAAACTGCTCCTTCAAAACGGTGGTTCAATTCTCTTAGTTGAGTACACACATCTCAAATAAGTTTCTGAGAATGCTTCTGTCTAGTTGTTATGGGAAGATATTTCCTTTTCCAACATAGGCCTGAAAGCGCTCCAAATGTCCACTTCCAGATACTACAAAAGGAGTGATTCAAACCTGCTCTATGATAGGGAATGTTCAACTCTGTGTCCTGAATACAAACATCACAAAGATGTTTCTCAGAACGCTGCAGTCTGCAATTTGTATGAATTCCCGCTTCCAACGAAATCCTCAAAACTAGCCAAATATCCACTTGCAGATTCCACAAAAAGAGCGTTTCAAAACTTCTCTCTGAAAAGAAAGGTTCTACTCCTTTAGTTGAGGACACACATGACGAGTAAGTTTCTGAGAATGCTTCTGTCTAGTTTTTATGGGAAGATATTTCCTTTTTCACCTTAGGCCGGAAAGTGCTCCAAATGACCACTTACACACACTACAAAAAGAGTGTTTCAAACCTGCTCTGTGAAAGGGAATGTTCAATTCTGTGACTTGAATGCAATCATCACAAAGAACTTTCTGAGAATGCTGCTGTCTGCTTTTTATATGTAATCCCGTTTCCAACGAAATCCTCAAATCTAGCCAAATAGCCACTTGCAGATTCCACAAAAAGAGTGTTTCAAAACTGTTCTGTCTAAAGAAAAGTTCAACTGTGTTAGTTGAGGACACACATCAGAAACTAGTTTCTGAGAATGCTTCTGTCTAGTTGTTATGGGAAGATATTTCCTTTTCCAACGTAGGCCTGAAAGTGCTCCAAATGTCCACTTCCATATACTAAAAAAAGAGTGTTTCAAACCTGCTCTACCAAAGGGAATGTTCTACTCTGTGACTTGAATGCAAACATCCCAAAGAAGTTTCTGAGAATGCTTCTGTCTAGATTTGATCTGAAGACAATCCCGTTTCCAACGAAATCCTCAAGGCTAGGCAAATATCCTCTTGCAGATTCCAGAAAAAGAGTGTTTCAAAACTGCTCCTTCAAAACGGTGGTTCAATTCTCTTAGTTGAGTACACACATCTCAAATAAGTTTCTGAGAATGCTTCTGCCTAGTTGTTACGGGAAGATATTTCCCTTTCCAACATAGGCCTGAAAGCGCTCCAAATGTCCACTTCCAGATACTACAAAAAGAGTGTTTCAAACCTGCTCCTTCAAAACGGTGGTTCAATTCTCTTAGTTCAGTACACACATCTCAAATAAGTTTCTGAGAATGCTTCTGCCTAGTTGTTACGGGAAGATATTTCCCTTTCCAACATAGGCCTGAAAGCGCTCCAAATGTCCACTTCCAGATACTACAAAAAGAGTGTTTCAAACCTGCTCTACCAAAGGGAATGTTCTACTCTGTGACTTGAATGCAAACATCCCGAAGAATTTTCTGAGAATGCTTCTGTCTAGATTTTACCTGAAGACAATCCCGTTTCCCACGAAATCCTCAAAGCTATGCAAATATCCTCTTGCAGATTCTACAAAAAGAGTGTTTCGAAACTGCTCTATGAAAAGAAAGGTTCAACTCTGTCAGTAGAGGGCACACATCACAAACAAGTTTCTGAGAATGCTTGTGTCTACTTGTTATGGGAAGATATTTCCTTTTTCAACATAGGCCTGAAAGCGCTCCAAATGTCCACTTCCAGATACTACAAAAGGAGTGATTCCAACCTCCTCTATGATAGGGAATGTTCAACTCTGTGTCCTGAATACAAACATCACAAAGATGTTTCTCAGAACGCTGCAGTCTGCAATTTGTATGAATTCCCGCTTCCAACGAAATCCTCAAAACTAGCCAAATATCCACTTGCAGATTCCACAAAAAGACCATTTCAAAACTGCTCTATCAAAAGAAAGGTTCAACTTTGTTAGTTGAGTAGATACAGCATAAACAAGTTTCTGAGAATGCTTCTGTCCAGTTTTTATGGGAAGATATTTCCTTTTTCACCTTAGCCCTGAAATCGCTCCAAAAGTCCAGTTCCAGATACTACAAAAGGGGTGTTTCAGGACTGCTCTATGAAAGGGAGTGTTCAACTTTTGACTTGAATGCAAACATCAGAAAGCAGTTTCTCAGAACGCTGCTGTGTGCTTTTTATATGTATTCCCGCTTCCAGCGAAATCCCCAAAGCTAGCCAAATATCCACTTGCAGATTCCAGAAAAAGAGAGTTTCAAAACTGCTCCTTCAAAACGGTGGTTCAATTCTCTTAGTTGAGTACACACATCTCAAATAAGTTTCTGAGAATGCTGCTGTGTGCTTTTTATATGTATTCCCGCTTCCAGCGAAATCCCCAAAGCTAGCCAAATATCCACTTGCAGACTCCAGAAAAAGAGTGTTTCAAAACTGCTCCTTCAAAACGGTGGTTCAATTCTCTTAGTTGAGTACACACATCTCAAATAAGTTTCTGAGAATGCTGCAGTCTGCAATTTGTATGAATTCCCGCTTCCAACGAAATCCTCAAAACTAGCCAAATATCCACTTGCAGATTCCACAAAAAGAGCGTTTCAAAACTTCTCTATGAAAAGAAAGGTTCTACTCCTTTAGTTGAGGACACACATCACGAGTAAGTTTCTGAGAATGCTTCTGTCTAGTTTTTATGGGAAGATATTTCCTTTTTCACCTTAGGCCGGAAAGCGCTCCAACTGTCCACTTACACACACTACAAAAAGAGTGTTTCAAACCTGCTCTGTGAAAGGGAATGTTCAATTCTGTGACTTGAATGCAATCACCACAAAGAACTTTCTGAGAATGCTGCAGTCTGCTTTTTATATGTAATCCCGTTTCCAACGAAATCCTCAAATCTAGCCAAATATCCACTTGCAGATTCCACAAAAAGAGTGTTTCAAAACTGTTCTGTCTAAAGAAAAGTTCAACTGTGTTAGTTGAGGACACACATCAGAAACTAGTTTCTGAGAATGCTTCTGTCTAGTTGTTATGGGAAGATATTTCCTTTTCCAACGTAGGCCTGAAAGCGCTCCAAATGTCCACTTCCAGATACTACAAAAAGAGTGTTTCAAACCTGCTCTACCAAAGGGAATGTTCTACTCTGTGACTTGAATGCAAGCATCCCAAAGAAGTTTCTGAGAATGCTTCTGTCTAGATTTGATCTGAAGACAATCCCGTTTCCAACGAAATCCTCAAATCTATGCAAATATCCTCTTGCAGATTCCAGAAAAAGAGTGATTCAAAACTGCTCCTTCAAAACGGTGGTTCAATTCTCTTAGTTGAGTACACACATCTCAAATAGGTTTCTGAGAATGCTTCTGCCTAGTTGTTACGGGAAGATATTTCCCTTTCCAACATAGGCCTGAAAGCGCTCCAAATGTCCACTTCCAGATACGACAAAAAGAGTGTTTCAAACCTGCTCTACCAAAGGGAATGTTCTACTCTGTGACTTGAATGCAAACATCCCAAAGAAGTTTCTGAGAATGCTTCTGTCTAGATTTTACCTGAAGACAATCCCGTTTCCCACGAAATCCTCAAAGCTATGCAAATATCCTCTTGCAGATTCTACAAAAAGAGCGTTTCAAAACTTCTCTATGAAAAGAAAGGTTCTACTCATTTAGTGGAGGACACACATCACGAGTAAGTTTCTGAGAATGCTTCTGTCTAGTTTTTATGGGAAGATATTTCCTTTTTCACCTTAGGCCGGAAAGTGCTCCAAATGTCCAATTACACACACTAAAAAAGAGTATTTCAAACCTGCTCTGTGAAAGGGAATGTTCAATTCTGTGACTTGAATGCAATCATCACAAAGAACTTTCTGAGAATGCTGCTGACTGCTTTTTATATGTAATCCCGTTTCCAACGAAATCCTCAAATCTAGCCAAATAGCCACTTGCAGATTCCACAAAAAGAGTGTTTCAAAACTGTTCTGTCTAAAGAAATGTTCAACTGTGTTAGTTGAGGACACACATCAGAAACTAGTTTCTGAGAATGCTTCTGTCTAGTTGTTATGGGAAGATATTTCCTTTTACAACGTAGGCCTGAAAGCGCTCCAAATGTCCACTTCCATATACTAAAAAAAGAGTGTTTCAAACCTGCTCTACCAAAGGGAATGTTCTACTCTGTGACTTGAATGCAAACATCCCAAAGAAGTTTCTGAGAATGCTTCTGTCTAGATTTGATCTGAAGACAATCCCGTTTCCAACGAAATCCTCAAGGCTAGGCAAATATCCTCTTGCAGATTCCAGAAAAAGAGTGTTTCAAAACTGCTCCTTCAAAACGGTGGTTCAATTCTCTTAGTTGAGTACACACATCTCAAATAAGTTTCTGAGAATGCTTCTGCCTAGTTGTTACGTGAAGATATTTCCCTTTCCAACATAGGCCTGAAAGCGCTCCTAATGTCCACTTCCAGATACTACAAAAAGAGTGTTTCAAACCTGCTCTACCAAAGGGAATGTTCTGCTCTGTAACTTGAATGCAAACATCCCAAAGAAGTTTCTGAGAATGCTTCTGTCTAGATTTTTACCTGAAGACAATCCCGTTTCCCACGAAATCCTCAAAGCTATGCAAATATCCTCTTGCAGATTCTACAAAAAGAGTGTTTCAAAACTGCTCTATGAAAAGAAAGGTTCAACTCTGTCAGTAGAGGGCACACATCACAAACAAGTTTCTGAGAATGCTTGTGTCTAGTTGTTATGGGAAGATATTTCCTTTTTCAACATAGGCCTGAAAGCGCTCCAAATGTCCACTTCCAGATACTACAAAAGGAGTGATTCCAACCTGCTCTATGATAGGGAATGTTCAACTCTCTGTCCTGAATACAAACATCACAAAGATGTTTCTCAGAACGCTGCAGTCTGCAATTTGTATGAATTCCCGCTTCCAACGAAATCCTCAAAACTAACCAAATATCCACTTGCAGACTCCACAAAAAGAGCATTTCAAAACTGCTCTATCAAAAGAAAGGTTCAACTTTGTTAGCTGAGTAGATACAGCATAAACAAGTTTCTGAGAATGCTTCTGTCCAGTTTTTATGGGAAGATATTTCCTTTTTCACCTTAGCCCTGAAAGCGCTCCAAATGTGCAGTTCCAGATACTACAAAAGGGGTGTTTCAAGACTGCTCTATGAAAGGGAGTGTTCAACTTTTGACTTGAATGCAAACATCAGAAAGCAGTTTCTCAGAACGCTGCTGTGTGCTTTTTATATGTATTCCCGCTTCCAGCGAAATCCCCAAAGCTAGCCAAATATCCACTTGCAGATTCCAGAAAAAGAGTGTTTCAAAACTGCTCCTTCAAAACGGTGGTTCAATTCTCTTAGTTGAGTACACACATCTCAAATAAGTTTCTGAGAATGCTTCTGTCTAGTTGTTATGGGAAGATATTTCCTTTTCCAACATAGGCCTGAAAGCGCTCCAAATGTCCACTTCCAGACACTACAAAAGGAGTGATTCCAACCTGCTCTATGATAGGGAATGTTCAACTCTGTGTCCTGAATACAAACATCACAAAGATGTTTCTCAGAACGCTGCAGTCTGCAATTTGTATGAATTCCCGCTTCCAACGAAATCCTCAAAACTAGCCAAATATCCACTTGCAGATTCCACAAAAAGAGCGTTTCAAAACTTCTCTATGAAAAGAAAGGTTCTACTCCTTTAGTTGAGGACACACATCACGAGTAAGTTTCTGAGAATGCTTCTGTCTAGTTTTTAAGGGAAGATATTTCCTTTTTCACCTTAGGCCGGAAAGTGCTCCAAATGTCCACTTACACACACTACAAAAAGAGTGTTTCAAACCTGCTCTGTGAAAGGGAATGTTCAATTCTGTGACTTGAATGCAATCATCACAAAGAACTTTCTGAGAATGCTGCTGTCTGCTTTTTATATGTAATCCCGTTTCCAACGAAATCCTCAAATCTAGCCAAATAGCCACTTGCAGATTCCACAAAAAGAGAGTTTCAAAACTGTTCTGTCTAAAGAAATGTTCAACTGTGTTAGTTGAGGACACACATCAGAAACTAGTTTCTGAGAATGCTTCTGTCTAGTTGTTATGGGAAGATATTTCCTTTTCCAACGTAGGCCTGAAAGCGCTCCAAATGTCCACTTCCATATACTAAAAAAAGAGTGTATCAAACCTGCTCTACCAAAGGGAATGTTCTACTCTGTGACTTGAATGCAAACATCCCAAAGAAGTTTCTGAGAATGCTTCTGTCTAGATTTGATCTGAAGACAATCCCGTTTCCAACGAAATCCTCAAGGCTAGGCAAATATCCTCTTGCAGATTCCAGAAAAAGAGTGTTTCAAAACTGCTCCTTCAAAACGGTGGTTCAATTCTCTTAGTTGAGTACACACATCTCAAATAAGTTTCTGAGAATGCTTCTGCCTAGTTGTTACGGGAAGATATTTCCCTTTCCAACATAGGCCTGAAAGCGCTCCAAATGTCCACTTCCAGATACTACAAAAAGAGTGTTTCAAACCTGCTCTACCAAAGGGAATGTTCTACTCTGTGACTTGAATGCAAACATCCCAAAGAAGTTTCTGAGAATGCTTCTGTCTAGATTTTACCTGAAGACAATCCCGTTTCCCACGAAATCCTCAAAGCTATGCAAATATCCTCTTGCAGATTCTACAAAAAGAGTGTTTCAAAACTGCTCTATGAAAAGAAAGGTTCAACTCTGTCAGTAGAGGGCACACATCACAAACAAGTTTCTGAGAATGCTTGTGTCTAGTTGTTATGGGAAGATATTTCCTTTTTCAACATAGGCCAGAAAGCGCTCCAAATGTCCACTTCCAGATACTACAAAAGGAGTGATTCCAACCTGCTCTATGATAGGGAATGTTCAACTCTCTGTCCTGAATACAAACATCACAAAGATGTTTCTCAGAACGCTGCAGTCTGCAATTTGTATGAATTCCCGCTTCCAACGAAATCCTCAAAACTAGCCAAATATCCACTTGCAGATTCCACAAAAAGAGCATTTCAAAACTGCTCTATCAAAAGAAAGGTTCAACTTTGTTAGTTGAGTAGATACAGCATAAACAAGTTTCTGAGAATGCTGCAGTCTGCAATTTGTATGAATTCCCGCTTCCAACGAAATCCTCAAAACTAGGCAAATATCCACTTGCAGATTCCACAAAAAGAGCGTTTCAAAACTTCTCTATGAAAAGAAAGGTTCTACTCCTTTAGTTGAGGACACACATCACGAGTAAGTTTCTGAGAATGCTCTGTCTAGTTTTTATGGGAAGATATTTCCTTTTTCACCTTAGGCCGGAAAGTGCTCCAAATGTCCACTTACACACACTACAAAAAGAGTGTTTCAAACCTGCTACTGTGAAAGGGAATGTTCAATTACTGTGACTTGAATGCAATCATCACAAAGAACTTTCTGAGAATGCTGGCTGTCTGCTTTTTATATGTAATCCCGTTTCCAACGAAATCCTCAAATCTAGCCAAATAGCCACTTGCAGATTCCACAAAAAGAGTGTTTCAAAACTGTTCTGTCTAAAGAAATGTTCAACTGTGTTAGTTGAGGACACACATCAGAAACTAGTTTCTGAGAATGCTTCTGTCTAATTGTTATGGGAAGATATTTCCTTTTCCAACGTAGGCCTGAAAGCGCTCCAAATGTCCACTTCCATATACTAAAAAAAGAGTGTTTCAAACCTGCTCTACCAAAGGGAATGTTCTACTCTGTGACTTGAATGCAAACATCCCAAAGAAGTTTCTGAGAATGCTTCTGTCTAGATTTGATCTGAAGACAATCCCGTTTCCAACGAAATCCTCAAAGCTAGGCAAATATCCTCTTGCAGATTCCAGAAAAAGAGTGTTTCAAAACTGCTCCTTCAAAACGGTGGTTCAATTCTCTTAGTTGAGTACACACATCTCCAATAAGTTTCTGAGAATGCTTCTGCCTAGTTGTTACGGGAAGATATTTCCCTTTCCAACATAGGCCTGAAAGCGCTCCAAATGTCCACTTCCAGATACTAAAAAAAGAGTGTTTCAAACCTGCTCTACCAAAGGGAATGTTCTACTCTGTGACTTGAATGCAAACATCCCAAAGAAGTTTCTGAGAATGCTTCTGTCTAGATTTTACCTGAAGACAATCCCGTTTCCCACGAAATCCTCAAAGCTATGCAAATATCCTCTTGCAGATTCTACAAAAAGAGTGTTTCAAAACTGCTCTATGAAAAGAAAGGTTCAACTCTGTCAGTAGAGGGCACACATCACAAACAAGTTTCTGAGAATGCTTCTGCATAGTTGTTACGGGAAGATATTTCCCTTTCCAAAATAGGCCTGAAAGCGCTCCAAATGTCCACTTCCAGATACTACAAAAGGAGTGATTCCAACCTGCTCTATGATAGGGAATGTTCAACTCTGTGTCCTGAATACAAACATCACAAAGATGTTTCTCAGAACGCTGCAGTCTGCAATTTGTATGAATTCCCGCTTCCAACGAAATCCTCAAAACTAGCCAAATATCCACTTGCAGATTCCACAAAAAGACCATTTCAAAACTGCTCTATCAAAAGAAAGGTTCAACTTTGTTAGTTGAGTAGATACAGCATAAACAAGTTTCTGAGAATGCTTCTGTCCAGTTTTTATGGGAAGATATTTCCTTTTTCACCTTAGCCCTGAAATCGCTCCAAAAGTCCAGTTCCAGATACTACAAAAGGGGTGTTTCAAGACTGCTCTATGAAAGGGAGTGTTCAACTTTTGACTTGAATGCAAACATCAGAAAGCAGTTTCTCAGAACGCTGCTGTGTGCTTTTTATATGTATTCCCGCTTCCAGCGAAATCCCCAAAGCTAGCCAAATATCCACTTGCAGATTCCAGAAAAAGAGAGTTTCAAAACTGCTCCTTCAAAACGGTGGTTCAATTCTCTTAGTTGAGTACACACATCTCAAATAAGTTTCTGAGAATGCTTCTGTCTAGTTGTTATGGGAAGATATTTCCTTTTCCAACATAGGCCTGAAAGTGCTCCAAATGTCCACTTCCAGATACTACAAAAGGAGTGATTCCAACCTGCTCTATGATAGGGAATGTTCAACTCTGTGTCCTGAATACAAACATCACAAAGATGTTTCTCAGAACGCTGCAGTCTGCAATTTGTATGAATTCCCGCTTCCAACGAAATCCTCAAAACTAGCCAAATATCCACTTGCAGATTCCACAAAAAGAGCGTTTCAAAACTTCTCTATGAAAAGAAAGGTTCTACTCCTTTAGTTGAGGACACACATCACGAGTAAGTTTGCTGAGAATGCTTATCTGTCTAGTTTTTATGGGAAGATATTTCCTTTTTCACCTTAGGCCGGAAAGCGCTCCAAATGTCCACTTACACACACTACAAAAAGAGTGTTTCAAACCTGCTCTGTGAAAGGGAATGTTCAATTTCTGTGACTTGAATGCAATCATCACAAAGAACTTTCTGAGAATGCTGCTGACTGCTTTTTATATGTAATCCCGTTTCCAACGAAATCCTCAAATCTAGCCAAATAGCCACTTGCAGATTCCACAAAAAGAGTGTTTCAAAACTGTTCTGTCTAAAGAAATGTTCAACTGTGTTAGTTGAGGACACACATCAGAAACTAGTTTCTGAGAATGCTTCTGTCTAGTTGTTATGGGAAGATATTTCCTTTTCCAACGTAGGCCTGAAAGCGCTCCAAATGTCCACTTCCAGATACTACAAAAAGAGTGTTTCAAACCTGCTCTACCAAAGGGAATGTTCTACTCTGTGACTTGAATGCAAACATCCCAAAGAAGTTTCTGAGAATACTTCTGTCTAGATTTTCTCTGAAGACAATCCCGTTTCCAACGAAATCCTCAAGGCTAGGCAAATATACTCTTGCAGATTCCAGAAAAAGAGTGTTTCAAAACTGCTCCTTCAAAACGGTGGTTCAATTCTCTTAGTTGAGTACACACATCTCAAATAAGTTTCTGAGAATGCTTCTGCCTAGTTGTTACAGGAAGATATTTCCTTTTCCAACATGGGCCTGAAAGCGCTCCAAATGTCCACTTCCAGATACTACAAAAAGAGTGTTTCAAACCTACTCTACCAAAGGGAATGTTCTACTCTGTGACTTGAATGCAAACATCCCAAAGAAGTTTCTGAGAATGCTTCTGTCTAGATTTTACCTGAAGACAATCCCGTTTCCCACGAAATCCTCAAAGCTATGCAAATATCCTCTTGCAGATTCTACAAAAAGAGTGTTTCAAAACTGCTCTATGAAAAGAAAGGTTCAACTCTGTCAGTAGAGGGCACACATCACAAACAAGTTTCTGAGAATGCTTCTGCATAGTTGTTACGGGAAGATATTTCCCTTTCCAAAATAGGCCTGAAAGCGCTCCAAATGTCCACTTCCAGATACTACAAAAGGAGTGATTCCAACCTGCTCTATGATAGGGAATGTTCAACTCTGTGTCCTGAATACAAACATCACAAAGATGTTTCTCAGAACGCTGCAGTCTGCAATTTGTATGAATTCCCGCTTCCAACGAAATCCTCAAAACTAGCCAAATATCCACTTGCAGATTCCACAAAAAGACCATTTCAAAACTGCTCTATCAAAAGAAAGGTTCAACTTTGTTAGTTGAGTAGATACAGCATAAACAAGTTTCTGAGAATGCTTCTGTCCAGTTTTTATGGGAAGATATTTCCTTTTTCACCTTAGCCCTGAAATCGCTCCAAAAGTCCAGTTCCAGATACTACAAAAGGGGTGTTTCAAGACTGCTCTATGAAAGGGAGTGTTCAACTTTTGACTTGAATGCAAACATCAGAAAGCAGTTTCTCAGAACGCTGCTGTGTGCTTTTTATATGTATTCCCGCTTCCAGCGAAATCCCCAAAGCTAGCCAAATATCCACTTGCAGATTCCAGAAAAAGAGTGTTTCCAAACTGCTCCTTCAAAACGGTGGTTCAATTCTCTTAGTTGAGTACACACATCTCAAATAAGTTTCTGGGAATGCTTCTGTCTATTTGTTATGGGAAGATATTTCCTTTTCCAACATAGGCCTGAAAGCGCTCCAAATGTCCACTTCCAGATACTACAAAAGGAGTGATTCAAACCTGCTCTATGATAGGGAATGTTCAACTCTGTGTCCTGAATACAAACATCACAAAGAAGTTTCTCAGAACGCTGCAGTCTGCAATTTGTATGAATTCCCGCTTCCAACGAAATCCTCAAAACTAGCCAAATATCCACTTGCAGATTCCACAAAAAGAGCGTTTCAAAACTTCTCTATGAAAAGAAAGGTTCTACTCCTTTAGTTGAGGACACACATCACGAGTAAGTTTCTGAGAATGCTTCTGTCTAGTTTTTATGGGAAGATTATTTCCTTTTTCACCTTAGGCCGGTAAGTGCTCCAAATGTCCACTTACACACACTACAAAAAGAGTGTTTCAAACCTGCTCTGTGAAAGGGAATGTTCAATTCTGTGACTTGAATGCAATCATCACAAAGAACTTTCTGAGAATGCCGCTGACTGCTTTTTATATGTAATCCCGTTTCCAACGAAATCCTCAAATCTAGCCAAATAGCCACTTGCAGATTCCACAAAAAGAGTGTTTCAAAACTGTTCTGTCTAAAGAAATGTTCAACTGTGTTAGTTGAGGACACACATCAGAAACTAGTTTCTGAGAATGCTTCTGTCTAGTTGTTATGGGAAGATATTTCCTTTTCCAACGTAGGCCTGAAAGCGCTCCAAATGTCCACTTCCATATACTAAAAAAAGAGTGTTTCAAACCTGCTCTACCAAAGGGAATGTTCTACTCTGTGACTTGAATGCAAACATCCCAAAGAAGTTTCTGAGAATGCTTCTGTCTAGATTTTATCTGAAGACAATCCCGTTTCCAACGAAATCCTCAAGGCTAGGCAAATATACTCTTGCAGATTCCAGAAAAAGAGGGTTTCAAAACTGCTCCTTCAAAACGGTGGTTCAATTCTCTTAGTTGAGTACACACATCTCAAATAAGTTTCTGAGAATGCTTCTGCCTAGTTGTTACGGGAAGATATTTCCCTTTCCAACATGGGTCTGAAAGCGCTCCAAATGTCCACTTCCAGATACTACAAAAAGAGTGTTTCAAACCTGCTCTACCAAAGGGAATGTTCTACTCTGTGACTTGAATGCAAACATCCCAAAGAAGTTTCTGAGAATGCTTCTGTCTAGATTTTACCTGAAGACAATCCCGTTTCCCACGAAATCCTCAAAGCTATGCAAATATCCTCTTGCGGATTCTATAAAAGAGTGTTTCAAAACTGCTCTATGAAAAGAAAGGTTCAACTCTGTCAGTAGAGGGCACACATCACAAACAAGTTTCTGAGAATGCTTGTGTCTAGTTGTTATGGGAAGATATTTCCTTTTTCAACATAGGCCTGAAAGCGCTCCAAATGTCCACTTCCAGATACTACAAAAGGAGTGATTCCAACATGCTCTATGATAGGGAATGTTCATCTCTGTGTCTTGAATACAAACATTTCAAAGATGTTTCTCAGAACGCTGCAGTCTGCAATTTGTATGAATTCCCGCTTCCAACGAAATCCTCAAAACTAGCCAAATATCCACTTGCAGATTCCACAAAAAGACCATTTCAAAACTGCTCTATCAAAAGAAAGGTTCAACTTTGTTAGTTGAGTAGATACAGCATAAACAAGTTTCTGAGAATGCTTCTGTCCAGTTTTTATGGGAAGATATTTCCTTTTTCACCTTAGCCCTGAAATCGCTCCAAAAGTCCAGTTCCAGATACTACAAAAGGGGTGTTTCAAGACTGCTCTATGAAAGGGAGTGTTCAACTTTTGACTTGAATGCAAACATCAGAAAGCAGTTTCTCAGAACGCTGCAGTCTGCAATTTGTATGAATTCCCGCTTCCAACGAAATCCTCAAACCTAGCCAAATATCCACTTGCAGATTCCACAAAAAGAGCATTTCAAAACTGCTCTATCAAAAGAAAGGTTCAACTTTGTTAGTTGAGTAGATACAGCATAAACCAGTTTCTGAGAATGCTTCTGTCCAGTTTTTATGGGAAGATATTTCCTTTTTCACCTTAGCCCTGAAAGCGCTCCAAATGTCCAGTTCCAGATACTACAAAAGGGGTGTTTCAAGACTGCTCTATGAAAGGGGGTGTTCAACTTTTGACTTGAATGCAAACATCAGAAAGCAGTTTCTCAGAACGCTGCTGTGTGCTTTTTATATGTATTCCCGCTTCCAGCGAAATCCCCAAAGCTAGCCAAATATCCACTTGCAGATTCCAGAAAAAGAGTGTTTCAAAACTGCTCCTTCAAAACGGTGGTTCAATTCTCATAGTTGAGTACACACATCTCAAATAAGTTTCTGAGGATGCTTCTGTCTAGTTGTTATGGGAAGATATTTCCTTTTCCAACATAGGCTTGAAAGCGCTCCAAATGTCCACTTCCAGATACTACAAAAGGAGTGATTCCAACCTGCTCTATGATAGGGAATTTTCAACTCTGTGTCCTGAATACAAACATCACAAAGATGTTTCTCAGAACGCTTCTGTCTAGTTTTTATGGGAAGATATTTCCTTTTTCACCTTAGGCCGGTAAGTGCTCCAAATGTCCACTTACACACACTACAAAAAGAGTGTTTCAAACCTGCTCTGTGAAAGGGAATGTTCAATTCTGTGACTTGAATGCAATCATCACAAAGAACTTTCTGAGAATGCTGCTGACTGCTTTTTATATGTAATCCCGTTTCTAACGAAATCCTCAAATCTAGCCAAATAGCCACTTGCAGATTCCACAAAAAGAGTGTTTCAAAACTGTTCTGTCTAAAGAAATGTTCAACTGTGTTAGTTGAGGACACACATCAGAAACTAGTTTCTGAGAATGCTTCTGTCTAGTTGTTATGGGAAGATATTTCCTTTTCCAACGTAGGCCTGAAAGCGCTCCAAATGTCCACTTCCATATACTAAAAAAAGAGTGTTTCAAACCTGCTCTACCAAAGGGAATGTTCTACTCTGTGACTTGAATGCAAACATCCCAAAGAAGTTTCTGAGAATGCTTCTGTCTAGATTTGATCTGAAGACAATCCCGTTTCCAACGAAATCCTCAAGGCTAGGCAAATATCCTCTTGCAGATTCCAGAAATAGAGTGTTTCAAAACTGCTCCTTCAAAACGGTGGTTCAATTCTCTTAGTTGAGTCCACACATCTCAAATAAGTTTCTGAGAATGCTTCTGCCTAGTTGTTACGGGAAGATATTTCCCTTTCCAACATAGGCCTGAAAGCGCTCCAAATGTCCACTTCCAGATAATACAAAAAGAGTGTTTCAAACCTGCTCTACCAAAGGGAATGTTCTACTCTGTGACTTGAATGCAAACATCCCAAAGAAGTTTCTCAGAATGCTTCTGTCTAGATTTTACCTGAAGACAATCCCGTTTCCCACGAAATCCTCAAAGCTATGCAAATATCCTCTTGCAGATTCTACAAAAAGAGTGTTTCAAAACTGCTCTATGAAAAGAAAGGTTCAACTCTGTCAGTAGAGGGCACACATCACAAACAAGTTTCTGAGAATGCTTCTGCATAGTTGTTACGGGAAGATATTTCCCTTTCCAAAATAGGCCTGAAAGCGCTCCAAATGTCCACTTCCAGATACTACAAAAGGAGTGATTCCAACCTGCTCTATGATAGGGAATGTTCAACTCTGTGTCCTGAATACAAACATCACAAAGATGTTTCTCAGAACGCTGCAGTCTGCAATTTGTATGAATTCCCGCTTCCAACGAAATCCTCAAAACTAGCCAAATATCCACTTGCAGATTCCACAAAAAGACCATTTCAAAACTGCTCTATCAAAAGAAAGGTTCAACTTTGTTAGTTGAGTAGATACAGCATAAACAAGTTTCTGAGAATGCTTCTGTCCAGTTTTTATGGGAAGATATTTCCTTTTTCACCTTAGCCCTGAAATCGCTCCAAAAGTCCAGTTCCAGATACTACAAAAGGGGTGTTTCAGGACTGCTCTATGAAAGGGAGTGTTCAACTTTTGACTTGAATGCAAACATCAGAAAGCAGTTTCTCAGAACGCTGCTGTGTGCTTTTTATATGTATTCCCGCTTCCAGCGAAATCCCCAAAGCTAGCCAAATATCCACTTGCAGATTCCAGAAAAAGAGAGTTTCAAAACTGCTCCTTCAAAACGGTGGTTCAATTCTCTTAGTTGAGTACACACATCTCAAATAAGTTTCTGAGAATGCTTGTGTCTAGTTGTTATGGGAAGATATTTCCTTTTTCAACATAGGCCTGAAAGCGCTCCAAATGTCCACTTCCAGATACTACAAAAGGAGTGATTCCAACCTGCTCTATGATAGGGAATGTTCAACTCTGTGTCCTGAATACAAACATCACAAAGATGTTTCTCAGAACGCTG
This sequence comes from Homo sapiens, assembly GCF_000001405.40. Lineage (NCBI taxonomy): Eukaryota > Metazoa > Chordata > Mammalia > Primates > Hominidae > Homo > Homo sapiens. Next base: position 19,454,260 of record NC_000018.10, on the reverse strand, counting down.
CAGTCTGCAATTTGTATGAATTCCCGCTTCCAACGAAATCCTCAAAACTAGCCAAATATCCACTTGCAGATTCCAGAAAAAGAGCGTTTCAAAACTTCTCTATGAAAAGGAAGGTTCTACTCCTTTAGTTGAGGACACACATCACGAGTAAGTTTCTGAGAATGCTTCTGTCTAGTTTTTATGGGAAGATATTTCCTTTTTCACCTTAGGCCGGAAAGTGCTCCAAATGTCCACTTACACACACTACAAAAAGAGTGTTTCAAACCTGCTCTGTGAAAGGGAATTTTCAATTCTGTGACTTGAATGCAATCATCACAAAGAACTTTCTGAGAATGCTGCTGTCTGCTTTTTATATGTAATCCCGTTTCCAACGAAATCCTCAAATCTAGCCAAATAGCCACTTGCAGATTCCACAAAAAGAGTGTTTCAAAACTGTTCTGTCTAAAGAAATGTTCAACTGTGTTAGTTGAGGACACACATCAGAAACTAGTTTCTGAGAATGCTTCTGTCTAGTTGTTATGGGAAGATATTTCCTTTTCCAACGTAGGCCTGAAAGCGCTCCAAATGTCCACTTCCATATACTAAAAAAAGAGTGTTTCAAACCTGCTCTACCAAAGGGAATGTTCTACTCTGTGACTTGAATGCAAACATCCCAAAGAAGTTTCTGAGAATGCTTCTGTCTAGATTTTATCTGAAGACAATCCCGTTTCCAACGAAATCCTCAAGGCTAGGCAAATATACTCTTGCAGATTCCAGAAAAAGAGTGTTTCAAAACTGCTCCTTCAAAACGGTGGTTCAATTCTCTTAGTTGAGTACACACATCTCAAATAAGTTTCTGAGAATGCTTCTGCCTAGTTGTTACGGGAAGATATTTCCCTTTCCAACATAGGCCTGAAAGCGCTCCAAATGTCCACTTCCAGATACTACAAAAAGAGTGTTTGAAACCTGCTCTACCAAAGGGAATGTTCTACTCTGTGACTTGAATGCAAACATCCCAAAGAAGTTTCTGAGAATGCTTCTGTCTAGATTTTACCTGAAGACAATCCCGTTTCCCACGAAATCCTCAAAGCTATGCAAATATCCTCTTGCAGATTCTACAAAAAGAGTGTTTCAAAACTGCTCTATGAAAAGAAAGGTTCAACTCTGTCAGTAGAGGGCACACATCACAAACAAGTTTCTGAGAATGCTTGTGTCTAGTTGTTATGGGAAGATATTTCCTTTTTCAACATAGGCCTGAAGCGCTCCAAATGTCCACTTCCAGATACTACAAAAGGAGTGATTCCAACCTGCTCTATGATAGGGAATGTTCAACTCTCTGTCCTGAATACAAACATCACAAAGATGTTTCTCAGAACGCTGCAGTCTGCAATTTGTATGAATTCCCGCTTCCAACGAAATCCTCAAAACTAGCCAAATATCCACTTGCAGATTCCACAAAAAGAGCATTTCAAAACTGCTCTATCAAAAGAAAGGTTCAACTTTGTTAGTTGAGTAGATACAGCATAAACAAGTTTCTGAGAATGCTGCAGTCTGCAATTTGTATGAATTCCCGCTTCCAACGAAATCCTCAAAACTAGCCAAATATCCACTTGCAGATTCCACAAAAAGAGCGTTTCAAAACTTCTCTATGAAAACAAAGGTTCTACTCCTTTAGTTGAGGACACACATCACGAGTAAGTTTCTGAGAATGCTTCTGTCTAGTTTTTATGGGAAGATATTTCCTTTTTCACCTTAGGCCGGTAAGTGCTCCAAATGTCCACTTACACACACTACAAAAAGAGTGTTTCAAACCTGCTCTGTGAAAGGGAATGTTCAATTCTGTGACTTGAATGCAATCATCACAAAGAACTTTCTGAGAATGCCGCTGACTGCTTTTTATATGTAATCCCGTTTCCAACGAAATCCTCAAATCTAGCCAAATAGCCACTTGCAGATTCCACAAAAAGAGTGTTTCAAAACTGTTCTGTCTAAAGAAATGTTCAACTGTGTTAGTTGAGGACACACATCAGAAACTAGTTTCTGAGAATGCTTCTGTCTAGTTGTTATGGGAAGATATTTCCTTTTCCAACGTAGGCCTGAAAGCGCTCCAAATGTCCACTTCCAGATACTACAAAAAGAGTGTTTCAAACCTGCTCTACCAAAGGGAATGTTCTACTCTGTGACTTGAATGCAAGCATCCCAAAGAAGTTTCTGAGAATGCTTCTGTCTAGATTTGATCTGAAGACAATCCCGTTTCCAACGAAATCCTCAAAGCTAGGCAAATATCCTCTAGCAGATTCCAGAAAAAGAGTGTTTCAAAACTGCTCCTTCAAAACGGTGGTTCAATTCTCTTAGTTGAGTACACACATCTCAAAAAAGTTTCAGAGAATGCTTCTGCCTAGTTGTTACGGGAAGATATTTCCCTTTCCAACATGGGCCTGAAAGCGCTCCAAATGTCCACTTCCAGATACTACAAAAAGATTGTTTCAAACCTGCTCTACCAAAGGGAATGTTCTACTCTGTGACTTGAATGCAAACATCCCAAAGAAGTTTCTGAGAATGCTTCTGTCTAGATTTTACCTGAAGACAATCCCGTTTCCCACGAAATCCTCAAAGCTATGCAAATATCCTCTTGCAGATTCTACAAAAAGAGTGTTTCAAAACTGCTCTATGAAAAGAAAGGTTCAACACTGTCAGTACAGGGTACACATCACAAACAAGTTTCTGAGAATGCTTGTGTCTAGTTGTTATGGGAAGATATTTCCTTTTTTAACATAGGCCTGAAAGCGCTCCAAATGTCCACTTCCAGATACTACAAAAGGAGTGATTCCAACCTGCTCTATGATAGGGAATGTTCAACTCTGTGTCCTGAATACAAACATCACAAAGATGTTTCTCAGAACGCTGCAGTCTGCAATTTGTATGAATTCCCGCTTCCAACCGAAATCCTCAAAACTAGCCAAATATCCACTTGCAGATTCCACAAAAAGAGCATTTCAAAACTGCTCTATCAAAAGAAAGGTTCAACTTTGTTAGTTGAGTAGATACAGCATAAACAAGTTTCTGAGAATGCTTCTGTCCAGTTTTTATGGGAAGATATTTCCTTTTTCACCTTAGCCCTGAAAGCGCTCCAAATGTCCAGTTCCAGATACTACAAAAGGGGTGTTTCAAGACTGCTCTATGAAAGGGATTGTTCAACTTTTGACTTGAATGCAAACATCAGAAAGCAGTTTCTCAGAACGCTGCTGTGTGTTTTTTATATGTATTCCCGCTTCCAGCGAAATCCCCAAAGCTAGCCAAATATCCACTTGCAGATTCCAGAAAAAGAGCGTTTCAAAACTGCTCCTTGAAAACGGTGGTTCAATTCTCTTAGTTGAGTACACCCATCTCAAATAAGTTTCTGAGAATGCTTCTGTCTAGTTGTTATGGGAAGATATTTCCTTTTCCAACATAGGCCTGAAAGCGCTCCAAATGTCCACTTCCAGATACTACAAAAGGAGTGATTCAAACCTGCTCTATGATAGGGAATGTTCAACTCTGTGTCCTGAATACAAACATCACAAAGATGTTTCTCAGAACGCTGCAGTCTGCAATTTGTATGAATTCCCGCTTCCAACGAAATCCTCAAAACTAGCCAAATATCCACTTGCAGATTCCACAAAAAGAGCATTTCAAAACTGCTCTATCAAAAGAAAGGTTCAACTTTGTTAGTTGAGTAGATACAGCATAAACAAGTTTCTGAGAATGCTTCTGTCCAGTTTTTATGGGAAGATATTTCCTTTTTCACCTTAGCCCTGAAAGCGCTCCAAATGTCCAGTTCCAGATACTACAAAAGGAGTGTTTCAGGACTGCTCTATGAAAGGGAGTGTTCAACTTTTGACTTGAATGCAAACATCAGAAAGCAGTTTCTCAGAACGCTGCTGTGTGCTTTTTATATGTATTCCCGCTTCCAGCGAAATCCCCAAAGCTAGCCAAATAGCCACTTGCAGATTCCAGAAAAAGAGTGTTTCAAAACTGCTCCTTCAAAACGGTGGTTCAATTCTCTTAGTTGAGTACACACATCTCAAATAAGTTTCTGAGAATGCTTCTGTCTAGTTGTTATGGGAAGATATTTCCTTTTCCAACATAGGCCTGAAAGCGCTCCAAATGTCCACTTCCAGATACTACAAAAGGAGTGATTCAAACCTGCTCTATGATAGGGAATGTTCAACTCTGTGTCCTGAATACAAACATCACAAAGATGTTTCTCAGAACGCTGCAGTCTGCAATTTGGATGAATTCCCGCTTCCAACGAAATCCTCAAAACTAGCCAAATATCCACTTGGAGATTCCACAAAAAGAGCGTTTCAAAACTTCTCTATGAATAGAAAGGTTCTACTCCTTTAGTTGAGGACACACATCACGAGTAAGTTTCTGAGAATGCTTCTGTCTAGTTTTTATGGGAAGATATTTCCTTTTTCACCTTAGGCCGGAAAGCGCTCCAAATGTCCACTTACACACACTACAAAAAGAGTGTTTCAAACCTGCTCTGTGAAAGGGAATGTTCAATTCTGTGACTTGAATGCAATCATCACAAAGAACTTTCTGAGAATGCTGCTGTCTGCTTTTTATATGTAATCCCGTTTCCAACGAAATCCTCAAATCTAGCCAAATATCCACTTGCAGATTCCACAAAAAGAGTGTTTCAAAACTGTTCTGTCTAAAGAAAAGTTCAACTGTGTTAGTTGAGGACACACATCAGAAACTAGTTTCTGAGAATGCTTCTGTCTAGTTGTTATGGGAAGATATTTCCTTTTCCAACGTAGGCCTGAAAGCGCTCCAAATGTCCACTTCCATATACTAAAAAAAGAATGTTTCAAACCTGCTCTACCAAAGGGAATGTTCTTCTCTGTGACTTGAATGCAAACATCCCAAACAAGTTTCTGAGAATGCTTCTGTCTAGATTTTATCTGAAGACAATCCCGTTTCCCGCGAAATCCTCAAAGCTATGCAAATATCCTCTTGCAGATTCTACAAAAAGAGTGTTTCAAAACTGCTCTATGAAAAGAAAGGTTCAACTCTGTCAGTAGAGGGCACACATCACAAACAAGTTTCTGAGAATGCTTGTGTCTAGTTGTTATGGGAAGATATTTCCTTTTTCAACATAGGCCTGAAAGCGCTCTAAATGTCCACTTCCAGATACTACAAAAGGAGTGATTCCAACATGCTCTATGATAGGGAATGTTCATGCTCTGTGTCTTGAATACAAACATCACAAAGATGTTTCTCAGAACGCTGCAGTCTGCAATTTGTATGAATTCCCGCTTCCAACGAAATCCTCAAAACTAGCCAAATATCCACTTGCAGATTCCACAAAAAGACCATTTCAAAACTGCTCTATCAAAAGAAAGGTTCAACTTTGTTAGTTGAGTAGATACAGCATAAACAAGTTTCTGAGAATGCTTCTGTCCAGTTTTTATGGGAAGATATTTCCTTTTTCACCTTAGCCCTGAAATCGCTCCAAAAGTCCAGTTCCAGATACTACAAAAGGGGTGTTTCAAGACTGCTCTATGAAAGGGAGTGTTCAACTTTTGACTTGAATGCAAACATCAGAAAGCAGTTTCTCAGAACGCTGCTGTGTGCTTTTTATATGTATTCCCGCTTCCAGCGAAATCCCCAAAGCTAGCCAAATATCCACTTGCAGATTCCAGAAAAAGAGTGTTTCAAAACTGCTCCTTCAAAACGGTGGTTCAATTCTCTTAGTTGAGTACACACATCTCAAATAAGTTTCTGAGAATGCTTGTGTCTAGTTGTTATGGGAAGATATTTCCTTTTTCAACATAGGCCTGAAAGCGCTCCAAATGTCCACTTCCAGATACTACAAAAGGAGTGATTCCAACCTGCTCTATGATAGGGAATGTTCATCTCTGTGTCCTGAATACAAACATCACAAAGATGTTTCTCAGAACGCTGCAGTCTGCAATTTGTATGAATTCCCGCTTCCAAAGAAATCCTCAAAACTAGCCAAATATCCACTTGGAGATTCCACAAAAAGAGCGTTTCAAAACTTCTCTATGAATAGAAAGGTTCTACTCCTTTAGTTGAGGACACACATCACGAGTAAGTTTCTGAGAATGCTTCTGTCTAGTTTTTATGGGAAGATATTTCCTCTTTCACCTTAGGCCGGAAAGGGCTCCAAATGTCCACTTACACACACTACAAAAAGAGTGTTTGAAACCTGCTCTGTGAAAGGGAATGTTCAATTCTGTGACTTGAATGCAATCATCACAAAGAACTTTCTGAGAATGCTGCAGTCTGCTTTTTATATGTAATCCCGTTTCCAACGAAATCCTCAAATCTAGCCAAATATCCACTTGCAGATTCCACAAAAAGAGTGTTTCAAAACTGTTCTGTCTAAAGAAAAGTTCAACTGTGTTAGTGGAGGACACACATCAGAAACTAGTTTTCTGAGAATGCTTCTGTCTAGTTGTTATGGGAAGATATTTCCTTTTCCAACGTAGGCCTGAAAGCGCTCCAAATGTCCACTTCCATATACTAAAAAAAGAGTGTTTCAAACCTGCTCTACCAAAGGGAATGTTCTACTCTGTGACTTGAATGCAAACATCCCAAAGAAGTTTCTGAGAATGCTTCTGTCTAGATTTTATCTGAAGACAACCACGTTTCCAACGAAATCGTCAAGGCTAGGCAAATATACTCTTGCAGATTCCAGAAAAAGAGTGTTTCAAAACTGCGCCTTCAAAACGGTGGTTCAATTCTCTTAGTTGAGTACACACATCTCAAATAAGTTTCTGAGAATGCTTCTGCCTAGTTGTTACGGGAAGATATTTCCCTTTCCAACATAGGCCTGAAAGCGCTTCAAATGTCCACTTCCAGATACTACAAAAAGAGTGTTTGAAACCTGCTCTACCAAAGGGAATGTTCTACTCTGTGACTTGAATGCAAACATCCCAAAGAAGTTTCTGAGAATGCTTCTGTCTAGATTTTACCTGAAGACAATCCCGTTTCCCCCGAAATCCTCAAAGCTATGCAAATATCCTCTTGCAGATTCTACAAAAAGAGTGTTTCAAAACTGCTCTATGAAAAGAAAGGTTCAACTCTGTCAGTAGAGGGCACACATCACAAACAAGTTTCTGAGAATACTTGTGTCTAGTTGTTATGGGAAGATATTTCCTTTTTTAACATAGGCCTGAAAGCGCTCCAAATGTCCACTTCCAGATACTACAAAAGGAGTGATTCCAACCTGCTCTATGATAGGGAATGTTCAACTCTGTGTCCTGAATACAAACATCACAAAGATGTTTCTCAGAACGCTGCAGTCTGCAATTTGTATGAATTCCCGCTTCCAACGAAATCCTCAAAACTAGCCAAATATCCACTTGCAGATTCCACAAAAAGAGCATTTCAAAACTGCTCTATCAAAAGAAAGGTTCAACTTTGTTAGTTGAGTAGATACAGCATAAACAAGTTTCTGAGAATGCTTCTGTCCAGTTTTTATGGGAAGATATTTCCTTTTTCACCTTAGCCCTGAAAGCGCCCCAAATGTCCAGTTCCAGATACTACAAAAGGGGTGTTTCAAGACTGCTCTATGAAAGGGAGTGTTCAACTTTTGATTTGAATGCAAACATCAGAAAGCAGTTTCTCAGAACGCTGCTGTGTGTTTTTTATATGTATTCCCGCTTCCAGCGAAATCCCCAAAGCTAGCCAAATATCCACTTGCAGATTCCAGAAAAAGAGCGTTTCAAAACTGCTCCTTGAAAACGGTGGTTCAATTCTCTTAGTTGAGTACACCCATCTCAAATAAGTTTCTGAGAATGCTGCAGTCTGCAATTTGTATGAATTCCCGCTTCCAACGAAATCCTCAAAACTAGCCAAATATCCACTTGCAGATTCCACAAAAAGAGCGTTTCAAAACTTCTCTATGAAAAGAAAGGTTCTACTCCTTTAGTTGAGGACACACATCACGAGTAAGTTTCTGAGAATGCTTCTGTCTAGTTTTTATGGGAAGATATTTCCTTTTTCACCTTAGGCCGGAAAGCGCTCCAAATGTCCACTTACACACACTACAAAAAGAGTGTTTCATACCTGCTCTGTGAAAGGGAATGTTCAATTCTGTGACTTAAATGCAATCATCAAAAAGAACTTTCTGAGACTGCTGCTGTCTGCTTTTTATATGTAATCCCGTTTCCAACGAAATCCTCAAATCTAGCCAAATATCCACTTGCAGATTCCAGAAAAAGAGTGTTTCAAAACTGCTCCTTCAAAACGGTGGTTCAATTCTCTTAGTTGAGTACACACATCTCAAATAAGTTTCTGAGAATGCTTCTGCCTAGTTGTTACGGGAAGATATTTCCCTTTCCAACATAGGCCTGAAAGCGCTCCAAATGTCCACTTCCAGATACTACAAAAAGAGTGTTTCAAACCTGCTCTACCAAAGGGAATGTTCTACTCTGTGACTTGAATGCAAACATCCCAAAGAAGTTTCTGAGAATGCTTCTGTCTAGATTTTACCTGAAGACAATCCCGTTTCCCACGAAATCCTCAAAGCTATGCAAATATCCTCTTGCAGATTCTACAAAAAGAGTGTTTCAAAACTGCTCTATGAAAAGAAAGGTTCAACTCTGTCAGTAGAGGGCACACATCACAAACAAGTTTCTGAGAATGCTTGTGTCTAGTTGTTATGGGAAGATATTTCCTTTTTCAACATAGGCCTGAAAGCGCTCCAAATGTCCACTTCCAGATACTACAAAAGGAGTGATTCCAACCTGCTCTATGATAGGGAATGTTCAACTCTCTCTCCTGAATACAAACATCACAAAGATGTTTCTCAGAACGCTGCAGTCTGCAATTTGTATGAATTCCCGCTTCCAACGAAATCCTCAAAACTAGCCAAATATCCACTTGCAGATTCCACAAAAAGAGCATTTCAAAACTGCTCTATCAAAAGAAAGGTTCAACTTTGTTAGTTGAGTAGATACAGCATAAACAAGTTTCTGAGAATGCTGCAGTCTGCAATTTGTATGAATTCCCGCTTCCAACGAAATCCTCAAAACTAGCCAAATATCCACTTGCAGATTCCACAAAAAGAGCGTTTCAAAACTTCTCTATGAAAAGAAAGGTTCTACTCCTTTAGTTGAGGACACACATCACGAGTAAGTTTCTGAGAATGCTTCTGTCTAGTTTTTATGGGAAGATATTTCCTTTTTCACCTTAGGCCGGTAAGTGCTCCAAATGTCCACTTACACACACTACAAAAAGAGTGTTTCAAACCTGCTCTGTGAAAGGGAATGTTCAATTCTGTGACTTGAATGCAATCATCACAAAGAACTTTCTGAGAATGCTGCTGACTGCTTTTTATATGTAATCCCGTTTCCAACGAAATCCTCAAATCTAGCCAAATAGCCACTTGCAGATTCCACAAAAAGAGTGTTTCAAAACTGTTCTGTCTAAAGAAATGTTCAACTGTGTTAGTTGAGGACACACATCAGAAACTAGTTTCTGAGAATGCTTCTGTCTAGTTGTTATGGGAAGATATTTCCTTTTCCAACGTAAGCCTGAAAGCGATCAAAATGTCCACTTCCATATACTAAAAAAAGAGTGTTTCAAACCTGCTCTACCAAAGGGAATGTTCTACTCTGTGACTTGAATGCAAACATCCCAAAGAAGTTTCTGAGAATGCTTCTGTCTAGATTTTATCTGAAGACAATCCCGTTTCCAACGAAATCCTCAAGGCTAGGCAAATATACTCTTGCAGATTCCAGAAAAAGAGTGTTTCAAAACTGCTCCTTCAAAACGGTGGTTCAATTCTCTTAGTTGAGTACACACATCTCAAATAAGTTTCTGAGAATGCTTCTGCCTAGTTGTTACGGGAAGATATTTCCCTTTCCAACATGGGCCTGAAAGCGCTCCAAATGTCCACTTCCAGATACTACAAAAAGAGGGTTTCAAACCTGCTCTACCAAAGGGAATGTTCTACTCTGTGACTTGAATGCAAACATCCCAAAGAAGTTTCTGAGAATGCTTCTGTCTAGATTTTACCTGAAGACAATCCCGTTTCCCACGAAATCCTCAAAGCTATGCAAATATCCTCTTGCGGATTCTACAACAAGAGTGTTTCAAAACTGCTCTATGAAAAGAAAGGTTCAACTCTGTCAGTAGAGGGCACACATCACAAACAAGTTTCTGAGAATGCTTGTGTCTAGTTGTTATGGGAAGATATTTCCTTTTTCAACATAGGCCTGAAAGCGCTCCAAATGTCCACTTCCAGATACTACAAAAGGAGTGATTCCAACCTGCTCTATGATAGGGAATGTTCATCTCTGTGTCCTGAATACAAACATCACAAAGATGTTTCTCAGAACGCTGCAGTCTGCAATTTGTATGAATTCCCGCTTCCAACGAAATCCTCAAAACTAGCCAAATATCCACTTGCAGATTCCACAAAAAGACCATTTCAAAACTGCTCTATCAAAAGAAAGGTTCAACTTTGTTAGTTGAGTAGATACAGCATAAACAAGTTTCTGAGAATGCTTCTGTCCAGTTTTTATGGGAAGATATTTCCTTTTTCACCTTAGCCCTGAAATCGCTCCAAAAGTCCAGTTCCAGATACTACAAAAGGGGTGTTTCAGGACTGCTCTATGAAAGGGAGTGTTCAACTTTTGACTTGAATGCAAACATCAGAAAGCAGTTTCTCAGAACGCTGCTGTGTGCTTTTTATATGTATTCCCGCTTCCAGCGAAATCCCCAAAGCTAGCCAAATATCCACTTGCAGATTCCAGAAAAAGAGAGTTTCAAAACTGCTCCTTCAAAACGGTGGTTCAATTCTCTTAGTTGAGTACACACATCTCAAATAAGTTTCTGAGAATGCTTCTGTCTAGTTGTTATGGGAAGATATTTCCTTTTCCAACATAGGCCTGAAAGCACTCCAAATGTCCACTTCCAGATACTACAAAAGGAGTGATTCCAACCTGCTCTATGATAGGGAATGTTCAACTCTGTGTCCTGAATACAAACATCACAAAGATGTTTCTCAGAACGCTGCAGTCTGCAATTTGTATGAATTCCCGCTTCCAACGAAATCCTCCAAACTAGCCAAATATCCACTTGCAGATTCCACAAAAAGAGCGTTTCAAAACTTCTCTATGAAAAGAAAGGTTCTACTCCTTTAGTTGAGGACACACATCACGAGTAAGTTTCTGAGAATGCTTCTGTCTAGTTTTTATGGGAAGATATTTCCTTTTTCACCTTAGGCCGGAAAGTGCTCCAAATGTCCACTTACACTCACTACAAAAAGAGTGTTTCAAACCTGCTCTGTGAAAGGGAATGTTCAATTCTGTGACTTGAATGCAATCATCACAAAGAACTTTCTGAGAATGCTGCTGTCTGCTTTTTATATGTAATCCCGTTTCCAACGAAATCCTCAAATCTAGCCAAATAGCCACTTGCAGATTCCACAAAAAGAGTGTTTCAAAACTGTTCTGTCTAAAGAAATGTTCAACTGTGTTAGTTGAGGACACACATCAGAAACTAGTTTCTGAGAATGCTTCTGTCTAGTTGTTATGGGAAGATATTTCCTTTTCCAACGTAGGCCAGAAAGCGCTCCAAATGTCCACTTACACACACTACAAAAAGAGTGTTTCAAACCTGCTCTACCAAAGGGAATGTTCTACTCTGTGACTTGAATGCAAACATCCCAAAGAAGTTTCTGAGAATGCTTCTGTCTAGATTTTACCTGAAGACAATCCCGTTTCCCACGAAATCCTCAAAGCTATGCAAATATCCTCTTGCAGATTCTACAAAAAGAGTGTTTCAAAACTGCTCTATGAAAAGAAAGGTTCAACTCTGTCAGTAGAGGGCACACATCACAAACAAGTTTCTGAGAATGCTTGTGTCTAGTTGTTATGGGAAGATATTTCCTTTTTCAACATAGGCCTGAAATCGCTCCAAATGTCCACTTCCAGATACTACAAAAGGAGTGATTCCAACCTGCTCTATGATAGGGAATGTTCAACTCTCTGTCCTGAATACAAACATCACAAAGATGTTTCTCAGAACGCTGCAGTCTGCAATTTGTATGAATTCCCGCTTCCAACGAAATCCTCAAAACTAGCCAAATATCCACTTGCAGATTCCACAAAAAGAGCATTTCAAAACTGCTCTATCAAAAGAAAGGTTCAACTATGTTAGTTGAGTAGATACAGCATAAACAAGTTTCTGAGAATGCTTCTGTCCAGTTTTTATGGGAAGATATTTCCTTTTTCACCTTAGCCCTGAAATCGCTCCAAAAGTCCAGTTCCAGATACTACAAAAGGGGTGTTTCAGGACTGCTCTATGAAAGGGAGTGTTCAACTTTTGACTTGAATGCAAACATCAGAAAGCAGTTTCTCAGAACGCTGCTGTGTGCTTTTTATATGTATTCCCGCTTCCAGCGAAATCCCCAAAGCTAGCCAAATATCCACTTGCAGATTCCAGAAAAAGAGTGTTTCCAAACTGCTCCTTCAAAACGGTGGTTCAATTCTCTTAGTTGAGTACACACATCTCAAATAAGTTTCTGAGAATGCTTCTGTCTAGTTGTTATGGGAAGATATTTCCTTTTCCAACATAGGCCTGAAAGCGCTCCAAATGTCCACTTCCAGATACTACAAAAGGAGTGATTCAAACCTGCTCTATGATAGGGAATGTTCAACTCTGTGTCCTGAATACAAACATCACAAAGATGTTTCTCAGAACGCTGCAGTCTGCAATTTGTATGAATTCCCGCTTCCAACGAAATCCTCAAAACTAGCCAAATATCCACTTGCAGATTCCACAAAAAGAGCGTTTCAAAACTTCTCTATGAAAAGAAAGGTTCTACCCCTTTAGTTGAGGACACACATCACGAGTAAGTTTCTGAGAATGCTTCTGTCTAGTTTTTATGGGAAGATATTTCCTTTTTCACCTTAGGCCGGTAAGTGCTCCAAATGTCCACTTACACACACTACAAAAAGAGTGTTTCAAACCTGCTCTGTGAAAGGGAATGTTCAATTCTGTGACTTGAATGCAATCATCACAAAGAACTTTCTGAGAATGCCGCTGACTGCTTTTTATATGTAATCCCGTTTCCAACGAAATCCTCAAATCTAGCCAAATAGCCACTTGCAGATTCCACAAAAAGAGTGTTTCAAAACTGTTCTGTCTAAAGAAATGTTCAACTGTGTTAGTTGAGGACACACATCAGAAACTAGTTTCTGAGAATGCTTCTGTCTAGTTGTTATGGGAAGATATTTCCTTTTCCAACGTAGGCCTGAAAGCGCTCCAAATGTCCACTTCCAGATACTACAAAAAGAGTGTTTCAAACCTGCTCTACCAAAGGGAATGTTCTACTCTGTGACTTGAATGCAAGCATCCCAAAGAAGTTTCTGAGAATGCTTCTGTCTAGATTTTCTCTGAAGACAATCCCGTTTCCAACGAAATCCTCAAGGCTAGGCAAATATACTCTTGCAGATTCCAGAAAAAGAGTGTTTCAAAACTGCTCCTTCAAAACGGTGGTTCAATTCTCTTAGTTGAGTACACACATCTCAAATAAGTTTCTGAGAATGCTTCTGCCTAGTTGTTACGGGAAGATATTTCCCTTTCCATCATGGGCCTGAAAGCGCTCCAAATGTCCACTTCCAGATACTACAAAAAGAGTGTTTCAAACCTGCTCTACCAAAGGGAATGTTCTACTCTGTGACTTGAATGCAAACATCCCAAAGAAGTTTCTGAGAATGCTTCTGTCTAGATTTTACCTGAAGACAATCCCGTTTCCCACGAAATCCTCAAAGCTATGCAAATATCCTCTTGCAGATTCTACAAAAAGAGTGTTTCAAAACTGCTCTATGAAAAGAAAGGTTCAACTCTGTCAGTAGAGGGCACACATCACAAACAAGTTTCTGAGAATGCTTGTGTCTAGTTGTTATGGGAAGATATTTCCTTTTTCAACATAGGCCTGAAAGCGCTCCAAATGTCCACTTCCAGATACTACAAAAGGAGTGATTCCAACATGCTCTATGATAGGGAATGTTCATCTCTGTGTCTTGAATACAAACATCACAAAGATGTTTCTCAGAACGCTGCAGTCTGCAATTTGTATGAATTCCCGCTTCCAACGAAATCCTCAAATCTAGCCAAATATCCACTTGCAGATTCCACAAAAAGACCATTTCAAAACTGCTCTATCAAAAGAAAGGTTCAAATTTGTTAGTTGAGTAGATACAGCATAAACAAGTTTCTCAGAATGCTTCTGTCCAGTTTTTATGGGAAGATATTTCCTTTTTCACCTTAGCCCTGAAAGCGCTCCAAAAGTCCAGTTCCAGATACTACAAAAGGAGTGTTTCAGGACTGCTCTATGAAAGGGAGTGTTCAACTTTTGACTTGAATGCAAACATCAGAAAGCAGTTTCTCAGAACGCTGCTGTGTGCTTTTTATATGTATTCCCGCTTCCAGCGAAATCCCCAAAGCTAGCCAAATATCCACTTGCAGATTCCAGAAAAAGAGTGTTTCAAAACTGCTCCTTCAAAACGGTGGTTCAATTCTCTTAGTTGAGTACACACATCTCAAATAAGTTTCTGAGAATGCTTCTGTCTAGTTGTTATGGGAAGATATTTCCTTTTCCAACATAGGCTTGAAAGCGCTCCAAATGTCCACTTCCAGATACTACAAAAGGAGTGATTCAAACCTGCTCTATGATAGGGAATGTTCAACTCTGTGTCCTGAATACAAACATCACAAAGATGTTTCTCAGAAAGCTGCAGTCTGCAATTTGTATGAATTCCCGCTTCCAACGAAATCCTCCAAACTAGCCAAATATCCACTTGCAGATTCCACAAAAAGAGCGTTTCAAAACTTCTCTATGAAAAGAAAGGTTCTACTCCTTTAGTTGAGGACACACATCACGAGTAAGTTTCTGAGAATGCTTCTGTCTAGTTTTTATGGGAAGATATTTCCTTTTTCACCTTAGGCCGGAAAGTGCTCCAAATGTCCACTTACACACACTACAAAAAGAGTGTTTCAAACCTGCTCTGTGAAAGGGAATGTTCAATTCTGTGACTTGAATGCAATCATCACAAAGAACGTTCTGAGAATGCTGCTGTCTGCTTTTTATATGTAATCCCGTTTCCAACGAAATCCTCAAATCTAGCCAAATAGCCACTTGCAGATTCCACAAAAAGAGAGTTTCAAAACTGTTCTGTCTAAAGAAATGTTCAACTGTGTTAGTTGAGGACACACATCAGAAACTAGTTTCTGAGAATGCTTCTGTCTAGTTGTTATGGGAAGATATTTCCTTTTCCAACGTAGGCCTGAAAGCGCTCCAAATGTCCACTTCCATATACTAAAAAAAGAGTGTTTCAAACCTGCTCTACCAAAGGGAATGTTCTACTCTGTGACTTGAATGCAAACATCCCAAAGAAGTTTCTGAGAATGCTTCTGTCTAGATTTTATCTGAAGACAATCCCGTTTCCAACGAAATCTTCAAGGCTAGGCAAATATACTCTTGCAGATTCCAGAAAAAGAGTGTTTCAAATCTGCTCCTTCAAAACGGTGGTTCAATTCTCTTAGTTGAGTACACACATCTCAAATAAGTTTCTGAGAATGCTTCTGCCTAGTTGTTACGGGAAGATATTTCCCTTTCCAACATAGGCCTGAAAGCGCTCCAAATGTCCACTTCCAGATACTACAAAAAGAGTGTTTCAAACCTGCTCTACCAAAGGGAATGTTCTACTCTGTGACTTGAATGCAAACATCCCGAAGAATTTTCTGAGAATGCTTCTGTCTAGATTTTACCTGAAGACAATCCCGTTTCCCACGAAATCCTCAAAGCTATGCAAATATCCTCTTGCGGATTCTACAAAAAGAGTGTTTCAAAACTGCTCTATGAAAAGAAAGGTTCAACTCTGTCAGTAGAGGGCACACATCACAAACAAGTTTCTGAGAATGCTTGTGTCTAGTTGTTATGGGAAGATATTTCCTTTTTCAACATAGGCCTGAAAGCGCTCCAAATGTCCACTTCCAGATACTACAAAAGGAGTGATTCCAACCTGGTCTATGATAGGGAATGTTCATCTCTGTGTCCTGAATACAAACATCACAAAGATGTTTCTCAGAACGCTGCAGTCTGCAATTTGTATGAATTCCCGCTTCCAACGAAATCCTCAAAACTAGCCAAATATCCACTTGCAGATTCCACAAAAAGAGCATTTCAAAACTGCTCTATCAAAAGAAAGGTTCAACTTTGTTAGTTGAGCAGATACAGCATAAACAAGTTTCTGAGAATGCTTCTGTCCAGTTTTTATGGGAAGATATTTCCTTTTTCACCTTAGCCCTGAAAGCGCTCCAAATGTCCAGTTCCAGATACTACAAAAGGGGTGTTTCAAGACTGCTCTATGAAAGGGAGTGTTCAACTTTTGACTTGAATGCAAACATCAGAAAGCAGTTTCTCAGAACGCTGCTGTGTGCTTTTTATATGTATTCCCGCTTCCAGCGAAATCCCCAAAGCTAGCCAAATATCCACTTGCAGATTCCAGAAAAAGAGTGTTTCCAAACTGCTCCTTCAAAACGGTGGTTCAATTCTCTTAGTTGAGTACACACATCTCAAATAAGTTTCTGGGAATGCTTGTGTCTAGTTGTTATGGGAAGATATTTCCTTTTTCAACATAGGCCTGAAAGCGCTCCAAATGTCCACTTCCAGATACTACAAAAGGAGTGATTCCAACATGCTCTATGATAGGGAATGTTCATCTCTCTGTCTTGAATACAAACATTTCAAAGATGTTTCTCAGAACGCTGCAGTCTGCAATTTGTATGAATTCCCGCTTCCAACGAAATCCTCAAAACTAGCCAAATATCCACTTGCAGATTCCACAAAAAGAGCGTTTCAAAACTTCTCTATGAAAAGAAAGGTTCTACTCCTTTAGTTGAGGACACACATCACGAGTAAGTTTCTGAGAATGCTTCTGTCTAGTTTTTATGGGAAGATATTTCCTTTTTCACCTTAGGCCGGTAAGTGCTCCAAATGTCCACTTACACACACTACAAAAAGAGTGTTTCAAACCTGCTCTGTGAAAGGGAATGTTCAATTCTGTGACTTGAATGCAATCATCACAAAGAACTTTCTGAGAATGCTGCTGACTGCTTTTTATATGTAATCCCGTTTCCAACGAAATCCTCAAATCTAGCCAAATAGCCACTTGCAGATTCCACAAAAAGAGTGTTTCAAAACTGTTCTGTCTAAAGAAATGTTCAACTGTGTTAGTTGAGGACACACATCAGAAACTAGTTTCTGAGAATGCTTCTGTCTAGTTGTTATGGGAAGATATTTCCTTTTCCAACGTAGGCCTGAAAGCGATCCAAATGTCCACTTCCATATACTAAAAAAAGAGTGTTTCAAACCTGCTCTACCAAAGGGAATGTTCTACTCTGTGACTTGAATGCAAACATCCCAAAGAAGTTTCTGAGAATGCTTCTGTCTAGATTTTCTCTGAAGACAATCCCGTTTCCAACGAAATCCTCAAGGCTAGGCAAATATACTCTTGCAGATTCCAGAAAAAGAGTGTTTCAAAACTGCTCCTTCAAAACGGTGGTTCAATTCTCTTAGTTGAGTACACACATCTCAAATAAGTTTCTGAGAATGCTTCTGCCTAGTTGTTACGGGAAGATATTTCCCTTTCCAACATGGGCCTGATAGCGCTCCGAATGTCCACTTCCAGATACTACAAAAAGAGGGTTTCAAACCTGCTCTACCAAAGGGAATGTTCTACTCTGTGACTTGAATGCAAACATCCCAAAGAAGTTTCTGAGAATGCTTCTGTCTAGATTTTACCTGAAGACAATCCCGTTTCCCACGAAATCCTCAAAGCTATGCAAATATCCTCTTGCAGATTCTACAAAAAGAGTGTTTCAAAACTGCTCTATGAAAAGAAAGGTTCAACTCTGTCAGTAGAGGGCACACATCACAAACAAGTTTCTGAGAATGCTTCTGCATAGTTGTTACGGGAAGATATTTCCCTTTCCAAAATAGGCCTGAAAGCGCTCCAAATGTCCACTTCCAGATACTACAAAAGGAGTGATTCCAACCTGCTCTATGATAGGGAATGTTCAACTCTGTGTCCTGAATACAAACATCACAAAGATGTTTCTCAGAACGCTGCAGTCTGCAATTTGTATGAATTCCCGCTTCCAACGAAATCCTCAAAACTAGCCAAATATCCACTTGCAGATTCCACAAAAAGACCATTTCAAAACTGCTCTATCAAAAGAAAGGTTCAACTTTGTTAGTTGAGTAGATACAGCATAAACAAGTTTCTGAGAATGCTTCTGTCCAGTTTTTATGGGAAGATATTTCCTTTTTCACCTTAGCCCTGAAATCGCTCCAAAAGTCCAGTTCCAGATACTACAAAAGGGGTGTTTCAAGACTGCTCTATGAAAGGGAGTGTTCAACTTTTGACTTGAATGCAAACATCAGAAAGCAGTTTCTCAGAACGCTGCTGTGTGCTTTTTATATGTATTCCCGCTTCCAGCGAAATCCCCAAAGCTAGCCAAATATCCACTTGCAGATTCCAGAAAAAGAGTGTTTCAAAACTGCTCCTTCAAAACGGTGGTTCAATTCTCTTAGTTGAGTACACACATCTCAAATAAGTTTCTGAGAATGCTTCTGTCTAGTTGTTATGGGAAGATATTTCCTTTTCCAACATAGGCCTGAAAGCGCTCCAAATGTCCACTTCCAGATACTACAAAAGGAGTGATTCCAACCTGCTCTATGATAGGGAATGTTCAACTCTGTGTCCTGAATACAAACATCACAAAGATGTTTCTCAGAACGCTGCAGTCTGCAATTTGTATGAATTCCCGCTTCCAACGAAATCCTCCAAACTAGCCAAATATCCACTTGCAGATTCCACAAAAAGAGCGTTTCAAAACTTCTCTATGAAAACAAAGGTTCTACTCCTTTAGTTGAGGACACACATCACGAGTAAGTTTCTGAGAATGCTTCTGTCTAGTTTTTATGGGAAGATATTTCCTTTTTCACCTTAGGCCGGAAAGTGCTCCAAATGTCCACTTACACACACTACAAAAAGAGTGTTTCAAACCTGCTCTGTGAAAGGGAATGTTCAATTCTGTGACTTGAATGCAATCATCACAAAGAACTTTCTGAGAATGCTGCTGTCTGCTTTTTATATGTAATCCCGTTTCCAACGAAATCCTCAAATCTAGCCAAATAGCCACTTGCAGATTCCACAAAAAGAGTGTTTCAAAACTGTTCTCTCTAAAGAAATGTTCAACTGTGTTAGTTGAGGACACACATCAGAAACTAGTTTCTGAGAATGCTTCTGTCTAGTTGTTATGGGAAGATATTTCCTTTTCCAACGTAGGCCTGAAAGCGCTCCAAATGTCCACTTCCATATACTAAAAAAAGAGTGTTTCACACCTGCTCTACCAAAGGGAATGTTCTACTATGTGACTTGAATGCAAACATCCCAAAGAAGTTTCTGAGAATGCTTCTGTCTAGATTTTATCTGAAGACAATCCCGTTTCCAACGAAATCCTCAAGGCTAGGCAAATATACTCTTGCAGATTCCAGAAAAAGAGTGTTTCAAAACTGCTCCTTCAAAACGGTGGTTCAATTCTCTTAGTTGAGTACACACATCTCAAATAAGTTTCTGAGAATGCTTCTGCCTAGTTGTTACGGGAAGATATTTCCCTTTCCAACATGGGCCTGAAAGCGCTCCAAATGTCCACTTCCAGATACTACAAAAAGAGTGTTTCAAACCTGCTCTACCAAAGGGAATGTTCTACTCTGTGACTTGAATGCAAACATCCCAAAGAAGTTTCTGAGAATGCTTCTGTCTAGATTTTACCTGAAGACAATCCCGTTTCCCACGAAATCCTCAAAGCTATGCAAATATCCTCTTGCAGATTCTACAAAAAGAGTGTTTCAAAACTGCTCTATGAAAAGAAAGGTTCAACTCTGTCAGTAGAGGGCACACATCACAAACAAGTTTCTGAGAATGCTTGTGTCTAGTTGTTATGGGAAGATATTTCCTTTTTCAACATAGGCCTGAAAGCGCTCCAAATGTCCACTTCCAGATACTACAAAAGGAGTGATTCCAACCTGCTCTATGATAGGGAATGTTCAACTCTCTGTCCTGAATAGAAACATCACAAAGATGTTTCTCAGAATCCTGCAGTCTGCAATTTGTATGAATTCCCGCTTCCAACGAAATCCTCAAAACTAGCCAAATATCCACTTGCAGATTCCACAAAAAGAGCATTTCAAAACTGCTCTATCAAAAGAAAGGTTCAACTTTGTTAGTTGAGTAGATACAGCATAAACAAGTTTCTGAGAATGCTGCAGTCTGCAATTTGTATGAATTCCCGCTTCCAACGAAATCCTCAAAACTAGCCAAATATCCACTTGCAGATTCCACAAAAAGAGCGTTTCAAAACTTCTCTATGAAAAGAAAGGTTCTACTCCTTTAGTTGAGGACACACATCACGAGTAAGTTTCTGAGAATGCTTCTGTCTAGTTTTTATGGGAAGATTATTTCCTTTTTCACCTTAGGCCGGTAAGTGCTCCAAATGTCCACTTACACACACTACAAAAAGAGTGTTTCAAACCTGCTCTGTGAAAGGGAATGTTCAATTCTGTGACTTGAATGCAATCATCACAAAGAACTTTCTGAGAATGCCGCTGACTGCTTTTTATATGTAATCCCGTTTCCAACGAAATCCTCAAATCTAGCCAAATAGCCACTTGCAGATTCCACAAAAAGAGTGTTTCAAAACTGTTCTGTCTAAAGAAATGTTCAACTGTGTTAGTTGAGGACACACATCAGAAACTAGTTTCTGAGAATGCTTCTGTCTAGTTGTTATGGGAAGATATTTCCTTTTCCAACGTAGGCCTGAAAGCGCTCCAAATGTCCACTTCCATATACTAAAAAAAGAGTGTTTCAAACCTGCTCTACCAAAGGGAATGTTCTACTCTGTGACTTGAATGCAAACATCCCAAAGAAGTTTCTGAGAATGCTTCTGTCTAGATTTTCTCTGAAGACAATCCCGTTTCCAACGAAATCCTCAAGGCTAGGCAAATATACTCTTGCAGATTCCAGAAAAAGAGTGTTTCAAAACTGCTCCTTCAAAACGGTGGTTCAATTCTCTTAGTTGAGTACACACATCTCAAATAAGTTTCTGAGAATGCTTCTGCCTAGTTGTTACGGGAAGATATTTCCCTTTCCAACATGGGCCTGAAAGCGCTCCAAATGTCCACTTCCAGATACTACAAAAAGAGTGTTTCAAACCTGCTCTACCAAAGGGAATGTTCTACTCTGTGACTTGAATACAAACATCCCAAAGAAGTTTCTGAGAATGCTTCTGTCTAGATTTTACCTGAAGACAATCCCGTTTCCCACGAAATCCTCAAAGCTATGCAAATATCCTCTTGCAGATTCTACAAAAAGAGTGTTTCAAAACTGCTCTATGAAAAGAAAGGTTCAACTCTGTCAGTAGAGGGCACACATCACAAACAAGTTTCTGAGAATGCTTGTGTCTAGTTGTTATGGGAAGATATTTCCTTTTTCAACATAGGCCTGAAAACGCTCCAAATGTCCACTTCCAGATACTACAAAAGGAGTGATTCCAACCTGCTCTATGATAGGGAATGTTCAACTCTGTGTCCTGAATACAAACATCACAAAGATGTTTCTCAGAACGCTGCAGTCTGCAATTTGTATGAATTCCCGCTTCCAACGAAATCCTCAAAACTAGCCAAATATCCACTTGCAGATTCCACAAAAAGAGCATTTCAAAACTGCTCTATCAAAAGAAAGGTTCAACTTTGTTAGTTGAGTAGATACAGCATAAACAAGTTTGCTGAGAATGCTTCTGTCCAGTTTTTATGGGAAGATATTTCCTTTTTCACCTTAGCCCTGAAATCGCTCCAAAAGTCCAGTTCCAGATACTACAAAAGGGGTGTTTCAAGACTGCTCTATGAAAGGGAGTGTTCAACTTTTGACTTGAATGCAAACATCAGAAAGCAGTTTCTCAGAACGCTGCTGTGTGCTTTTTATATGTATTCCCGCTTCCAGCGAAATCCCCAAAGCTAGCCAAATATCCACTTGCAGATTCCAGAAAAAGAGTGTTTCAAAACTGCTCCTTCAAAACGGTGGTTCAATTCTCTTAGTTGAGTACACACATCTCAAATAAGTTTCTGAGAATGCTTCTGTCTAGTTGTTATGGGAAGATATTTCCTTTTCCAACATAGGCCTGAAAGCGCTCCAAATGTCCACTTCCAGATACTACAAAAGGAGTGATTCCAACCTGCTCTATGATAGGGAATGTTCAACTCTGTGTCCTGAATACAAACATCACAAAGATGTTTCTCAGAACGCTGCAGTCTGCAATTTGTATGAATTCCCGCTTCCAACGAAATCCTCAAAACTAGCCAAATATCCACTTGCAGATTCCACAAAAAGAGCGTTTCAAAACTTCTCTATGAAAAGAAAGGTTCTACTCCTTTAGTTGAGGACACACATCACGAGTAAGTTTCTGAGAATGCTTCTGTCTAGTTTTTATGGGAAGATATTTCCTTTTTCACCTTAGGCCGGTAAGTGCTCCAAATGTCCACTTACACACACTACAAAAAGAGTGTTTCAAACCTGCTCTGTGAAAGGGAATGTTCAATTCTGTGACTTGAATGCAATCATCACAAAGAACTTTCTGAGAATGCCGCTGTCTGCTTTTTATATGTAATCCCTTTTCCAACGAAATCCTCAAATCTAGCCAAATATCCACTTGCAGATTCCACAAAAGAGTGTTTCAAAACTGTTCTGTCTAAAGAAAAGTTCAACTGTGTTAGTTGAGGACACACATCAGAAACTAGTTTCTGAGAATGCTTCTGTCTAGTTGTTATGGGAAGATATTTCCTTTTCCAACGTAGGCCTGAAAGCGCTCCAAATGTCCACTTACACACACTACAAAAAGAGTGTTTCAAACCTGCTCTACCAAAGGGAATGTTCTACTCTGTGACTTGAATGCAAACATCCCAAAGAAGTTTCTGAGAATGCTTCTGTCTAGATTTTACCTGAAGACAATCCCGTTTCCCACGAAATCCTCAAAGCTATGCAAATATCCTCTTGCAGATTCTACAAAAAGAGTGTTTCAAAACTGCTCTATGAAAAGAAAGGTTCAACTCTGTCAGTAGAGGGCACACATCACAAACAAGTTTCTGAGAATGCTTCTGCATAGTTGTTACGGGAAGATATTTCCCTTTCCAACATAGGCCTGAAAGCGCTCCAAATGTCCACTTCCAGATACTACAAAAGGAGTGATTCCAACCTGCTCTATGATAGGGAATGTTCAACTCTGTGTCCTGAATACAAACATCACAAAGATGTTTCTCAGAACGCTGCAGTCTGCAATTTGTATGAATTCCCGCTTCCAACGAAATCCTCAAAACTAGCCAAATATCCACTTGCAGATTCCACAAAAAGACCATTTCAAAACTGCTCTATCAAAAGAAAGGTTCAACTTTGTTAGTTGAGTAGATACAGCATAAACAAGTTTCTGAGAATGCTTCTGTCCAGTTTTTATGGGAAGATATTTCCTTTTTCACCTTAGCCCTGAAATCGCTCCAAAAGTCCAGTTCCAGATACTACAAAAGGGGTGTTTCAAGACTGCTCTATGAAAGGGAGTGTTCAACTTTTGACTTGAATGCAAACATCAGAAAGCAGTTTCTCAGAACGCTGCTGTGTGCTTTTTATATGTATTCCCGCTTCCAGCGAAATCCCCAAAGCTAGCCAAATATCCACTTGCAGATTCCAGAAAAAGAGAGTTTCAAAACTGCTCCTTCAAAACGGTGGTTCAATTCTCTTAGTTGAGTACACACATCTCAAATAAGTTTCTGAGAATGCTTCTGTCTAGTTGTTATGGGAAGATATTTCCTTTTCCAACATAGGCCTGAAAGCGCTCCAAATGTCCACTTCCAGATACTACAAAAGGAGTGATTCAAACCTGCTCTATGATAGGGAATGTTCAACTCTGTGTCCTGAATACAAACATCACAAAGATGTTTCCTCAGAACGCTGCAGTCTGCAATTTGTATGAATTCCCGCTTCCAACGAAATCCTCAAAACTAGCCAAATATCCACTTGCAGATTCCACAAAAAGACCATTTCAAAACTGCTCTATCAAAAGAAAGGTTCAACTTTGTTAGTTGAGTAGATACAGCATAAACAAGTTTCTGAGAATGCTTCTGTCCAGTTTTTATGGGAAGATATTTCCTTTTTCACCTTAGCCCTGAAATCGCTCCAAAAGTCCAGTTCCAGATACTACGAAAGGGGTGTTTCAGGACTGCTCTATGAAAGGGAGTGTTCAACTTTTGACTTGAATGCAAACATCAGAAAGCAGTTTCTCAGAACGCTGCTGTGTGCTTTTTATATGTATTCCCGCTTCCAGCGAAATCCCCAAAGCTAGCCAAATATCCACTTGCAGATTCCAGAAAAAGAGAGTTTCAAAACTGCTCCTTCAAAACGGTGGTTCAATTCTCTTAGTTGAGTACACACATCTCAAATAAGTTTCTGAGAATGCTGCTTTGTGCTTTTTATATGTATTCCCGCTTCCAGCAAAATCCCCAAAGCTAGCCAAATATCCACTTGCAGATTCCAGAAAAAGAGAGTTTCAAAACTGCTCCTTCAAAACGGTGGTTCAATTCTCTTAGTTGAGTACACACATCTCAAATAAGTTTCTGAGAATGCTGCAGTCTGCAATTTGTATGAATTCCCGCTTCCAACGAAATCCTCAAAACTAGCCAAATATCCACTTGCAGATTCCACAAAAAGAGCGTTTCAAAACTTCTCTATGAAAAGAAAGGTTCTACTCCTTTAGTTGAGGACACACATCACGAGTAAGTTTCTGAGAATGCTTCTGTCTAGTTTTTATGGGAAGATATTTCCTTTTTCACCTTAGGCCGGAAAGCGCTCCAAATGTCCACTTACACACACTACAAAAAGAGTGTTTCAAACCTGCTCTGTGAAAAGGAATGTTCAATTCTGTGACTTGAATGCAATCATCACAAAGAACTTTCTGAGAATGCTGCTGACTGCTTTTTATATGTAATCCCGTTTCCAACGAAATCCTCAAATCTAGCCAAATAGCCACTTGCAGATTCCACAAAAAGAGTGTTTCAAAACTGTTCTGTCTAAAGAAATGTTCAACTGTGTTAGTTGAGGACACACATCAGAAACTAGTTTCTGAGAATGCTTCTGTCTAGTTGTTATGGGAAGATATTTCCTTTTCCAACGTAGGCCTGAAAGCGCTCCAAATGTCCACTTCCATATACTAAAAAAAGAGTGTTTCAAACCTGCTCTACCAAAGGGAATGTTCTACTCTGTGACTTGAATGCAAACATCCCAAAGAAGTTTCTGAGAATGCTTCTGTCTAGATTTTATCTGAAGACAATCCCGTTTCCAACGAAATCCTCAAGGCTAGGCAAATATACTCTTGCAGATTCCAGAAAAAGAGGGTTTCAAAACTGCTCCTTCAAAACGGTGGTTCAATTCTCTTAGTTGAGTACACACATCTCAAATAAGTTTCTGAGAATGCTTCTGCCTAGTTGTTACGGGAAGATATTTCCCTTTCCAACATGGGCCTGAAAGCGCTCCAAATGTCCACTTCCAGATACTACAAAAAGAGTGTTTCAAACCTGCTCTACCAAAGGGAATGTTCTACTCTGTGACTTGAATGCAAACATCCCAAAGAAGTTTCTGAGAATGCTTCTGTCTAGATTTTACCTGAAGACAATCCCGTTTCCCACGAAATCCTCAAAGCTATGCAAATATCCTCTTGCAGATTCTACAAAAAGAGTGTTTCAAAACTGCTCTATGAAAAGAAAGGTTCAACTCTGTCAGTAGAGGGCACACATCACAAACAAGTTTCTGAGAATGCTTGTGTCTAGTTGTTATGGGAAGATATTTCCTTTATCAACATAGGCCTGAAAGCGCTCCAAATGTCCACTTCCAGATACTACAAAAGGAGTGATTCCAACCTGCTCTATGATAGGGAATGTTCAACTCTGTGTCCTGAATACAAACATCACAAAGATGTTTCTCAGAACGCTGCAGTCTGCAATTTGTATGAATTCCCGCTTCCAACGAAATCCTCAAAACTAGCCAAATATCCACTTGCAGATTCCACAAAAAGACCATTTCAAAACTGCTCTATCAAAAGAAAGGTTCAACTTTGTTAGTTGAGTAGATACAGCATAAACAAGTTTCTGAGAATGCTTCTGTCCAGTTTTTATGGGAAGATATTTCCTTTTTCACCTTAGCCCTGAAATCGCTCCAAAAGTCCAGTTCCAGATACTACAAAAGGGGTGTTTCAAGACTGCTCTATGAAAGGGAGTGTTCAACTTTTGACTTGAATGCAAACATCAGAAAGCAGTTTCTCAGAACGCTGCTGTGTGCTTTTTATATGTATTCCCGCTTCCAGCGAAATCCCCAAAGCTAGCCAAATATCCACTTGCAGATTCCAGAAAAAGAGTGTTTCAAAACTGCTCCTTCAAAACGGTGGTTCAATTCTCTTAGTTGAGTACACACATCTCAAATAAGTTTCTGAGAATGCTTCTGTCTAGTTGTTATGGGAAGATATTTCCTTTTCCAACATAGGCCTGAAAGTGCTCCAAATGTCCACTTCCAGATACTACAAAAGGAGTGATTCAAACCTGCTCTATGATAGGGAATGTTCAACTCTGTGTCCTGAATACAAACATCACAAAGATGTTTCTCAGAACGCTGCAGTCTGCAATTTGTATGAATTCCCGCTTCCAACGAAATCTTCAAAACTAGCCAAATATCCACTTGCAGATTCCACAAAAAGAGCGTTTCAAAACTTCTCTATGAAAAGAAAGGTTCTACTCCTTTAGTTGAGGACACACATCACGAGTAAGTTTCTGAGAATGCTCTGTCTAGTTTTTATGGGAAGATATTTCCTTTTTCACCTTAGGCCGGAAAGTGCTCCAAATGTCCACTTACACACACTACAAAAAGAGTGTTTCAAACCTGCTCTGTGAAAGGGAATGTTCAATTCTGTGACTTGAATGCAATCATCACAAAGAACTTTCTGAGAATGCTGGCTGTCTGCTTTTTATATGTAATCCCGTTTCCAACGAAATCCTCAAATCTAGCCAAATATCCACTTGTAGATTCCACAAAAAGAGTGTTTCAAAACTCTTCTGTCTAAAGAAATGTTCAACTGTGTTAGTTGAGGACACACATCAGAAACTAGTTTCTGAGAATGCTTCTGTCTAGTTGTTATGGGAAGATATTTCCTTTTCCAACGTAGGCCTGAAAGCGCTCCAAATGTCCACTTCCATATACTAAAAAAAGAGTGTTTCAAACCTGCTCTACCAAAGGGAATGTTCTACTCTGTGACTTGAATGCAAACATCCCAAAGAAGTTTCTGAGAATGCTTCTGTCTAGATTTGATCTGAAGACAATCCCGTTTCCAACGAAATCCTCAAGGCTAGGCAAATATACTCTTGCAGATTCCAGAAAAAGAGTGTTTCAAAACTGCTCCTTCAAAACGGTGGTTCAATTCTCTTAGTTGAGTACACACATCTCAAATAAGTTTCTGAGAATGCTTCTGCCTAGTTGTTACGGGAAGATATTTCCCTTTCCAACATGGGCCTGAAAGCGCTCCAAATGTCCACTTCCAGATACTACAAAAAGAGTGTTTCAAACCTGCTCTACCAAAGGGAATGTTCTACTCTGTGACTTGAATGGAAACATCCCAAAGAAGTTTCTGAGAATGCTTCTGTCTAGATTTTACCTGAAGACAATCCCGTTTCCCACGAAATCCTCAAAGCTATGCAAATATCCTCTTGCAGATTCTACAAAAAGAGTGTTTCAAAACTGCTCTATGAAAAGAAAGGTTCAACTCTGTCAGTAGAGGGCACACATCACAAACAAGTTTCTGAGAATGCTTGTGTCTAGTTGTTATGGGAAGATATTTCCTTTTTCAACATAGGCCTGAAAGCGCTCCAAATGTCCACTTCCAGATAGTACAAAAGGAGTGATTCCAACATGCTCTATGATAGGGAATGTTCATCTCTGTGTCTTGAATACAAACATCACAAAGATGTTTCTCAGAACGCTGCAGTCTGCAATTTGTATGAATTCCCGCTTCCAACGAAATCCTCAAAACTAGCCAAATATCCACTTGCAGATTCCACAAAAAGACCATTTCAAAACTGCTCTATCAAAAGAAAGGTTCAACTTTGTTAGTTGAGTAGATACAGCATTAACAAGTTTCTGAGAATGCTTCTGTCCAGTTTTTATGGGAAGATATTTCCTTTTTCACCTTAGCCCTGAAATCGCTCCAAAAGTCCAGTTCCAGATACTACAAAAGGGGTGTTTCAAGACTGCTCTATGAAAGGGAGTGTTCAACTTTTGACTTGAATGCAAACATCAGAAAGCAGTTTCTCAGAACGCTGCTGTGTGCTTTTTATATGTATTCCCGCTTCCAGCGAAATCCCCATAGCTAGCCAAATATCCACTTGCAGATTCCAGAAAAAGAGTGTTTCCAAACTGCTCCTTCAAAACGGTGGTTCAATTCTCTTAGTTGAGTACACACATCTCAAATAAGTTTCTGGGAATGCTTGTGTCTAGTTGTTATGGGAAGATATTTCCTTTTTCAACATAGGCCTGAAAGCGCTCCAAATGTCCACTTCCAGATACTACAAAAGGAGTGATTCCAACCTGCTCTATGATAGGGAATGTTCATCTCTGTGTCCTGAATACAAACATCACAAAGATGTTTCTCAGAACGCTGCAGTCTGCAATTTGTATGAATTCCCGCTTCCAACGAAATCCTCAAAACTAGCCAAATATCCACTTGGAGATTCCACAAAAAGAGCGTTTCAAAACTTCTCTATGAATAGAAAGGTTCTACTCCTTTAGTTGAGGACACACATCACGAGTAAGTTTCTGAGAATGCTTCTGTCTAGTTTTTATGGGAAGATTATTTCCTTTTTCACCTTAGGCCGGTAAGTGCTCCAAATGTCCACTTACACACACTACAAAAAGAGTGTTTCAAACCTGCTCTGTGAAAGGGAATGTTCAATTCTGTGACTTGAATGCAATCATCACAAAGAACTTTCTGAGAATGCTGCTGACTGCTTTTTATATGTAATCCCGTTTCCAACGAAATCCTCAAATCTAGCCAAATAGCCACTTGCAGATTCCACAAAAAGAGTGTTTCAAAACTGTTCTGTCTAAAGAAATGTTCAACTGTGTTAGTTGAGGACACACATCAGAAACTAGTTTCTGAGAATGCTTCTGTCTAGTTGTTATGGGAAGATATTTCCTTTTCCAACGTAGGCCTGAAAGCGCTCCAAATGTCCACTTCCATATACTAAAAAAAGAGTGTTTCAAACCTGCTCTACCAAAGGGAATGTTCTACTCTGTGACTTGAATGCAAACATCCCAAAGAAGTTTCTGAGAATGCTTCTGTCTAGATTTTCTCTGAAGACAATCCCGTTTCCAACGAAATCCTCAAGGCTAGGCAAATATACTCTTGCAGATTCCAGAAAAAGAGTGTTTCAAAACTGCTCCTTCAAAACGGTGGTTCAATTCTCTTAGTTGAGTACACACATCTCAAATAAGTTTCTGAGAATGCTTCTGCCTAGTTGTTACGGGAAGATATTTCCCTTTCCAACATGGGCCTGAAAGCGCTCCAAATGTCCACTTCCAGATACTACAAAAAGAGTGTTTCAAACCTGCTCTACCAAAGGGAATGTTCTACTCTGTGACTTGAATGCAAACATCCCAAAGAAGTTTCTAAGAATGCTTCTGTCTAGATTTTACCTGAAGACAATCCCGTTTCCCACGAAATCCTCAAAGCTATGCAAATATCCTCTTGCAGATTCTACAAAAAGAGTGTTTCAAAACTGCTCTATGAAAAGAAAGGTTCAACTCTGTCAGTAGAGGGCACACATCACAAACAAGTTTCTGAGAATGCTTGTGTCTAGTTGTTATGGGAAGATATTTCCTTTTTCAACATAGGCCTGAAAGCGCTCCAAATGTCCACTTCCAGATACTACAAAAGGAGTGATTCCAACCTGCTCTATGATAGGGAATGTTCAACTCTGTGTCCTGAATACAAACATCACAAAGATGTTTCTCAGAACGCTGCAGTCTGCAATTTGTATGAATTCCCGCTTCCAACGAAATCCTCAAAACTAGCCAAATATCCACTTGCAGATTCCACAAAAAGACCATTTCAAAACTGCTCTATCAAAAGAAAGGTTCAACTTTGTTAGTTGAGTAGATACAGCATAAACAAGTTTCTGAGAATGCTTCTGTCCAGTTTTTATGGGAAGATATTTCCTTTTTCACCTTAGCCCTGAAATCGCTCCAAAAGTCCAGTTCCAGATACTACAAAAGGGGTGTTTCAAGACTGCTCTATGAAAGGGAGTGTTCAACTTTTGACTTGAATGCAAACATCAGAAAGCAGTTTCTCAGAACGCTGCAGTCTGCAATTTGTATGAATTCCCGCTTCCAACGAAATCCTCAAAACTAGCCAAATATCCACTTGCAGATTCCACAAAAAGAGCGTTTCAAAACTTCTCTATGAAAAGAAAGGTTCTACTCCTTTAGTTGAGGACACACATCACGAGTAAGTTTCTGAGAATGCTTCTGTCTAGTTTTTATGGGAAGATATGTCCTTTTTCACCTTAGGCCGGAAAGCGCTCCAAATGTCCAAATACACACACTACAAAAAGAGTGTTTCAAACCTGCTCTGTGAAAGGGAATGTTCAATTCTGTGACTTGAATGCAATCATCACAAAGAACTTTCTGAGAATGCTGCTGACTGCTTTTTATATGTAATCCCGTTTCCAACGAAATCCTCAAATCTAGCCCAATATCCACTTGCAGATTCCACAAAAAGAGTGTTTCAAAACTGTTCTGTCTAAAGAAAAGTTCAACTGTGTTAGTTGAGGACACACATCAGAAACTAGTTTCTGAGAATGCTTCTGTCTAGTTGTTATGGGAAGATATTTCCTTTTCCAACGTAGGCCTGAAAGCGCTCCAAATGTCCACTTCCATATACTAAAAAAAGAGTGTTTCAAACCTGCTCTACCAAAGGGAATGTTCTACTCTGTGACTTGAATGCAAACATCCCAAAGAAGTTTCTGAGAATGCTTCTGTCTAGATTTTATCTGAAGACAATCCAGTTTCCAACGAAATCCTCAAGGCTAGGCAAATATATTCTTGCAGAATCCAGAAAAAGAGTGTTTCAAAACTGCTCCTTCAAAACGGTGGTTCAATTCTCTTAGTTGAGTACACACATCTCAAATAAGTTTCTGAGAATGCTTCTGCCTAGTTGTTAAGGGAAGATATTTCCCTTTCCAACATGAGCCTGAAAGCGCTCCATATGTCCACTTCCAGATACTACAAAAAGAGTGTTTCAAACCTGCTCTACCAAAGGGAATGTTCTACTCTGTGACTTGAATGCAAACATCCCAAAGAAGTTTCTGAGAATGCTTCTGTCTAGATTTTACCTGAAGACAATCCCGTTTCCCACGAAATCCTCAAAGCTATGCAAATATCCTGTTGCAGATTCTACAAAAAGAGTGTTTCAAAACTGCTCTATGAAAAGAAAGGTTCAACTCTGTCAGTAGAGGGCACACATCACAAACAAGTTTCTGAGAATGCTTCTGCATAGTTGTTACGGGAAGATATTTCCCTTTCCAAAATAGGCCTGAAAGCGCTCCAAATGTCCACTTCCAGATACTACAAAAGGAGTGATTCCAACCTGCTCTATGATAGGGAATGTTCAACTCTGTGTCCTGAATACAAACATCACAAAGATGTTTCTCAGAACGCTGCAGTCTGCAATTTGTATGAATTCCCGCTTCCAACGAAATCCTCAAAACTAGCCAAATATCCACTTGCAGATTCCACAAAAAGACCATTTCAAAACTGCTCTATCAAAAGAAAGGTTCAACTTTGTTAGTTGAGTAGATACAGCATAACCAAGTTTCTGAGAATGCTTCTGTCCAGTTTTTATGGGAAGATATTTCCTTTTTCACCTTAGCCCTGAAATCGCTCCAAAAGTCCAGTTCCAGATACTACAAAAGGGGTGTTTCAAGACTGCTCTATGAAAGGGAGTGTTCAACTTTTGACTTGAATGCAAACATCAGAAAGCAGTTTCTCAGAACGCTGCTGTGTGCTTTTTATATGTATTCCCGCTTCCAGCGAAATCCCCAAAGCTAGCCAAATATCCACTTGCAGATTCCAGAAAAAGAGTGTTTCAAAACTGCTCCTTCAAAACGGTGGTTCAATTCTCTTAGTTGAGTACACACATCTCAAATAAGTTTCTGAGAATGCTTGTGTCTAGTTGTTATGGGAAGATATTTCCTTTTTCAACATAGGCCTGAAAGCGCTCCAAATGTCCACTTCCAGATACTACAAAAGGAGTGATTCCAACCTGCTCTATGATAGGGAATGTTCATCTCTGTGTCCTGAATACAAACATCACAAAGATGTTTCTCAGAACGCTGCAGTCTGCAATTTGTATGAATTCCCGCTTCCAACGAAATCCTCAAAACTAGCCAAATATCCACTTGCAGATTCCACAAAAAGAGCGTTTCAAACCTTCTCTATGAAAAGAAAGGTTCTACTCCTTTAGTTGAGGACACACATCACGAGTAAGTTTCTGAGAATGCTTCTGTCTAGTTTTTATGGGAAGATATTTCCTTTTTCACCTTAGGCCGGTAAGTGCTCCAAATGTCCACTTACACACACTACAAAAAGAGTGTTTCAAACCTGCTCTGTGAAAGGGAATGTTCAATTCTGTGACTTGAATGCAATCATCACAAAGAACTTTCTGAGAATGCTGCTGACTGCTTTTTATATGTAATCCCGTTTCCAACGAAATCCTCAAATCTAGCCAAATAGCCACTTGCAGATTCCACAAAAAGAGTGTTTCAAAACTGTTCTGTCTAAAGAAATGTTCAACTGTGTTAGTTGAGGACACACATCAGAAACTAGTTTCTGAGAATGCTTCTGTCTAGTTGTTATGGGAAGAGATTTCCTTTTCCAACGTAGGCCTGAAAGCGCTCCAAATGTCCTTCCATATACTAAAAAAAGAGTGTTTCAAACCTGCTCTACCAAAGGGAATGTTCTACTCTGTGACTTGAATGCAAACATCCCAAAGAAGTTTCTGAGAATGCTTCTGTCTAGATTTTATCTGAAGACAATCCCGTTTCCAACGAAATCCTCAAGGCTAGGCAAATATACTCTTGCAGATTCCAGAAAAAGAGGGTTTCAAAACTGCTCCTTCAAAACGGTGGTTCAATTCTCTTAGTTGAGTACACACATCTCAAATAAGTTTCTGAGAATGCTTCTGCCTAGTTGTTACGGGAAGATATTTCCCTTTCCAACATGGGCCTGAAAGCGCTCCAAATGTCCACTTCCAGATACTACAAAAAGAGTGTTTCAAACCTGCTCTACCAAAGGGAATGTTCTACTCTGTGACTTGAATGCAAACATCCCAAAGAAGTTTCTGAGAATGCTTCTGTCTAGATTTTACCTGAAGGACAATCCCGTTTCCCACGAAATCCTCAAAGCTATGCAAATATCCTCTTGCAGATTCTACAAAAAGAGTGTTTCAAAACTGCTCTAAGAAAAGAAAGGTTCAACTCTGTCAGTAGAGGGCACACATCACAAACAAGTTTCTGAGAATGCTTGTGTCTAGTTGTTATGGGAAGATATTTCCTTTTTCAACATAGGCCTGAAAGCGCTCCAAATGTCCACTTCCAGATACGACAAAAGGAGTGATTCCAACCTCCTCTATGATAGGGAATGTTCAACTCTGTGTCCTGAATACAAACATCACAAAGATGTTTCTCAGAACGCTGCAGTCTGCAATTTGTATGAATTCCCGCTTCCAACGAAATCCTCAAAACTAGCCAAATATCCACTTGCAGATTCCACAAAAAGAGCATTTCAAAACTGCTCTATCAAAAGAAAGGTTCAACTTTGTTAGTTGAGTAGATACAGCATAAACAAGTTTCTGAGAATGCTTCTGTCCAGTTTTTATGGGAAGATATTTCCTTTTTCACCTTAGCCCTGAAAGCGCTCCAAAAGTCCAGTTCCAGATACTACAAAAGGAGTGTTTCAGACTGCACTATGAAAGGGAGTGTTCAACTTTTGACTTGAATGCAAACATCAGAAAGCAGTTTCTCAGAACGCTGCTGTGTGCTTTTTATATGTATTCCCGCTTCCAGCGAAATCCCCAAAGCTAGCCAAATATCCACTTGCAGATTCCAGAAAAAGAGTGTTTCAAAACTGCTCCTTCAAAACGGTGGTTCAATTCTCTTAGTTGAGTACACACATCTCAAATAAGTTTCTGAGAATGCTGCAGTCTGCAATTTGTATGAATTCCCGCTTCCAACGAAATCCTCCAAACTAGCCAAATATCCACTTGCAGATTCCACAAAAAGAGCGTTTCAAAACTTCTCTATGAAAGAAAGGTTCTACTCCTTTAGTTGAGGACACACATCACGAGTAAGTTTCTGAGAATGCTTCTGTCTAGTTTTTATGGGAAGATATTTCCTTTTTCACCTTAGGCCGGAAAGTGCTCCAAATGTCCACTTACACACACTACAAAAAGAGTGTTTCAAACCTGCTCTGTGAAAGGGAATGTTCAATTCTGTGACTTGAATGCAATCATCACAAAGAACTTTCTGAGAATGCTGCTGTCTGCTTTTTATATGTAATCCCGTTTCCAACGAAATCCTCAAATGTAGCCAAATATCCACTTGCAGATTCCACAAAAAGAGTGTTTCAAAACTGTTCTGTCTAAAGAAATGTTCAACTGTGTTAGTTGAGGACACACATCAGAAACTAGTTTCTGAGAATGCTTCTGTCTAGTTGTTATGGGAAGATATTTCCTTTTCCAACGTAGGCCTGAAAGCGCTCCAAATGTCCACTTCCATATACTAAAAAAAGAGTGTTTCAAACCTGCTCTACCAAAGGGAATGTTCTACTCTGTGACTTGAATTCAAACATCCCAAAGAAGTTTCTGAGAATGCTTCTGTCTAGATTTGATCTGAAGACAATCCCGTTTCCAACGAAATCCTCAAGGCTAGGCAAATATCCTCTTGCAGATTCCAGAAAAAGAGTGTTTCAAAACTGCTCCTTCAAAACGGTGGTTCAATTCTCTTAGTTGAGTACACACATCTCAAATAAGTTTCTGAGAATGCTTCTGCCTAGTTGTTACGGGAAGATATTTCCCTTTCCAGCATGGGCCTGAAAGCGCTCCAAATGTCCACTTCCAGATACTACAAAAAGAGTGTTTCAAACCTGCTCTACCAAAGGGAATGTTCTACTCTGTGACTTGAATGCAAACATCCCAAAGAAGTTTCTGAGAATGCTTCTGTCTAGATTTTACCTGAAGACAATCCCGTTTCCCACGAAATCCTCAAAGCTATGCAAATATCCTCTTGCAGATTCTACAAAAAGAGTGTTTCAAAACTGCTCTATGAAAAGAAAGGTTCAACTCTGTCAGTAGAGGGCACACATCACAAACAAGTTTCTGAGAATGCTTGTGTCTAGTTGTTATGGGAAGATATTTCCTTTTTCAACATAGGCCTGAAAGCGCTCCAAATGTCCACTTCCAGATACTACAAAAGGAGTGATTCCAACCTGCTCTATGATAGGGAATGTTCAACTCTCTGTCCTGAATACAAACATCACAAAGATGTTTCTCAGAACGCTGCAGTCTGCAATTTGCATGAATTCCAGCTTCCAACGAAATCCTCAAAACTAGCCAAATATCCACTTGCAGATTCCACAAAAAGAGCATTTCAAAACTGCTCTATCAAAAGAAAGGTTCAACTTTGTTAGTAGAGTAGATACAGCATAAACAAGTTTCTGAGAATGCTTTCTGTCCAGTTTTTATGGGAAGATATTTCCTTTTTCACCTTAGCCCTGAAAGCGCTCCAAAAGTCCAGTTCCAGATACTACAAAAGGAGTGTTTCAGGACTGCTCTATGAAAGGGAGTGTTCAACTTTTGACTTGAATGCAAACATCAGAAAGCAGTTTCTCAGAACGCTGCTGTGTGCTTTTTATATGTATTCCCGCTTCCAGCGAAATCCCCAAAGCTAGCCAAATATCCACTTGCAGATTCCAGAAAAAGAGTGTTTCAAAACTGCTCCTTCAAAACGGTGGTTCAATTCTCTTAGTTGAGTACACACATCTCAAATAAGTTTCTGAGAATGCTTCTGTCTAGTTGTTATGGGAAGATATTTCCTTTTCCAACATAGGCCTGAAAGCGCTCCAAATGTCCACTTCCAGATACTACAAAAGGAGTGATTCAAACCTGCTCTATGATAGGGAATGTTCAACTCTGTGTCCTGAATACAAACATCACAAAGATGTTTCTCAGAACGCTGCAGTCTGCAATTTGTATGAATTCCCGCTTCCAACGAAATCCTCAAAACTAGCCAAATATCCACTTGCAGATTCCACAAAAAGAGCGTTTCAAAACTTCTCTATGAAAAGAAAGGTTCTACCCCTTTAGTTGAGGACACACATCACGAGTAAGTTTCTGAGAATGCTTCTGTCTAGTTTTTATGGGAAGATATTTCCTTTTTCACCTTAGGCCGGTAAGTGCTCCAAATGTCCACTTACACACACTACAAAAAGAGTGTTTCAAACCTGCTCTGTGAAAGGGAATGTTCAATTCTGTGACTTGAATGCAATCATCACAAAGAACTTTCTGAGAATGCTGCTGACTGCTTTTTATACGTAATCCCGTTTCCAACGAAATCCTCAAATCTGGCCAAATATGCACTTGCAGATTCCACAAAAAGACTGTTTCAAAACTGTTCTGTCTAAAGAAATGTACAACTGTGTTAGTTGAGGACACACATCAGAATCTAGTTTCTGAGAATGCTTCTGTCTAGTTGTTATGGGAAGATATTTCCTTTTCCAACGTAGGCCTGAAAGCGCTCCAAATGTCCACTTCCATATACTAAAAAAAGAGTGTTTCAAACCTGCTCTACCAAAGGGAATGTTCTACTCTGTGACTTGAATGCAAACATCCCAAAGAAGTTTCTGAGAATGCTTCTGTCTAGATTTTATCTGAAGACAATCCCGTTTCCAACGAAATCCTCAAAGCTATGCAAATATTCTCTTGCAGATTCCAGAAAAAGAGTGTTTCAAAACTACTCCTTCAAAACGATGGTTCAATTCTCTTAGTTGAGTACACACATCTCAAATAAGTTTCTGAGAATGCTTCTGCCTAGTTGTTACAGGAAGAAATTTCCCTTTCCAACATAGG
Source organism: Homo sapiens (assembly GCF_000001405.40). Lineage (NCBI taxonomy): Eukaryota > Metazoa > Chordata > Mammalia > Primates > Hominidae > Homo > Homo sapiens. The sequence continues at coordinate 19,416,928 of NC_000018.10, read as the reverse complement.
CCTGAAAGCGCTCCAAATGTCCACTTCCAGATACTACAAAAAGAGTGTTTCAAACCTGCTCTACCGAAGGGAATGTTCTACTCTGTGACTTGAATGCAAACATCCCGAAGAAGTTCCTGAGAATGCTTCCGTCTAGATTTTACCTGAAGACAATCCCGTTTCCCACGAAATCCTCAAATCTATGCAAATATCCTCTTGCAGATTCTACAAAAAGAGTGTTTCGAAACTGCTCTATGAAAAGAAAGGTTCAACTCTGTCAGTAGAGGGCACACATCACAAACAAGTTTCTGAGAATGCTTGTGTCTAGTTGTTATGGGAAGATATTTCCTTTTTCAACATAGGCCTGAAAACGCTCCAAATGTCCACTTCCAGATACTACAAAAAGAGTGATTCCAACCTGCTCTATGATAGGGAATGTTCATCTCTGTGTCCTGAATACAAACATCTCAAAGATGTTTCTCAGAACGCTGCAGTCTGCAATTTGTATGAATTCCCGCTTCCAACGAAATCCTCAAAACTAGCCAAATATCCACTTGCAGATTCCACAAAAAGACCATTTCAAAACTGCTCTATCAAAAGAAAGGTTCAACTTTGTTAGTTGAGTAGATACAGCATAAACAAGTTTCTGAGAATGCTTCTGTCCAGTTTTTATGGGAAGATATTTCCTTTTTCACCTTAGCCCTGAAATCGCTCCAAAAGTCCAGTTCCAGATACTACAAAAGGGGTGTTTCAGGACTGCTACTATGAAAGGGAGTGTTCAACTTTTGACTTGAATGCAAACATCAGAAAGCAGTTTCTCAGAACGCTGCTGTGTGCTTTTTATATGTATTCCCGCTTCCAGCGAAATCCCCAAAGCTAGCCAAATATCCACTTGCAGATTTCAGAAAAAGAGAGTTTCAAAACTGCTCCTTCAAAACGGTGGTTCAATTCTCTTAGTTGAGTACACACATCTCAAATAAGTTTCTGAGAATGCTTTCTGTCCAGTTTTTATGGGAAGATATTTCCTTTTTCACCTTAGCCCTGAAATCGCTCCAAAAGTCCAGTTCCAGATACTACAAAACGGGTGTTTCAAGACTGCTCTATGAAAGGGAGTGTTCAACTTTTGACTTGAATGCAAACATCAGAAAGCAGTTTCTCAGAACGCTGCTGTGTGCTTTTTATATGTATTCCCGCTTCCAGCGAAATCCCCAAAGCTAGCCAAATATCCACTTGCAGATTCCAGAAAAAGAGAGTTTCAAAACTGCTCCTTCAAAACGGTGGTTCAATTCTCTTAGTTGAGTACACACATCTCAAATAAGTTTCTGAGAATGCTGCAGTCTGCAATTTGTATCAATTCCCGCTTCCAACGAAATCCTCCAAACTAGCCAAATATCCACTTGCAGATTCCACAAAAAGAGCGTTTCAAAACTTCTCTATGAAAAGAAAGGTTCTACTCCTTTAGTTGAGGACACACATCACGAGTAAGTTTCTGAGAATGCTTCTGTCTAGTTTTTATGGGAAGATATTTCCTTGTTCACCTTAGGCCGAAAAGCGCTCCAAATGTCCACTTACACACACTACAAAAAGAGTGTTTCAAACCTGCTCTGTGAAAGGGAATGTTCAATTCTGTGACTTGAATGCAATCATCACAAAGAAGTTTCTGAGAATGCTGCTGTCTGCTTTTTATATGTAATCCCGTTTCCAACGAAATCCTCAAATCTAGCCAAATATCCACTTGCAGATTCCACAAAAAGAGTGTTTCAAAACTATTCTGTCTAAAGAAATGTTCAACTGTGTTAGTTGAGGACACACATCAGAAACTAGTTTCTGAGAATGCTTCTGTCTAGTTGTTATGGGAAGATATTTCCTTTTCCAACGTAGGCCTGAAAGCGCTCCAAATGTCCACTTCCATATACTAAAAAAAGAGTGTTTCAAACCTGCTCTACCAAAGGAATGTTCTACTCTGTGACTTGAATGCAAACATCTCAAAGAAGTTTCTGAGAATGCTTCTGTCTAGATTTGATCTGAAGACAATCCCTTTTCCAACGAAATCCTCAAAGCTAGGCAAATATCCTCTTGCAGATTCCAGAAAAAGAGTGTTTCCAAACTGCTCCTTCAAAACGGTGGTTCAATTCTCTTAGTTGAGTACACACATCTCAAATAAGTTTCTGAGAATGCTTCTGCCTAGTTGTTACGGGAAGATATTTCCCTTTCCAACATAGGCCTGAAAGCGCAACAAATGTCCACTTCCAGATACGACAAAAAGAGTGTTTCAAACCTGCTCTACCAAAGGGAATGTTCTACTCTGTGACTTGAATGCAAACATCCCGAAGAAGTTTCTGAGAATGCTTCTGTCTAGATTTTACCTGAAGACAATCCCGTTTCCCACGAAATCCTCAGAGCTATGCAAATATCCTCTTGCAGATTCTACAAAAAGAGTGTTTCAAAACTGCTCTATGAAAAGAAAGGTTCAACTCTGTCAGTAGAGGAAACACATCACCAACAAGTTTCTGAGAATGCTTCTGTCTAGTTGTTATGGGAAGATTTTTCCTTTTTCAACATAGGCCTGAAAGCGCTCCAAATGTCCACTTCCAGATACTACAAAAGGAGTGATCCCAACCTGCTCTATGATAGGGAATGTTCAACTCTGTGTCCTGAATACAAACATCACAAAGATGTTTCTCAGAACGCTGCAGTCTGCAATTTGTATGAATTCCCGCTTCCAACGAAATCCTCAAAACTAGCCAAATATCCACTTGCAGATTCCACAAAAAGAGCATTTCAAAACTGCTCTATCAAAAGAAAGGTTCAACTTTGTTAGTTGAGTAGATACAGCATAAACAAGTTTCTGAGAATGCTTCTGTCCAGTTTTTATGGGAAGATATTTCGTTTTTCACCTTAGCCCTGAAAGCGCTCCCAATGTCCACTTCCAGATACTACAAAAGGGGTGTTTCAGGCCTGCTCTATGAAAGGGACTGTTCAACTTTTGACTTGAATGCAAACATCAGAAAGCAGTTTCTCAGAACGCTGCTGTGTGCTTTTTATATGTATTCCCGCTTCCAGCGAAATCCCCAAAGCTAGCCTAATATCCACTTGCAGATTCCAGAAAACGAGTGTTTCAAAACTGCTCCTTCAAAACGGTGGTTCAATTCTCCTAGTTGAGTACACACATCTCAAATAGGTTTCTGAGAATGCTTCTGTCTAGCTGTTATGGGAGGATATTTCCTTTTCCAACATAGGCCTGAAAGCGCTCCAAACGTCCACTTCCAGATACGACAAAAGGAGTGATTCCAACCTGCTCTATGATAGGGAATGTTCAACTCTGTGTCCTGAATACAAACATCACAAAGATGTTTCTCAGAACGCTGCAGTCTGCAATTTGTATGAATTCCCGCTTCCAACGAAATCCTCAAAACTAGCCAAATATCCACTTGCAGATTCCACAAAAAGAGCGTTTCAAAACTTCTCTATGAAAAGAAAGGTTCTACTCCTTGAGTTGAGGACACCCATCACGAGTAAGTTTCTGAGAATGCTTCTGTCTAGTTTTTATGGGAAGATATTTCCTTTTTCACCTGAGGCCGGAAAGCGCTCCAAATGTCCACTTCCAGATACTACAAAAGGAGTGATTCAAACCTGCTCTATGATAGGGAATGTTCAACTCTGTGTCCTGAATACAAACATCACAAAGATGTTTCTCAGAACGCTGCAGTCTGCAATTTGTATGAATTCCCGCTTCCAACGAAATCCTCAAAACTAGCCAAATATCCACTTGCAGATTCCACAAAAAGAGCGTTTCAAAACTTCTCTATGAAAAGAAAGGTTCTACTCCTTTAGTTGAGGACACACATCACGAGTAAGTTTGCTGAGAATGCTTATCTGTCTAGTTTTTATGGGAAGATATTTCCTTTTTCACCTTAGGCCGGTAAGTGCTCCAAATGTCCACTTACACACACTACAAAAAGAGTGTTTCAAACCTGCTCTGTGAAAGGGAATGTTCAATTCTGTGACTTGAATGCAATCATCACAAAGAACTTTCTGAGAATGCTGCTGTCTGCTTTTTATATGTAATCCCGTTTCCAACGAAATCCTCAAATCTAGCCAAATATCCACTTGCAGATTCCACAAAAAGAGTGTTTCAAAACTGTTCTGTCTAAAGAAAAGTTCAACTGTGTTAGTTGAGGACACACATCAGAAACTAGTTTCTGAGAATGCTTCTGTCTAGTTGTTATGGGAAGATATTTCCTTTTCCAAAGTAGGCCTGAAAGCGCTCCAAATGTCCACTTCCATATACGAAAAAAAGAGTGTTTCAAACCTGCTCTACCAAAGGGAATGTTCTACTCTGTGACTTGAATGCAAACATCCCAAAGAAGTTTCTGAGAATGCTTCTGTCTAGATTTGATCTGAAGACAATCCCGTTTCCAACGGAATCCTCAAAGCTAGGCAAATATCCTCTTGCAGATTCCAGAAAAAGAGTGTTTCAAAACTGCTCCTTCAAAACGGTGGTTCAATTCTCTTAGTTGAGTACACACATCTCAAATAAGTTTCTGAGAATGCTTCTGCCTAGTTGTTACGGGAAGATATTTCCCTTTCCAACATAGGCCTGAAAGCGCTCCAAATGTCCACTTCCAGATACTACAAAAAGAGTGTTTCAAACCTGCTCTACCAAAGGGAATGTTCTACTCTGTGACTTGAATGCAAACATCCCAAAGAAGTTTCTGAGAATGCTTCTGTCTAGATTTTACCTGAAGACAATCCCGTTTCCCACGAAATCCTCAAAGCTATGCAAATATCCTCTTGCAGATTCTACAAAAAGAGTGTTTCAAAACTGCTCTATGAAAAGAAAGGTTCAACTCTGTCAGTAGAGGGCACACATCACAAACAAGTTTCTGAGAATGCTTGTGTCTAGTTGTTATGGGAAGATATTTCCTTTTTCAACATAGGCCTGAAAGCGCTCCAAATGTCCACTTCCAGATACTACAAAAGGAGTGATTCCAACCTGCTCTATGATAGGGAATGTTCAACTCTCTGTCCTGAATACAAACATCACAAAGATGTTTCTCAGAACGCTGCAGTCTGCAATTTGTATGAATTCCCGCTTCCAGCGAAATCCTCAAAACTAGCCAAATATCCACTTGCAGATTCCACAAAAAGAGCATTTCAAAACTGCTCTATCAAAAGAAAGGTTCAACTTTGTTAGTTGAGTAGATACAGCATAAACAAGTTTCTGAGAATGCTGCAGTCTGCAATTTGTATGAATTCCCGCTTCCAACGAAATCCTCCAAACTAGCCAAATATCCACTTGCAGAGTCCACAAAAAGAGCGTTTCAAAACTTCTCTATGAAAAGAAAGGTTCTACTCCTTTAGTTGAGGACACACATCACGAGTAAGTTTCTGAGAATGCTTCTGTCTAGTTTTTATGGGAAGATATTTCCTTGTTCACCTTAGGCCGGAAAGCGCTCCAAATGTCCACTTACACACACTACAAAAAGAGTGTTTCAAACCTGCTCTGTGAAAGGGAATGTTCAATTCTGTGACTTGAATGCAATCATCACAAAGAAGTTTCTGAGAATGCTGCTGTCTGCTTTTTATATGTAATCCCGTTTCCAACGAAATCCTCAAATCTAGCCAAATAGCCACTTGCAGATTCCACAAAAAGAATGTTTCAAAACTGTTCTGTCTAAAGAAATGTTCAACTGTGTTAGTTGAGGACACACATCAGAAACTAGTTTCTGAGAATGCTTCTGTCTAGTTGTTATGGGAAGATATCTCCTTTTCCAACGTAGGCCTGAAAGCGCTCCAAATGTCCACTTCCATATACTAAAAAAAGAGTGTTTCAAACCTGCTCTACCAAAGGGAATGTTCTACTCTGTGACTTGAATGCAAACATCCCAAAGAAGTTTCTGAGAATGCTTCTGTCTAGATTTGATCTGAAGACAATCCCGTTTCCAACGAAATCCTCAAGGCTAGGCAAATATCCTCTTGCAGATTCCAGAAAAAGAGTGTTTCAAAACTGCTCCTTCAAAACGGTGGTTCAATTCTCTTAGTTGAGTACACACATCTCAAATAAGTTTCTGAGAATGCTTCTGCGTAGTTGTTACGGGAAGATATTTCCCTTTCCAACATAGGCCTGAAAGCACTCCAAATGTCCACTTCCAGATACTACAAAAAGAGTGTTTCAAACCTGCTCTACCAAAGGGAATGTTCTGCTCTGTGACTTGAATGCAAACATCCCAAAGAAGTTTCTGAGAATGCTTCTGTCTAGATTTTACCTGAAGACAATCCCGTTTCCCACGAAATCCTCAAAGCTATGCAAATATCCTCTTGCAGATTCTACAAAAAGAGTGTTTCAAAACTGCTCTATGAAAAGAAAGGTTCAACTCTGTCAGTAGAGGGCACACATCACAAACAAGTTTCTGAGAATGCTTGTGTCTAGTTGTTATGGGAAGATATTTCCTTTTTCAACATAGGCCTGAAAGCGCTCCAAATGTCCACTTCCAGATACTACAAAAGGCGTGATTCCAACCTGCTCTATGATAGGGAATGTTCATCTCTGTGTCCTGAATACAAACATCACAAAGATGTTTCTCAGAACGCTGCAGTCTGCAATTTGTATGAATTCCCGCTTCCAACGAAATCCTCAAAACTAGCCAAATATCCACTTGCAGATTCCACAAAAAGAGCGTTTCAAAACTTCTCTATGAAAAGAAAGGTTCTACTCCTTTAGTTGAGGACACACATCACGAGTAAGTTTCTGAGAATGCTTCTGTCTAGTTTTTATGGGAAGATATTTCCTTTTTCACCTTAGGCCGGAAAGTGCTCCAAATGTCCACTTACACACACTACAAAAAGAGTGTTTCAAACCTGTTCTGTGAAAGGGAATGTTCAATTCTGTGACTTGAATGCAATCATCACAAAGAACTTTCTGAGAATGCTGCTGTCTGCTTTTTATATGTAATCCCGTTTCCAACGAAATCCTCAAATCTAGCCAAATAGCCACTTGCAGATTCCACAAAAAGAGTGTTTCAAAACTGTTCTGTCTAAAGAAATGTTCAACTGTGTTAGTTGAGGACACACATCAGAAACTAGTTTCTGAGAATGCTTCTGTCTACTTGTTATGGGAAGATATTTCCTTTTCCAACGTAGGCCTGAAAGCGCTCCAAATGTCCACTTCCATATACTAAAAAAAGAGTGTTTCAAACCTGCTCTACCAAAGGGAATGTTCTACTCTGTGACTTGAATGCAAACATCCCAAAGAAGTTTCTGAGAATGCTTCTGTCTAGATTTGATCTGAAGACAATCCCGTTTCCAACGAAATCCTCAAGGCTAGGCAAATATCCTCTTGCAGATTCCAGAAAAAGAGTGTTTCAAAACTGCTCCTTCAAAACGGTGGTTCAATTCTCTTAGTTGAGTACACACATCTCAAATAAGTTTCTGAGAATGCTTCTGCCTAGTTGTTACGGGAAGATATTTCCCTTTCCAACATAGGCCTGAAAGCACTCCAAATGTCCACTTCCAGATACTACAAAAAGAGTGTTTCAAACCTGCTCTACCAAAGGGAATGTTCTGCTCTGTGACTTGAATGCAAACATCCCAAAGAAGTTTCTGAGAATGCTTCTGTCTAGATTTTACCTGAAGACAATCCCGTTTCCCACGAAATCCTCAAAGCTATGCAAATATCCTCTTGCAGATTCTACAAAAAGAGTGTTTCAAAACTGCTCTATGAAAAGAAAGGTTCAACTCTGTCAGTAGAGGGCACACATCACAAACAAGTTTCTGAGAATGCTCTGCATAGTTGTTACGGGAAGATATTTCCCTTTCCAAAATAGGCCTGAAAGCGCTCCAAATGTCCACTTCCAGATACTACAAAAGGAGTGATTCCAACCTGCTCTATGATAGGGAATGTTCAACTCTGTGTCCTGAATACAAACATCACAAAGATGTTTCTCAGAACGCTGGCAGTCTGCAATTTGTATGAATTCCCGCTTCCAACGAAATCCTCAAAACTAGCCAAATATCCACTTGCAGATTCCACAAAAAGACCATTTCAAAACTGCTCTATCAAAAGAAAGGTTCAACTTTGTTAGTTGAGTAGATACAGCATAACCAAGTTTCCTGAGAATGCTTCTGTCCAGTTTTTATGGGAAGATATTTCCTTTTTCACCTTAGCCCTGAAATCGCTCCAAAAGTCCAGTTCCAGATACTACAAAAGGGGTGTTTCAAGACTGCTCTATGAAAGGGAGTGTTCAACTTTTGACTTGAATGCAAACATCAGAAAGCAGTTTCTCAGAACGCTGCTGTGTGCTTTTTATATGTATTCCCGCTTCCCAGCGAAATCCCCAAAGCTAGCCAAATATCCACTTGCAGATTCCAGAAAAAGAGTGTTTCAAAACTGCTCCTTCAAAACGGTGGTTCAATTCTCTTAGTTGAGTACACACATCTCAAATAAGTTTCTGAGAATGCTTCTGTCTAGTTGTTATGAGAAGATATTTCCTTTTCCAACATAGGCCTGAAAGCGCTCCAAATGTCCACTTCCAGATACTACAAAAGGAGTGATTCAAACCTGCTCTATGATAGGGAATGTTCAACTCTGTGTCCTGAATACAAACATCACAAAGATGTTTCTCAGAACGCTGCAGTCTGCAATTTGTATGAATTCCCGCTTCCAACGAAATCCTCCAAACTAGCCAAATATCCACTTGCAGATTCCACAAAAAGAGCGTTTCAAAACTTCTCTATGAAAAGAAAGGTTCTACTCCTTTAGTTGAGGACACACATCACGAGTAAGTTTCTGAGAATGCTTCTGTCTAGTTTTTATGGGAAGATATTTCCTTGTTCACCTTAGGCCGGAAAGTGCTCCAAATGTCCACTTACACACACTACAAAAAGAGTGTTTCAAACCTGCTCTGTGAAAGGGAATGTTCAATTCTGTGACTTGAATGCAATCATCACAAAGAACTTTCTGAGAATGCTGCTGTCTGCTTTTTATATGCAATCCCGTTTCCAACGAAATCCTCAAATCTAGCAAAATAGCCACTTGCAGATTCCACAAAAAGAGTGTTTCAAAACTGTTCTGTCTAAAGAAATGTTCAACTGTGTTAGTTGAGGACACACATCAGAAACTAGTTTCTGAGAATGCTTCTGTCTAGTTGTTATGGGAAGATATTTCCTTTTCCAACGTAGGCCTGAAAGCGCTCCAAATGTCCACTTCCATATACTAAAAAAAGAGTGTTTCAAACCTGCTCTACCAAAGGGAATGTTCTACTCTGTGACTTGAATGCAAACATCCCAAAGAAGTTTCTGAGAATGCTTCTGTCTAGATTTGATCTGAAGACAATCCCGTTTCCAACGGAAATCCTCAAAGCTAGGCAAATATACTCTTGCAGATTCCAGAAAAAGAGTGTTTCAAAACTGCTCCTTCAAAAGGGTGGTTCAATTCTCTTAGTTGAGTACACACATCTCAAATAAGTTTCCGAGAATGCTTCTGCCTAGTTGTTACGGGAAGATATTTCCCTTTCCAACATGGTCCTGAAAGCGCTCCAAATGTCCACTTCCAGATACTACAAAAAGAGTGTTTCAAACCTGCTCTACCAAAGGGAATGTTCTACTCTGTGACTTGAATGCAAACATCCCAAAGAAGTTTCTGAGAATGCTTCTGTCTAGATTTTACCTGAAGACAATCCCGTTTCCCACGAAATCCTCAATGCTATGCAAATATCCTCTTGCGGATTCTACAAAAAGAGTGTTTCAAAACTGCTCTATGAAAAGAAAGGTTCAACTCTGTCAGTAGAGGGCACACATCACAAACAAGTTTCTGAGAATGCTTGTGTCTAGTTGTTATGGGAAGATATTTCCTTTTTCAACATAGGCCTGAAAGCGCTCCAAATGTCCACTTCCAGATACTACAAAAGGAGTGATTCCAACCTGCTCTATGATAGGGAATGTTCATCTCTGTGTCCTGAATACAAACATCACAAAGATGTTTCTCAGAACGCTGCAGTCTGCAATTTGTATGAATTCCCGCTTCCAACGAAATCCTCAAAACTAGCCAAATATCCACTTGCAGATTCCACAAAAAGACCATTTCAAAACTGCTCTATCAAAAGAAAGGTTCAACTTTGTTAGTTGAGTAGATACAGCATAAACAAGTTTCTGAGAATGCTTCTGTCCAGTTTTTATGGGAAGATATTTCCTTTTTCACCTTAGCCCTGAAATCGCTCCAAAAGTCCAGTTCCAGATACTACAAAAGGGGTGTTTCAGGACTGCTCTATGAAAGGGAGTGTTCAACTTTTGACTTGAATGCAAACATCAGAAAGCAGTTTCTCAGAACGCTGCTGTGTGCTTTTTATATGTATTCCCGCTTCCAGCGAAATCCCCAAAGCTAGCCAAATATCCACTTGCAGATTCCAGAAAAAGAGAGTTTCAAAACTGCTCCTTCAAAACGGTGGTTCAATTCTCTTAGTTGAGTACACACATCTCAAATAAGTTTCTGAGAATGCTTCTGTCTAGTTGTTATGGGAAGATATTTCCTTTTCCAACATAGGCCTGAAAGCGCTCCAAATGTCCACTTCCAGATACTACAAAAGGAGTGATTCCAACCTGCTCTATGATAGGGAATGTTCAACTCTGTGTCCTGAATACAAACATCACAAAGATGTTTCTCAGAACGCTGCAGTCTGCAATTTGTATGAATTCCCGCTTCCAACGAAATCCTCAAAACTAGACAAATATCCACTTGCAGATTCCACAAAAAGAGCGTTTCAAAACTTCTCTATGAAAACAAAGGTTCTACTCCTTTAGTTGAGGACACACATCACGAGTAAGTTTCTGAGAATGCTTCTGTCTAGTTTTTATGGGAAGATATTTCCTTTTTCACCTTAGGCCGGTAAGTGCTCCAAATGTCCACTTACACACACTACAAAAAGAGTGTTTCAAACCTGCTCTGTGAAAGGGAATGTTCAATTCTGTGACTTGAATGCAATCATCACAAAGAACTTTCTGAGAATGCTGCTGACTGCTTTTTATATGTAATCCCGTTTCCAACGAAATCCTCAAATCTAGCCCAATATCCACTTGCAGATTCCACAAAAAGAGTGTTTCAAAACTGTTCTGTGTAAAGAAATGTACAACTGTGTTAGTTGAGGACACACATCAGAAACTAGTTTCTGAGAATGCTTCTGTCTAGTTGTTATCGGAAAATATTTCCTTTTCCAACGTAGGCCTGAAAGCGCTCCAAATGTCCACTTCCATATACTAAAAAAAGAGTGTTTCAAACCTGCTCTACCAAAGGGAATGTTCTACTCTGTGACTTGAATGCAAACATCCCAAAGAAGTTTCTGAGAATGCTTCTGTCTAGATTTGATCTGAACACAATCCCGTTTCCAACGAAATCCTCAAAGCTAGGCAAATATCCTCTTGCAGATTCCAGAAAAAGAGTGTTTCAAAACTGCTCCTTCAAAACGGTGGTTCAATTCTCTTAGTTGAGTACACACATCTCAAATAAGTTTCTGAGAATGCTTCTGCCTAGTTGTTACGGGAAGATATTTCCCTTTCCAACATAGGCCTGAAAGCGCTCCAAATGTCCACTTCCAGATACTATAAAAAGAGTGTTTCAAACCTGCTCTACCAAAGGGAATGTTCTACTCTGTGACTTGAATGCAAACATCCCAAAGAAGTTTCTGAGAATGCTTCTGTCTAGATTTTACCTGAAGACAATCCCGTTTCCCACGAAATCCTCAAAGCTATGCAAATATCCTCTTGCAGATTCTACAAAAAGAGTGTTTCAAAACTGCTCTATGAAAAGAAAGGTTCAACTCTGTCAGTAGAGGGCACACATCACAAACAAGTTTCTGAGAATGCTTCTGCATAGTTGTTACGGGAAGATATTTCCCTTTCCAAAATAGGCCTGAAAGCGCTCCAAATGTCCACTTCCAGATACTACAAAAGGAGTGATTCCAACCTGCTCTATGATAGGGAATGTTCAACTCTGTGTCCTGAATACAAACATCACAAAGATGTTTCTCAGAACGCTGCAGTCTGCAATTTGTATGAATTCCCGCTTCCAACGAAATCCTCAAAACTAGCCAAATATCCACTTGCAGATTCCACAAAAAGAGCATTTCAAAACTGCTCTATCAAAAGAAAGGTTCAACTTTGTTAGTTGAGTAGATACAGCATAAACAAGTTTCTGAGAATGCTGCAGTCTGCAATTTGTATGAATTCCCGCTTCCAACGAAATCCTCAAAACTAGCCAAATATCCACTTGCAGATTCCACAAAAAGAGCGTTTCAAAACTTCTCTATGAAAAGAAAGGTTCTACTCCTTTAGTTGAGGACACACATCACGAGTAAGTTTCTGAGAATGCTTCTGTCTAGTTTTTATGGGAAGATTATTTCCTTTTTCACCTTAGGCCGGTAAGTGCTCCAAATGTCCACTTACACACACTACAAAAAGAGTGTTTCAAACCTGCTCTGTGAAAGGGAATGTTCAATTCTGTGACTTGAATGCAATCATCACAAAGAACTTTCTGAGAATGCTGCTGACTGCTTTTTATATGTAATCCCGTTTCCAACGAAATCCTCAAATCTAGCCAAATAGCCACTTGCAGATTCCACAAAAAGAGTGTTTCAAAACTGTTCTGTCTAAAGAAATGTTCAACTGTGTTAGTTGAGGACACACATCAGAAACTAGTTTCTGAGAATGCTTCTGTCTAGTTGTTATGGGAAGATATTTCCTTTTCCAACGTAGGCCTGAAAGCGCTCCAAATGTCCACTTCCAGATACTACAAAAAGAGTGTTTCAAACCTGCTCTACCAAAGGGAATGTTCTACTCTGTGACTTGAATGCAAGCATCCCAAAGAAGTTTCTGAGAATGCTTCTGTCTAGATTTTCTCTGAATACAATCCCGTTTCCAACGAAATCCTCAAGGCTAGGCAAATATACTCTTGCAGATTCCAGAAAAAGAGTGTTTCAAAACTGCTCCTTCAAAACGGTGGTTCAATTCTCTTAGTTGAGTACACACATCTCAAATAAGTTTCTGAGAATGCTTCTGCCTAGTTGTTACGGGAAGATATTTCCCTTTCCAACATGGGCCTGAAAGCGCTCCAAATGTCCACTTCCAGATACTACAAAAAGAGTGTTTCAAACCTGCTCTACCAAAGGGAATGTTCTACTCTGTGACTTGAATGCAAACATCCCAAAGAAGTTTCTGAGAATGCTTCTGTCTAGATTTTACCTGAAGACAATCCCGTTTCCCCCGAAATCCTCAAAGCTATGCAAATATCCTCTTGCGGATTCTACAAAAAGAGTGTTTCAAAACTGCTCTATGAAAAGAAAGGTTCAACTCTGTCAGTAGAGGGCACACATCACAAACAAGTTTCTGAGAATGCTTGTGTCTAGTTGTTATGGGAAGATATTTCCTTTTTCAACATAGGCCTGAAAGCGCTCCAAATGTCCACTTCCAGATACTACAAAAGGAGTGATTCCAACCTGCTCTATGATAGGGAATGTTCATCTCTGTGTCTTGAATACAAACATCACAAAGATGGTTCTCAAAACGCTGCAGTCTGCAATTTGTATGAATTCCCGCTTCCAACGAAATCCTCAAAACTAGCCAAATATCCACTTGGAGATTCCACAAAAAGAGCGTTTCAAAACTTCTCTATGAATAGAAAGGTTCTACTCCTTTAGTTGAGGACACACATCACGAGTAAGTTTCTGAGAATGCTTCTGTCTAGTTTTTATGGGAAGATATTTCCTTTTTCACCTTAGGCCGGAAAGCGCTCCAAATGTCCACTTACACACACTACAAAAAGAGTGTTTCAAACCTGCTCTGTGAAAGGGAATGTTCAATTCTGTGACTTGAATGCAATCATCACAAAGAACTTTCTGAGAATGCTGCTGTCTGCTTTTTATATGTAATCCCGTTTCCAACGAAATCCTCAAATCTAGCCCAATATCCACTTGCAGATTCCACAAAAAGAGTGTTTCAAAACTGTTCTGTATAAAGAAATGTACAACTGTGTTAGTTGAGGACACACATCAGAAACTAGTTTCTGAGAATGCTTCTGTCTAGTTGTTATGGGAAGATATTTCCTTTTCCAACGTAGGCCTGAAAGCGCTCCAAATGTCCACTTCCATATACTAAAAAAAGAGTGTTTCACACCTGCTCTACCAAAGGGAATGTTCTACTCTGTGACTTGAATGCAAACATCCCAAAGAAGTTTCTGAGAATGCTTCTGTCTAGATTTGATCTGAACACAATCCCGTTTCCAACGAAATCCTCAAAGCTAGGCAAATATCCTCTTGCAGATTCCAGAAAAAGAGTGTTTCAAAACTGCTCCTTCAAAACGGTGGTTCAATTCTCTTAGTTGAGTACACACATCTCAAATAAGTTTCTGAGAATGCTTCTGCCTAGTTGTTACCGGAAGATATTTCCCTTTCCAACATAGGCCTGAAAGCGCTCCAAATGTCCACTTCCAGATACTACAAAAAGAGTGTTTCAAACCTGCTCTACCAAAGGGAATGTTCTACTCTGTGACTTGAATGCAAACATCCCAAAGAAGTTTCTGAGAATGCTTCTGTCTAGATTTTACCTGAAGACAATCCCGTTTCCCACGAAATCCTCAAAGCTATGCAAATATCCTCTTGCAGATTCTACAAAAAGAGTGTTTCAAAACTGCTCTATGAAAAGAAAGGTTCAACTCTGTCAGTAGAGGGCACACATCACAAACAAGTTTCTGAGAATGCTTGTGTCTAGTTGTTATGGGAAGATATTTCCTTTTTCAACATAGGCCTGAAAGCGCTCCAAATGTCCACTTCCAGATACTACAAAAGGAGTGATTCCAACCTGCTCTATGATAGGGAATGTTCAACTCTCTGTCCTGAATACAAACATCACAAAGATGTTTCTCAGAACGCTGCAGTCTGCAATTTGTATGAATTCCCGCTTCCAACGAAATCCTCAAAACTAGCCAAATATCCACTTGCAGATTCCACAAAAAGACCATTTCAAAACTGCTCTATCAAAAGAAAGGTTCAACTTTGTTAGTTGAGTAGATACAGCATAAACAAGTTTCTGAGAATGCTTCTGTCCAGTTTTTATGGGAAGATATTTCCTTTTTCACCTTAGCCCTGAAATCGCTCCAAAAGTCCAGTTCCAGATACTACAAAAGGGGTGTTTCAAGACTGCTCTATGAAAGGGAGTGTTCAACTTTTGACTTGAATGCAAACATCAGAAAGCAGTTTCTCAGAACGCTGCTGTGTGCTTTTTATATGTATTCCCGCTTCCAGCGAAATCCCCAAAGCTAGCCAAATATCCACTTGCAGATTCCAGAAAAAGAGAGTTTCAAAACTGCTCCTTCAAAACGGTGGTTCAATTCTCTTAGTTGAGTACACACATCTCAAATAAGTTTCTGAGAATGCTTCTGTCCAGTTTTTATGGGAAGATATTTCCTTTTTCACCTTAGCCCTGAAAGCGCTCCAAATGTCCAGTTCCAGATACTAGAAAAGGGGTGTTTCAAGACTGCTCTATGAAAGGGAGTGTTCAACTTTTGACTTGAATGCAAACATCAGAAAGCAGTTTCTCAGAACGCTGCAGTCTGCAATTTGTATGAATTCCCGCTTCCAACGAAATCCTCAAAACTAGCCAAATATCCACTTGCAGATTCCACAAAAAGAGCGTTTCAAAACTTCTCTATGAAAAGGAAGGTTCTACTCCTTTAGTTGAGGACACACATCACGAGTAAGTTTCTGAGAATGCTTCTGTCTAGTTTTTATGGGAAGATATTTCCTTTATCACCTTAGGCCGGAAAGTGCTCAAAATGTCCACTTACACACACTACAAAAAGAGTGTTTCAAACCTGCTCTGTGAAAGGGAATGTTCAATTCTGTGACTTGAATGCAATCATCACAAAGAACTTTCTGAGAATGCTGCTGTCTGCTTTTTATATGTAATCCCGTTTCCAACGAAATCCTCAAATCTAGCCAAATAGCCACTTGCAGATTCCACAAAAAGAGTGTTTCAAAACTGTTCTGTCTAAAGAAATGTTCAACTGTGTTAGTTGAGGACACACATCAGAAACTAGTTTCTGAGAATGCTTCTGTCTAGTTGTTATGGGAAGATATTTCCTTTTCCAACGTAGGCCTGAAAGCGCTCCAAATGTCCACTTCCATATACGAAAAAAAGAGTGTTTCAAACCTGCTCTACCAAAGGGAATGTTCTACTCTGTGAGTTGAATGCAGACATCCCAAAGAAGTTTCTGAGAATGCTTCTGTCTAGATTTGATCTGAAGACAATCCCGTTTCCAACGAAATCCTCAAGGCTAGGCAAATATCCTCTAGCAGATTCCAGAAAAAGAGTGTTTCAAAACTGCTCCTTCAAAACGGTGGTTCAATTCTCTTAGTTGAGTACACACATCTCAAATAAGTTTCTGAGAATGCTTCTGCCTAGTTGTTACGGGAAGATATTTCCCTTTCCAACATGGGCCTGAAAGCGCTCCAAATGTCCACTTCCAGATACTACAAAAAGAGTGTTTCAAACCTGCTCTACCAAAGGGAATGTTCTACTCTGTGACTTGAATGCAAACATCCCCAAAGAAGTTTCTGAGAATGCTTCTGTCTAGATTTTACCTGAAGACAATCCCGTTTCCCACGAAATCCTCAAAGCTATGCAAATATCCTCTTGCGGATTCTACAAAAAGAGTGTTTCAAAACTGCTCTATGAAAAGAAAGGTTCAACTCTGTCAGTAGAGGGCACACATCACAAACAAGTTTCTGAGAATGCTTGTGTCTACTTGTTATGGGAAGATATTTCCTTTTTCAACATAGGCCTGAAAGCGCTCCAAATGTCCACTTCCAGATACTACAAAAGGAGTGATTCCAACCTGCTCTATGATAGGGAATGTTCAACTCTGTGTCCTGAATACAAACATCACAAAGATGTTTCTCAGAACGCTGCAGTCTGCAATTTGTATGAATTCCCGCTTCCAACGAAATCCTCAAAACTAGCCAAATATCCACTTGCAGATTCCACAAAAAGAGCATTTCAAAACTGCTCTATCAAAAGAAAGGTTCAACTTTGTTAGTTGAGTAGATACAGCATAAACAAGTTTCTGAGAATGCTTCTGTCCAGTTTTTATGGGAAGATATTTCCTTTTTCACCTTAGCCCTGAAATCGCTCCAAAAGTCCAGTTCCAGATACTACAAAAGGGGTGTTTCAAGACTGCTCTATGAAAGGGAGTGTTCAACTTTTGACTTGAATGCAAACATCAGAAAGCAGTTTCTCAGAACGCTGCAGTCTGCAATTTGTATGAATTCCCGCTTCCAACGAAATCCTCAACACTAGCCAAATATCCACTTGGAGATTCCACAAAAAGAGCGTTTCAAAACTTCTCTATGAATAGAAAGGTTCTACTCCTTTAGTTGAGGACACACATCACGAGTAAGTTTCTGAGAATGCTTCTGTCTAGTTTTTATGGGAAGATATTTCCTTTTTCACCTTAGGCCAGAAAGTGCTCCAAATGTCCACTTACACACACTACAAAAAGAGTGTTTCAAACCTGCTCTGTGAAAGGGAATGTTCAATTCTGTGACTTGAATGCAATCA
Source organism: Homo sapiens (assembly GCF_000001405.40). NCBI lineage: Eukaryota > Metazoa > Chordata > Mammalia > Primates > Hominidae > Homo > Homo sapiens. The sequence goes on along the minus strand of NC_000018.10, from coordinate 19,399,348 downwards.
TCACAAAGAACTTTCTGAGAATGCTGCTGTCTGCTTTTTATATGTAATCCCGTTTCCAACGAAATCCTCAAATCTAGCCAAATAGCCACTTGCAGATTCCACAAAAAGAGTGTTTCAAAACTGTTCTGTCTAAAGAAATGTACAACTGTGTTAGTTGAGGACACACATCAGAAACTAGTTTACTGAGAATGCTTCTGTCTAGTTGTTATGGGAAGATATTTCCTTTTCCAACGTAGGCCTGAAAGCGCTCCAAATGTCCACTTCCATATACTAAAAAAAGAGTGTTTCAAACCTGCTCTACCAAAGGGAATGTTCTACTCTGTGACTTGAATGCAAACATCCCAAAGAAGTTTCTGAGAATGCTTCTGTCTAGATTTTATCTGAAGACAATCCCGTTTCCAACGAAATCCTCAAGGCTAGGCAAATATACTCTTGCAGATTCCAGAAAAAGAGGGTTTCAAAACTGCTCCTTCAAAACGGTGGTTCAATTCTCTTAGTTGAGTACACACATCTCAAATAAGTTTCTGAGAATGCTTCTGCCTAGTTGTTACGGGAAGATATTTCCCTTTCCAACATGGGCCTGATAGTGCTCCAAATGTCCACTTCCAGATACTACAAAAAGAGTGTTTCAAACCTGCTCTACCAAAGGGAATGTTCTACTCTGTGACTTGAATGCAAACATCCCAAAAAAGTTTCTGAGAATGCTTCTGTCTAGATTTTACCTGAAGACAATCCCGTTTCCCACGAAATCCTCAAAGTTATGCAAATATCCTCTTGCGGATTCTACAAAAAGAGTGTTTCAAAACTGCTCTATGAAAAGAAAGGTTCAACTCTGTCAGTAGAGGGCACACATCACAAACAAGTTTCTAAGAATGCTTCTGTCTAGTTGTTATGGGAAGATATTTCCTTTTCCAACATAGGCCTGAAAGCGCTCCAAATGTCCACTTCCAGATACTACAAAAGGAGTGATTCCAACCTGCTCTATGATAGGGAATGTTCAACTCTGTGTCCTGAATACAAACATCACAAAGATGTTTCTCAGAACGCTGCAGTCTGCAATTTGTATGAATTCCCGCTTCCAACGAAATCCTCAAAACTAGCCAAATATCCACTTGCAGATTCCACAAAAAGACCATTTCAAAACTGCTCTATCAAAAGAAAGGTTCAACTTTGTTAGTTGAGTAGATACAGCATAAACAAGTTTCTGAGAATGCTTCTGTCCAGTTTTTATGGGAAGATATTTCCTTTTTCACCTTAGCCCTGAAATCGCTCCAAAAGTCCAGTTCCAGATACTACAAAAGGGGTGTTTCAAGACTGCTCTATGAAAGGGAGTGTTCAACTTTTGACTTGAATGCAAACATCAGAAAGCAGTTTCTCAGAACGCTGCAGTCTGCAATTTGTATGAATTCCCGCTTCCAACGAAATCCTCAAAACTAGCCAAATATCCACTTGCAGATTCCACAAAAAGAGCGTTTCAAAACTTCTCTATGAAAAGAAAGGTTCTACTCCTTTAGTTGAGGACACACATCACGAGTAAGTTTCTGAGAATGCTTCTGTCTAGTTTTTATGGGAAGATATTTCCTTTTTCACCTTAGGCCGGTAAGTGCTCCAAATGTCCACTTACACACACTACAAAAAGAGTGTTTCAAACCTGCTCTGTGAAAGGGAATGTTGAATTCTGTGACTTGAATGCAATCATCACAAAGAACTTTCTGAGAATGCTGCTGACTGCTTTTTATATGTAATCCCGTTTCCAACGAAATCCTCAAATCTAGCCAAATAGCCACTTGCAGATTCCACAAAAAGAGTGTTTCAAAACTGTTCTGTCTAAAGAAATGTTCAACTGTGTTAGTTGAGGACACACATCAGAAACTAGTTTCTGAGAATGCTTCTGTCTAGTTGTTATGGGAAGATATTTCCTTTTCCAACGTAGGCCTGAAAGCGCTCCAAATGTCCACTTCCAGATACTACAAAAAGAGTGTTTCAAACCTGCTCTACCAAAGGGAATGTTCTACTCTGTGACTTGAATGCAAACATCCCAAAGAAGTTTCTGAGAATGCTTCTGTCTAGATTTTATCTGAAGACAATCCCGTTTCCAACGAAATCCTCAAGGCTAGGCAAATATACTCTTTCAGATTCCAGAAAAAGAGTGTTTTAAAACTGCTCCTTCAAAACGGTTTTCAATTCTCTTAGTTGAGTACACACATCTCAAATAAGTTTCTGAGAATGCTTCTGCCTAGTTGTTACGGGAAGATATTTCCCTTTCCAACATGGGCCTGAAAGCGCTCCAAATGTCCACTTCCAGATACTACAAAAAGAGTGTTTCAAACCTACTCTACCAAAGGGAATGTTCTACTCTGTGACTTGAATGCAAACATCCCAAAGAAGTTTCTGAGAATGCTTCTGTCTAGATTTTACCTGAAGACAATCCCGTTTCCCACGAAATCCTCAAAGCTATGCAAATATCCTCTTGCAGATTCTACAAAAAGAGTGTTTCAAAACTGCTCTATGAAAAGAAAGGTTCAACTCTGTCAGTAGAGGGCACACATCACAAACAAGTTTCTGAGAATGCTTGTGTCTAGTTGTTATGGGAAGATATTTCCTTTTTCAACATAGGCCTGTAAGCGCTCCAAATGTCCACTTCCAGATACTACAAAAGGAGTGATTCCAACCTGCTCTATGATAGGGAATGTTCAACTCTCTGTCCTGAATACAAACATCACAAAGATGTTTCTCAGAACGCTGCAGTCTGCAATTTGTATGAATTCCCGCTTCCAACGAAATCCTCAAAACTAGCCAAATATCCACTTGCAGATTCCACAAAAAGAGCATTTCAAAACTGCTCTATCAAAAGAAAGGTTCAACTTTGTTAGTTGAGTAGATACAGCATAAACAAGTTTCTGAGAATGCTTCTGTCCAGTTTTTATGGGAAGATATTTCCTTTTTCACCTTAGCCCTGAAAGCGCTCCAAAAGTCCAGTTCCAGACACTACAAAAGGAGTGTTTCAGGACTGCTCTATGAAAGGGAGTGTTCAACTTTTGACTTGAATGCAAACATCAGAAAGCAGTTTCTCAGAACGCTGCTGTGTGCTTTTTATATGTATTCCCGCTTCCAGCGAAATCCCCAAAGCTCGCCAAATATCCACTTGCAGATTCCAGAAAAAGAGTGTTTCAAAACTGCTCCTTCAAAACGGTGGTTCAATTCTCTTAGTTGAGTACACACATCTCAAATAAGTTTCTGAGAATGCTTCTGTCCGTTTTTATGGGAAGATATTTCCTTTTTCACCTTAGCCCTGAAAGCGCTCCAAAAGTCCAGTTCCAGATACTACAAAAGGGGTGTTTCAAGACTGCTCTATGAAAGGGAGTGTTCAACTTTTGACTTGAATGCAAACATCAGAAAGCAGTTTCTCAGAACGCTGCAGTCTGCAATTTGTATGAATTCCCGCTTCCAACGAAATCCTCAAAACTAGCCAAATATCCACTTGCAGATTCCACAAAAAGAGCGTTTCAAAACTTCTCTATGAAAAGAAAGGTTCTACTCCTTTAGTTGAGGACACACATCACGAGTAAGTTTCTGAGAATGCTTCTGTCTAGTTTTTATGGGAAGATATTTCCTTGTTCACCTTAGGCCGGAAAGCGCTCCAAATGTCCACTTACACACACTACAAAAAGAGTGTTTCAAACCTGCTCTGTGGAAGGGAATGTTCAATTCTGTGACTTGAATGCAATCATCACAAAGAAGTTTCTGAGAATGCTGCTGTCTGCTTTTTATATGTAATCCCGTTTCCAACGAAATCCTCAAATCTAGCCAAATATCCACTTGCAGATTCCACAAAAAGAGTGTTTCAAAACTGTTCTGTCCTAAAGAAAAGTTCAACTGTGTTAGCTGAGGACACACATCAGAAACTAGTTTCTGAGAATGCTTCTGTCTAGTTGTTATGGGAAGATATTTCCTTTTCCAACGTAGGCCTGAAAGCGCTCCAAATGTCCACTTCCATATACTAAAAAAAGAGTGTTTCAAACCTGCTCTACCAAAGGGAATGTTCTACTCTGTGACTTGAATGCAAACATCCCAAAGAAGTTTCTGAGAATGCTTCTGTCTAGATTTTATCTGAAGACAATCCCGTTTCCAACGAAATCCTCAAGGCTAGGCAAATATACTCTTGCAGATTCCAGAAAAAGAGTGTTTCAAAACTGCGCCTTCAAAACGGTGGTTCAATTCTCTTAGTTGAGTACACACATCTCAAATAAGTTTCTGAGAATGCTTCTGCCTAGTTGTTACGGGAAGATATTTCCCTTTCCAACATAGGCCTGAAAGCGCTTCAAATGTCCACTTCCAGATACTACAAAAAGAGTGTTTGAAACCTGCTCTACCAAAGGGAATGTTCTACTCTGTGACTTGAATGCAAACATCCCAAAGAAGTTTCTGAGAATGCTTCTGTCTAGATTTTACCTGAAGACAATCCCGTTTCCCACGAAATCCTCAAAGCTATACAAATATCCTCTTGCAGATTCTACAAAAAGAGTGTTTCAAAACTGCTCTATGAAAAGAAAGGTTCAACTCTGTCAGTAGAGGGCACACATCACAAACAAGTTTCTGAGAATACTTCTGCATAGTTGTTACGGGAAGATATTTCCCTTTCCAAAATAGGCCTGAAAGCGCTCCAAATGTCCACTTCCAGATACTACAAAAGGAGTGATTCCAACCTGCTCTATGATAGGGAATGTTCAACTCTGTGTCCTGAATACAAACATCACAAAGATGTTTCTCAGAACGCTGCAGTCTGCAATTTGTATGAATTCCCGCTTCCAACGAAATCCTCAAAACTAGCCAAATATCCACTTGCAGATTCCACAAAAAGACCATTTCAAAACTGCTCTATCAAAAGAAAGGTTCAACTTTGTTAGTTGAGTAGATACAGCATAACCAAGTTTCTGAGAATGCTTCTGTCCAGTTTTTATGGGAAGATATTTCCTTTTTCACCTTAGCCCTGAAATCGCTCCAAAAGTCCAGTTCCAGATACTACAAAAGGGGTGTTTCAAGACTGCTCTATGAAAGGGAGTGTTCAACTTTTGACTTGAATGCAAACATCAGAAAGCAGTTTGCTCAGAACGCTGGCTGTGTGCTTTTTATATGTATTCCCGCTTCCAGCGAAATCCCCAAAGCTAGCCAAATATCCACTTGCAGATTCCAGAAAAAGAGTGTTTCAAAACTGCTCCTTCAAAACGGTGGTTCAATTCTCTTAGTTGAGTACACACATCTCAAATAAGTTTCTGAGAATGCTTGTGTCTAGTTGTTATGGGAAGATATTTCCTTTTTCAACATAGGCCTGAAAGCGCTCCAAATGTCCCAGATACTACAAAAGGAGTGATTCCAACCTGCTCTATGATAGGGAATGTTCATCTCTGTGTCCTGAATACAAACATCACAAAGATGTTTTTCAGAACGCTGCAGTCTGCAATTTGTATGAATTCCCGCTTCCAACGAAATCCTCAAAACTAGGCAAATATCCACTTGCAGATTCCACAAAAAGAGCGTTTCAAAACTTCTCTATGAAAAGAAAGGTTCTACTCCTTTAGTTGAGGACACACATCACGAGTAAGTTTCTGAGAATGCTTCTGTCTAGTTTTTATGGGAAGATATTTCCTTTTTCACCTTAGGCCAGAAAGCGCTCCAAATGTCCACTTACACACACTACAAAAAGAGTGTTTCAAACCTGCTCTGTGAAAGGGAATGTTCAATTCTGTGACTTGAATGCAATCATCACAAAGAACTTTCTGAGAATGCTGCTGTCTGCTTTTTATATGTAATCCCGTTTCCAACGAAATCCTCAAATCTAGCCAAATATCCACTTGCAGATTCCACAAAAAGAGTGTTTCAAAACTGTTCTGTCTAAAGAAATGTACAACTGTGTTAGTTGAGGACACACATCAGAAACTAGTTTCTGAGAATGCTTCTGTCTAGTTGTTATGGGAAGATATTTCCTTTTCCAACGTGGGCTGAAAGCGCTGCAAATGTCCACTTCCATATACTAAAAAAAGAGTGTTTCAAACCTGCTCTACCAAAGGGAATGTTCTACTCTGTGACTTGAATGCAAACATCCCAAAGAAGTTTCTGAGAATGCTTCTGTCTAGATTTTATCTGAAGACAATCCCGTTTCCAACAAAATCCTCAAGGCTAGGCAAATATACTCTTGCAGATTCCAAGAAAAAGAGGGTTTCAAAACTGCTCCTTCAAAACGGTGGTTCAATTCTCTTAGTTGAGTACACACATCTCAAATAAGTTTCTGAGAATGCTTCTGCCTAGTTGTTACGGGAAGATATTTCCCTTTCCAACATAGGCCTGAAAGCGCTCCAAATGTCCACTTCCAGATACTACAAAAAGAGTGTTTCAAACCTGCTCTACCAAAGGGAATGTTCTACTCTGTGACTTGAATGCAAACATCCCAAAGAAGTTTCTGAGAATGCTTCTGTCTAGATTTTACCTGAAGACAATCCCGTTTCCCACGAAATCCTCAAAGCTATGCAAATATCCTCTTGCAGATTCTACAAAAAGGGTGTTTCAAAACTGCTCTATGAAAAGAAAGGTTCAACTCTGTCAGTAGAGGGCACACATCACAAACAAGTTTCTGAGAATACTTCTGCATAGTTGTTACGGGAAGATATTTCCCTTTCCAAAATAGGCCTGAAAGCGCTCCAAATGTCCACTTCCAGATACTACAAAAGGAGTGATTCCAACCTGCTCTATGATAGGGAATGTTCAACTCTGTGTCCTGAATACAAACATCACAAAGATGTTTCTCAGAACGCTGCAGTCTGCAATTTGTATGAATTCCCGCTTCCAACGAAATCCTCAAAACTAGCCAAATATCCACTTGCAGATTCCACAAAAAGACCATTTCAAAACTGCTCTATCAAAAGAAAGGTTCAACTTTGTTAGTTGAGTAGATACAGCATAACCAAGTTTCTGAGAATGCTTCTGTCCAGTTTTTATGGGAAGATATTTCCTTTTTCACCTTAGCCCTGAAATCGCTCCAAAAGTCCAGTTCCAGATACTACAAAAGGGGTGTTTCAAGACTGCTCTATGAAAGGGAGTGTTCAACTTTTGACTTGAATGCAAACATCAGAAAGCAGTTTCTCAGAACGCTGCTGTGTGCTTTTTATATGTATTCCCGCTTCCAGCGAAATCCCCAAAGCCAGCCAAATATCCACTTGCAGATTCCAGAAAAAGAGAGTTTCAAAACTGCTCCTTCAAAACGGTGGTTCAATTCTCTTAGTTGAGTACACACATCTCAAATAAGTTTCTGAGAATGCTTCTGTCTAGTTGTTATGGGAAGATATTTCCTTTTCCAACATAGGCCTGAAAGCGCTCCAAATGTCCACTTCCAGATACTACAAAAGGAGTGATTCCAACCTGCTCTATGATAGGGAATGTTCAACTCTGTGTCCTGAATACAAACATCACAAAGATGTTTCTCAGAACGCTGCAGTCTGCAATTTGTATGAATTCCCGCTTCCAACGAAATCCTCCAAACTAGCCAAATATCCACTTGCAGAGTCCACAAAAAGAGCGTTTCAAAACTTCTCTATGAAAAGAAGGGTTCTACTCCTTTAGTTGAGGACACACATCACGAGTAAGTTTCTGAGAATGCTTCTGTCTAGTTTTTATGGGAAGATATTTCCTTGTTCACCTTAGGCCGAAAAGCGCTCCAAATGTCCACTTACACACACTACAAAAAGAGTGTTTCAAACCTGCTCTGTGAAAGGGAATGTTCAATTCTGTGACTTGAATGCAATCATCACAAAGAAGTTTCTGAGAATGCTGCTGTCTGCTTTTTATATGTAATCCCGTTTCCAACGATATCCTCAAATCTAGCCAAATATCCACTTGCAGATTCCACAAAAAGAGTGTTTCAAAACTGTTCTGTCTAAAGAAATGTTCAACTGTGTTAGTTGAGGACACACATCAGAAACTAGTTTCTGAGAATGCTTCTGTCTAGTTGTTATGGGAAGATATTTCCTTTTCCAACGTAGGCCTGAAAGCGCTCCAAATGTCCACTTACACACACTACAAAAAGAGTGTTTCAAACCTGCTCTACCAAAGGGAATGTTCTACTCTGTGACTTGAATGCAAACATCCCAAAGAAGTTTCTGAGAATGCTTCTGTCTAGATTTTATCTGAAGACAATCCCGTTTCCCACGAAATCCTCAAAGCTATGCAAATATCCTCTTGCAGATTCTACAAAAAGAGTGTTTCGAAACTGCTCTATGAAAAGAAAGGTTCAACTGTGTCAGTAGAGGGCACACATCACAAACAAGTTTCTGAGAATGCTTCTGCATAGTTGTTACGGGAAGATATTTCCCTTTCCAAAATAGGCCTGAAAGCGCTCCAAATGTCCACTTCCAGATACTACAAAAGGAGTGATTCCAACCTGCTCTATGATAGGGAATGTTCAACTCTGTGTCCTGAATACAAACATCACAAAGATGTTTCTCAGAACGCTGCAGTCTGCAATTTGTATGAATTCCCGCTTCCAACGAAATCCTCAAAACTAGCCAAATATCCACTTGCAGATTCCACAAAAAGAGCATTTCAAAACTGCTCTATCAAAAGAAAGGTTCAACTTTGTTAGTTGAGTAGATACAGCATAAACAAGTTTCTGAGAATGCTTCTGTCCAGTTTTTATGGGAAGATATTTCCTTTTTCACCTTAGCCCTGAAAGCGCTCCAAAAGTCCAGTTCCAGATACTACAAAAGGAGTGTTTCAGGACTGCTCTATGAAAGGGAGTGTTCAACTTTTGACTTGAATGCAAACATCAGAAAGCAGTTTCTCAGAACGCTGCTGTGTGCTTTTTATATGTATTCCCGCTTCCAGCGAAATCCCCAAAGCTAGCCAAATATCCACTTGCAGATTCCAGGAAAAGAGTGTTTCAAAACTGCTCCTTCAAAACGGTGGTTCAATTCTCTTAGTTGAGTACACACATCTCAAATAAGTTTCTGAGAATGCTTCTGTCTATTTGTTATGGGAAGATATTTCCTTTTCCAACATAGGCCTGAAAGCGCTCCAAATGTCCACTTCCAGATACTAGAAAAGGAGTGATTCAAACCTGCTCTATGATAGGGAATGTTCAACTCTGTGTCCTGAATACAAACATCACAAAGATGTTTCTCAGAACGCTGCAGTCTGCAATTTGTATGAATTCCCGCTTCCAACGAAATCCTCAAAACTAACCAAATATCCACTTGGAGATTCCACAAAAAGAGCGTTTCAAAACTTCTCTATGAATAGAAAGGTTCTACTCCTTTAGTTGAGGACACACATCACGAGTAAGTTTCTGAGAATGCTTCTGTCTAGTTTTTATGGGAAGATATGTCCTTTTTCACCTTAGGCCGGAAAGCGCTCCAAATGTCCACTTACACACACTACAAAAAGAGTGTTTCAAACCTGCTCTGTGAAAGGGAATGTTCAATTCTGTGACTTGAATGCAATCATCACAAAGAACTTTCTGAGAATGCTGCTGACTGCTTTTTATATGTAATCCCGTTTCCAACGAAATCCTCAAATCTAGCCCAATATCCACTTGCAGATTCCACAAAAAGAGTGTTTCAAAACTGTTCTGTCTAAAGAAATGTACAACTGTGTTAGTTGAGGACACACATCAGAAACTAGTTTCTGAGAATGCTTCTGTCTAGTTGTTATGGGAAGATATTTCCTTTTCCAACGTAGGCCTGAAAGCGCTCCAAATGTCCACTTCCAGATACTACAAAAAGAGTGTTTCAAACCTGCTCTACCAAAGGGAATGTTCTACTCTGTGACTTGAATGCAAACATCCCAAAGAAGTTTCTGAGAATGCTTCTGTCTAGATTTTACCTGAAGACAATCCCGTTTCCCACGAAATCCTCAAAGCTATGCAAATATCCTCTTGCAGATTCTACAAAAAGAGTGTTTCAAAACTGCTCTATGAAAAGAAAGGTTCAACTCTGTCAGTAGAGGGCACACATCACAAACAAGTTTCTGAGAATGCTTCTGCATAGTTGTTACGGGAAGATATTTCCCTTTCCAAAATAGGCCTGAAAGCGCTCCAAATGTCCACTTCCAGATACTACAAAAGGAGTGATTCCAACCTGCTCTATGATAGGGAATGTTCAACTCTGTGTCCTGAATACAAACATCACAAAGATGTTTCTCAGAACGCTGCAGTCTGCAATTTGTATGAATTCCCGCTTCCAACGAAATCCTCAAAACTAGCCAAATATCCACTTGCAGATTCCACAAAAAGACCATTTCAAAACTGCTCTATCAAAAGAAAGGTTCAACTTTGTTAGTTGAGTAGATACAGCATAAACAAGTTTCTGAGAATGCTTCTGTCCAGTTTTTATGGGAAGATATTTCCTTTTTCACCTTAGCCCTGAAAGCGCTCCAAAAGTCCAGTTCCAGATACTACAAAAGGAGTGTTTCAGGACTGCTCTATGAAAGGGAGTGTTCAACTTTTGACTTGAATGCAAACATCAGAAAGCAGTTTCTCAGAACGCTGCTGTGTGCTTTTTATATGTATTCCCGCTTCCAGCGAAATCCCCAAAGCTAGCCAAATATCCACTTGCAGATTCCAGAAAAAGAGTGTTTCAAAACTGCTCCTTCAAAACGGTGGTTCAATTCTCTTAGTTGAGTACACACATCTCAAATAAGTTTCTGAGAATGCTTCTGTCTAGTTGTTATGGGAAGATATTTCCTTTTCTAACATAGGCCTGAAAGCGCTCCAAATGTCCACTTCCAGATACTACAAAAGGAGTGATTCAAACCTGCTCTATGATAGGGAATGTTCAACTCTGTGTCCTGAATACAAACATCACAAAGATGTTTCTCAGAACGCTGCAGTCTGCAATTTGTATGAATTCCCGCTTCCAACGAAATCCTCAAAACTAGCCAAATATCCACTTGCAGATTCCACAAAAAGAGCGTTTCAAAACTTCTCTATGAAAAGAAAGGTTCTACTCCTTTAGTTGAGGACACACATCACGAGTAAGTTTCTGAGAATGCTTCTGTCTAGTTTTTATGGGAAGATATTTCCTTTTTCACCTTAGGCCGGTAAGTGCTCCAAATGTCCACTTACACACACTACAAAAAGAGTGTTTCAAACCTGCTCTGTGAAAGGGAATGTTCAATTCTGTGACTTGAATGCAATCATCACAAAGAACTTTCTGAGAATGCCGCTGACTGCTTTTTATATGTAATCCCGTTTCCAACGAAATCCTCAAATCTAGCCAAATAGCCACTTGCAGATTCCACAAAAAGAGTGTTTCAAAACTGTTCTGTCTAAAGAAATGTTCAACTGTGTTAGTTGAGGACACACATCAGAAACTAGTTTCTGAGAATGCTTCTGTCTAGTTGTTATGGGAAGATATTTCCTTTTCCAACGTAGGCCTGAAAGCGCTCCAAATGTCCACTTCCAGATACTACAAAAAGAGTGTTTCAAACCTGCTCTACCAAAGGGAATGTTCTACTCTGTGACTTGAATGCAAGCATCCCAAAGAAGTTTCTGAGAATGCTTCTGTCTAGATTTGATCTGAAGACAATCCCTTTTCCAACGAAATCCTCAAAGCTAGGCAAATATCCTCTTGCAGATTCCAGAAAAAGAGTGTTTCCAAACTGCTCCTTCAAAACGGTGGTTCAATTCTCTTAGTTGAGTACACATATCTCAAATAAGTTTCTGAGAATGCTTCTGCCTAGTTGTTACGGGAAGATATTTCCGTTTCCAACATAGGCCTGAAAGCGCAACAAATGTCCACTTCCAGATACTACAAAAAGAGTGTTTCAAACCTGCTCTACCAAAGGGAATGTTCTACTCTGTGACTTGAATGCAAACATCCCGAAGAAGTTTCTGAGAATGCTTCTGTCTAGGTTTTACCTGAAGACAATCCCGTTTCCCACGAAATCCTCAGAGCTATGCAAATATCCTCTTGCAGATTCTACAAAAAGAGTGTTTCGAAACTGCTCTATGAAAAGAAAGGTTCAACTCTGTCAGTAGAGGAAACACATCACCAACAAGTTTCTGAGAATGCTTCTGTCTAGTTGTTATGGGAAGATTTTTCCTTTTTCAACATAGGCCTGAAAGCGCTCCAAATGTCCACTTCCAGATACTACAAAAGGAGTGATCCCAACCTGCTCTATGATAGGGAATGTTCAACTCTGTGTCCTGAATACAAACATCACAAAGATGTTTCTCAGAACGCTGCAGTCTGCAATTTGTATGAATTCCCGCTTCCAACGAAATCCTCAAAACTAGCCAAATATCCACTTGCAGATTCCACAAAAAGACCATTTCAAAACTGCTCTATCAAAAGAAAGGTTCAACTTTGTTAGTTGAGTAGATACAGCATAAACAAGTTTCTGAGAATGCTTCTGTCCAGTTTTTATGGGAAGATATTTCCTTTTTCACCTTAGCCCTGAAATCGCTCCAAAAGTCCAGTTCCAGATACTACAAAAGGGGTGTTTCAGGACTGCTCTATGAAAGGGAGTGTTCAACTTTTGACTTGAATGCAAACATCAGAAAGCAGTTTCTCAGAACGCTTCTGTCTAGATTTTACATGAAGACAATCCCGTTTCCCACGAAATCCTCAAAGCTATGCAAATATCCTCTTGCAGATTCTACAAAAAGAGTGTTTCGTAAGTGCTCTATGAAAAGAAAGGTTCAACTGTGTCAGTAGAGGGCACACATCACAAACAAGTTTCTGAGAATGCTTCTGTCTAGTTGTTATGGGAAGATATTTCCTTTTTCAACATAGGCCTGAAAGCGCTCCAAATGTCCACTTCCAGATACTACAAAAGGAGTGATTCCAACCTGCTCTATGATAGGGAATGTTCAACTCTGTGTCCTGAATACAAACATCACAAAGATGTTTCTCAGAACGCTGCAGTCTGCAATTTGTATGAATTCCCGCTTCCAACGAAATCCTCAAACCTAGCCAAACATCCACTTGCAGAGTCCACAAAAAGAGCGTTTCAAAACTTCTCTATGAAAAGAAAGGTTCTACTCCTTTAGTTGAGGACACACATCACGAGTAAGTTTCTGAGAATGCTTCTGTCTAGTTTTTATGGGAAGGTATTTCCTTGTTCACCTTAGGCCGAAAAGCGCTCCAAATGTCCACTTACACACACTACAAAAAGAGTGTTTCAAACCTGCTCTGTGAAAGGGAATGTTCAATTCTGTGACTTGAATGCAATCATCACAAAGAAGTTTCTGAGAATGCTGCTGTCTGCTTTTTATATGTAATCCCGTTTCCAACGAAATCCTCAAATCTAGCCAAATATCCACTTGCAGATTCCACAAAAAGAGTGTTTCAAAACTGTTCTGTCTAAAGAAATGTTCAACTGTGTTAGTTGAGGACACACATCAGAAACTAGTTTCTGAGAATGCTTCCGTCTAGTTGTTATGGGAAGATATTTCCTTTTCCAACGTAGGCCTGAAAGCGCTCCAAATGTCCACTTCCATATACTAAAAAAAGAGTGTTTCAAACCTGCTCTACCAAAGGAATGTTCTACTCTGTGACTTGAATGCAAACATCCCAAAGAAGTTTCTGAGAATGCTTCTGTCTAGATTTGATCTGAAGACAATCCCTTTTCCAACGAAATCCTCAAAGCTAGGCAAATATCCTCTTGCAGATTCCAGAAAAAGAGTGTTTCCAAACTGCTCCTTCAAAACGGTGGTTCAATTCTCTTAGTTGAGTACACACATCTCAAATAAGTTTCTGAGAATGCTTCTGCCTAGTTGTTACGGGAAGATATTTCCCTTTCCAACATAGGCCTGAAAGCGCAACAAATGTCCACTTCCAGATACGACAAAAAGAGTGTTTCAAACCTGCTCTACCGAAGGGAATGTTCTACTCTGTGACTTGAATGCAAACATCCCGAAGAAGTTTCTAAGAATGCTTCTGTCTAGATTTTACCTGAAGACAATCCCGTTTCCCACGAAATCCTCAGAGCTATGCAAATATCCTCTTGCAGATTCTACAAAAAGAGTGTTTCGAAACTGCTCTATGAAAAGAAAGGTTCAACTCTGTCAGTAGAGGAAACACATCACCAACAAGTTTCTGAGAATGCTTCTGCATAGTTGTTACGGGAAGATATTTCCCTTTCCAACATAGGCCTGAAAGCGCTCCAAATGTCCACTTCCAGATACTACAAAAGGAGTGATTCCAACCTGCTCTATGATAGGGAATGTTCAACTCTGTGTCCTGAATACAAACATCACAAAGATGTTTCTCAGAACGCTGCAGTCTGCAATTTGTATGAATTCCCGCTTCCAACGAAATCCTCAAAACTAGCCAAATATCCACTTGCAGATTCCACAAAAAGACCATTTCAAAACTGCTCTATCAAAAGAAAGGTTCAACTTTGTTAGTTGAGTAGATACAGCATAAACAAGTTTCTGAGAATGCTTCTGTCCAGTTTTTATGGGAAGATATTTCCTTTTTCACCTTAGCCCTGAAATCGCTCCAAAAGTCCAGTTCCAGATACTACAAAAGGGGTGTTTCAAGACTGCTCTATGAAAGGGAGTGTTCAACTTTTGACTTGAATGCAAACATCAGAAAGCAGTTTCTCAGAACGCTGCTGTGTGCTTTTTATATGTATTCCCGCTTCCAGCGAAATCCCCAAAGCTAGCCAAATATCCACTTGCAGATTCCAGAAAAAGAGAGTTTCAAAACTGCTCCTTCAAAACGGTGGTTCAATTCTCTTAGTTGAGTACACACATCTCAAATAAGTTTCTGAGAATGCTTCTGTCTAGTTGTTATGGGAAGATATTTCCTTTTCCAACATAGGCCTGAAAGCGCTCCAAATGTCCACTTCCAGATACTACAAAAGGAGTGATTCAAACCTGCTCTATGATAGGGAATGTTCAACTCTGTGTCCTGAATACAAACATCACAAAGATGTTTCTCAGAACGCTGCAGTCTGCAATTTGTATGAATTCCCGCTTCCAACGAAATCCTCAAAACTAGCCAAATATCCACTTGCAGATTCCACAAAAAGAGCGTTTCAAAACTTCTCTATGAAAAGAAAGGTTCTACTCCTTTAGTTGAGGACACACATCACGAGTAAGTTTCTGAGAATGCTTCTGTCTAGTTTTTATGGGAAGATTATTTCCTTTTTCACCTTAGGCCGGTAAGTGCTCCAAATGTCCACTTACACACACTACAAAAAGAGTGTTTCAAACCTGCTCTGTGAAAGGGAATGTTCAATTCTGTGACTTGAATGCAATCATCACAAAGAACTTTCTGAGAATGCTGCTGTCTGCTTTTTATATGTATTCCCGTTTCCAACGAAATCCTCAAAGCCAGCCAAATATCCACTTGCAGATTCCACAGAAAGAGTGTTTCAAAACTGCTCTCTCAAAAGAAATGTTCAACTCTGTCAGTTGAGGACACACATCACAAATAAGTTTCTGAGAATGCTTCTGTCTAGTTTTTATGGGAAGATATTTCCTTTTTCACCTGAGGCCGGAAAGCGCTCCAAATGTCCACTTCCAGATACTACAAAAGGAGTGATTCAAACCTGCTCTATGATAGGGAACGTTCAACTCTGTGTCCTGAATACAAACATCACAAAGATGTTTCTCAGAACGCTGCAGTCTGCAATTTGTATGAATTCCCGCTTCCAACGAAATCCTCAAAACTAGCCAAATATCCACTTGCAGATTCCACAAAAATAGCGTTTCAAAACTTCTCTATGAAAAGAAAGGTTCTACTCCTTTAGTTGAGGACACACATCACGAGTAAGTTTCTGAGAATACTTCTGTCTAGTTTTTATAGGAAGATATTTCCTTGTTCACCTTAGGCCGGAAAGCGCTCCAAATGTCCACTTACACACACTACAAAAAGAGTGTTTCAAACCTGCTCTGTGAAAGGGAATGTTCAATTCTGTGACTTGAATGCAATCATCACAAAGAAGTTTCTGAGAATGCTGCTGTCTGCTTTTTATATGTAATCCCGTTTCCAACGAAATGCTCAAATCTAGCCAAATATCCACTTGCAGATTCCACAAAGAGAGTGTTTCAAATCTACTCTGTCTAAAGAAATGTTCAACTGTGTTAGTTGAGGACACACATCAGAAACTAGTTTCTGAGAATGCTTCTGTCTAGTTGTTATGGTAACATATTTCCTTTTCCAACGTAGGCCTGAAAGCGCTCCAAATGTCCACTTCCATATACTAAAAAAAGAGTGTTTCAAACCTGCTCTACCAAAGGGAATGTTCTACTCTGTGACTTGAATGCAAACATCCCAAAGAAGTTTCTGAGAATGCTTCTGTCTAGATTTGATCTGAAGACAATCCCGTTTCCAACGAAATCCTCAAGGCTAGGCAAATATCCTCTTGCAGATTCCAGAAAAAGAGTGTTTCAAAACTGCTCCTTCAAAACGGTGGTTCAATTCTCTTAGTTGAGTACACACATCTCAAATAAGTTTCTGAGAATGCTTCTGCCTAGTTGTTACATGAAGATATTTCCCTTTCCAACATAGGCCTGAAAGCGCTCCAAATGTCCACTTCCAGATACTACAAAAAGAGTGTTTCAAACCTGCTCTACCAAAGGGAATGTTCTGCTCTGTGACTTGAATGCAAACATCCCAAAGAAGTTTCTGAGAATGCTTCTGTCTAGATTTTACCTGAAGACAATCCCGTTTCCCACGAAATCCTCAAAGCTATGCAAATATCCTCTTGCAGATTCTACAAAAAGAGTGTTTCAAAACTGCTCTATGAAAAGAAAGGTTCAACTCTGTCAGTAGAGGGCACACATCACAAACAAGTTTCTGAGAATGCTTCTGTCTAGTTTTTATGGGAAGATATTTCCTTTTTCACCTGAGGCCGGAAAGCGCTCCAAATGTTCACTTCCAGATACTACAAAAGGAGTGATTCAAACCTGCTCTATGATAGGGAATGTTCAACTCTGTGTCCTGAATACAAACATCACAAATATGTTTCTCAGAACGCTGCAGTCTGCAATTTGTATGAATTCCCGCTTCCAACGCAATCCTCAAAACTAACCAAATATCCACTTGCAGACTCCACAAAAAGAGCATTTCAAAACTGCTCTATCAAAAGAAAGGTTCAACTTTGTTAGCTGAGTAGATACAGCATAAACAAGTTTCTGAGAATGCTTCTGTCCAGTTTTTATGGGAAGATATTTCCTTTTTCACCTTAGCCCTGAAATCGCTCCAAAAGTCCAGTTCCAGATACTACAAAAGGGGTGTTTCAGGACTGCTCTATGAAAGGGAGTGTTCAACTTTTGACTTGAATGCAAACATCAGAAAGCAGTTTCTCAGAACGCTGCTGTGTGCTTTTTATATGTATTCCCGCTTCCAGCGAAATCCCCAAAGCTAGCCAAATATCCACTTGCAGATTCCAGAAAAAGAGAGTTTCAAAACTGCTCCTTCAAAACGGTGGTTCAATTCTCTTAGTTGAGTACACACATCTCAAATAAGTTTCTGAGAATGCTGCAGTCTGCAATTTGGATGAATTCCCGCTTCCAACGAAATCCTCAAAACTAGCCAAATATCCACTTGGAGATTCCACAAAAAGAGCGTTTCAAAACTTCTCTATGAATAGAAAGGTTCTACTCCTTTAGTTGAGGACACACATCACGAGTAAGTTTCTGAGAATGCTTCTGTCTAGTTTTTATGGGAAGATATTTCCTTTTTCACCTTAGGCCGGAAAGCGCTCCAAATGTCCAATTACACACACTACAAAAAGAGTGTTTCAAACCTGCTCTGTGAAAGGGAATGTTCAATTTTGTGACTTGAATGCAATCATCACAAAGAACTTTCTGAGAATGCTGCTGTCTGCTTTTTATATGTAATCCCGTTTCCAACGAAATCCTCAAATCTAGCCCAATATCCACTTGCAGATTCCACAAAAAGAGTGTTTCAAAACTGTTCTGTATAAAGAAATGTACAACTGTGTTAGTTGAGGACACACATCAGAAACTAGTTTCTGAGAATGCTTCTGTCTAGTTGTTATGGGAAGATATTTCCTTTTCCAACGTAGGCCTGAAAGCGCTCCAAATGTCCACTTCCATATACTAAAAAAAGAGTGTTTCAAACCTGCTCTACCAAAGGGAATGTTCTACTCTGTGACTTGAATGCAAACATCCCAAAGAAGTTTCTGAGAATGCTTCTGTCTAGATTTTATCTGAAGACAATCCCGTTTCCAACGAAATCCTCAAGGCTAGGCAAATATACTCTTGCAGATTCCAGAAAAAGAGTGTTTCAAAACTGCTCCTTCAAAACGGTGGTTCAATTCTCTTAGTTGAGTACACACATCTCAAATAAGTTTCTGAGAATGCTTCTGCCTAGTTGTTACGGGAAGATATTTCCCTTTCCAACATGGGCCTGACAGCGCTCCAAATGTCCACTTCCAGATACTACAAAAGGAGGGTTTCAAACCTGCTCTACCAAAGGGAATGTTCTACTCTGTGACTTGAATGCAAACATCCCAAAGAAGTTTCTGAGAATGCTTCAGTCTAGATTTTACCTGAAGACAATCCCGTTTCCCACGAAATCCTCAAAGCTATGCAAATATCCTCTTGCGGATTCTACAAAAAGAGTGTTTCAAAACTGCTCTATGAAAAGAAAGGTTCAACTCTGTCAGTAGAGGGCACACATCACAAACAAGTTTCTGAGAATGCTTGTGTCTAGTTGTTATGGGAAGATATTTCCTTTTTCAACATAGGCCTGAAAGCGCTCCAAATGTCCACTTCCAGATACTACAAAAGGAGTGATTCCAACCTGCTCTATGATAGGGAATGTTCATCCTACTGTGTCCTGAATACAAACATCACAAAGATGTTTCTCAGAACGCTGCAGTCTGCAATTTGTATGAATTCCCGCTTCCAACGAAATCCTCAACACTAGCCAAATATCCACTTGGAGATTCCACAAAAAGAGCGTTTCAAAACTTCTCTATGAATAGAAAGGTTCTACTCCTTTAGTTGAGGACACACATCACGAGTAAGTTTCTGAGAATGCTTCTGTCTAGTTTTTATGGGAAGATATTTCCTTTTTCACCTTAGGCCGGAAAGCGCTCCAAATGTCCACTTACACACACTACAAAAAGAGTGTTTCAAACCTGCTCTGTGAAAGGGAATGTTCAATTCTGTGACTTGAATGCAATCATCACAAAGAACTTTCTGAGAATGCTGCTGTCTGCTTTTTATATGTAATCCCGTTTCCAACGAAATCCTCAAATCTAGCCCAATATCCACTTGCAGATTCCACAAAAAGAGTGTTTCAAAACTGTTCTGTATAAAGAAATGTACAACTGTGTTAGTTGAGGACACACATCAGAAACTAGTTTCTGAGAATGCTTCTGTCTAGTTGTTATGGGAAGATATTTCCTTTTACAACGTAGGCCTGAAAGCGCTCCAAATGTCCACTTCCATATACTAAAAAAAGAGTGTTTCAAACCTGCTCTACCAAAGGGAATGTTCTACTCAGTGACTTGAATGCAAACATCCCAAAGAAGTTTCTGAGAATGCTTCTGTCTAGATTTTATCTGAAGACAATCCCGTTTCCAACGAAATCCTCAAGGCTAGGCAAATATACTCTTGCAGATTCCAGAAAAAGAGGGTTTCAAAACTGCTCCTTCAAAACGGTGGTTCAATTCTCTTAGTTGAGTCCACACATCTCAAATAAGTTTCTGAGAATGCTTCTGCCTAGTTGTTACGGGAAGATATTTCCCTTTCCAACATGGGCCTGAAAGCGCTCCAAATGTCCACTTCCAGATACTACAAAAAGAGTGTTTCAAACCTGCTCTACCAAAGGGAATGTTCTACTCTGTGACTTGAATGCAAACATCCCAAAGAAGTTTCTGAGAATGCTTCTGTCTAGATTTTACCTGAAGACAATCCCGTTTCCCACGAAATCCTCAGAGCTATGCAAATATCCTCTTTCAGATTCTACAAAAAGAGTGTTTCGAAACTGCTCTATGAAAAGAAAGGTTCAACTCTGTCAGTAGAGGAAACACATCACCAACAAGTTTCTGAGAATGCTTGTGTCTAGTTGTTATGGGAAGATATTTCCTTTTTCAACATAGGCCTGAAATCGCTCCAAATGTCCACTTCCAGATACTACAAAAATAGTGATTCCAACCTGCTCTATGATAGGGAATGTTCAACTCTATGTCCTGAATACAAACATCACAAAGATGTTTCTCAGAACGCTGCAGTCTGCAATTTGTATGAATTCCCGCTTCCAACGAAATCCTCAAAACTAGCCAAATATCCACTTGCAGATTCCACAAAAAGACCATTTCAAAACTGCTCTATCAAAAGAAAGGTTCAACTTTGTTAGTTGAGTAGATACAGCATAACCAAGTTTCTGAGAATGCTTCTGTCCAGTTTTTATGGGAAGATATTTCCTTTTTCACCTTAGCCCTGAAGCGCTCCAAAAGTCCAGTTCCAGATACTACAAAAGGAGTGTTTCAGGACTGCTCTATGAAAGGGAGTGTTCAACTTTTGACTTGAATGCAAACATCAGAAAGCAGTTTCTCAGAACGCTGCTGTGTGCTTTTTATATGTATTCCCGCTTCCAGCGAAATCCCCAAAGCTAGCCAAATATCCACTTGCAGATTCCAGAAAAAGAGTGTTTCAAAACTGCTCCTTCAAAACGGTGGTTCAATTCTCTTAGTTGAGTACACACATCTCAAATAAGTTTCTGAGAATGCTTCTGTCTAGTTGTTATGGGAAGATATTTCCTTTTCCAACATAGGCCTGAAAGCGCTCCAAATGTCCACTTCCAGATACTACAAAAGGAGTGATTCAAACCTGCTCTATGATAGGGAATGTTCAACTCTGTGTCCTGAATACAAACATCACAAAGATGTTTCTCAGAACGCTGCAGTCTGCAATTTGTATGAATTCCCGCTTCCAGCGAAATCCTCAAAACTAGCCAAATATCCACTTGCAGATTCCACAAAAAGAGCATTTCAAAACTGCTCTATCAAAAGAAAGGTTCAACTTTGTTAGTTGAGTAGATACAGCATAAACAAGTTTCTGAGAATGCTTCTGTCCAGTTTTTATGGGAAGATATTTCCTTTTTCACCTTAGCCCTGAAAGCGCTCCAAAAGTCCAGTTCCAGATACTACAAAAGGAGTGTTTCAGGACTGCTCTATGAAAGGGAGTGTTCAACTTTTGACTTGAATGCAAACATCAGAAAGCAGTTTCTCAGAACGCTGCTGTGTGCTTTTTATATGTATTCCCGCTTCCAGCGAAATCCCCAAAGCTAGCCAAATATCCACTTGCAGATTCCAGAAAAAGAGTGTTTCAAAACTGCTCCTTCAAAACGGTGGTTCAATTCTCTTAGTTGAGTACACACATCTCAAATAAGTTTCTGAGAATGCTTCTGTCTAGTTGTTATGGGAAGATATTTCCTTTTCCAACATAGGCCTGAAAGTGCTCCAAATGTCCACTTCCAGATACTACAAAAGGAGTGATTCAAACCTGCTCTATGATAGGGAATGTTCAACTCTGTGTCCTGAATACAAACATCACAAAGATGTTTCTCAGAACGCTGCAGTCTGCAATTTGTATGAATTCCCGCTTCCAACGAAATCCTCAAAACTAGCCAAATATCCACTTGCAGATTCCACAAAAAGAGCGTTTCAAAACTTCTCTATGAAAAGAAAGGTTCTACTCCTTTAGTTGAGGACACACATCACGAGTAAGTTTCTGAGAATGCTTCTGTCTAGTTTTTATGGGAAGATTATTTCCTTTTTCACCTTAGGCCGGTAAGTGCTCCAAATGTCCACTTACACACACTACAAAAAGAGTGTTTCAAACCTGCTCTGTGAAAGGGAATGTTCAATTCTGTGACTTGAATGCAATCATCACAAAGAACTTTCTGAGAATGCCGCTGACTGCTTTTTATATGTAATCCCGTTTCCAACGAAATCCTCAAATCTAGCCAAATAGCCACTTGCAGATTCCACAAAAAGAGTGTTTCAAAACTGTTCTGTCTAAAGAAATGTTCAACTGTGTTAGTTGAGGACACACATCAGAAACTAGTTTCTGAGAATGCTTCTGTCTAGTTGTTATGGGAAGATATTTCCTTTTCCAACGTAGGCCTGAAAGCGCTCCAAATGTCCACTTCCAGATACTACAAAAAGAGTGTTTCAAACCTGCTCTACCAAAGGGAATGTTCTACTCTGTGACTTGAATGCAAGCATCCCAAAGAAGTTTCTGAGAATGCTTCTGTCTAGATTTTCTCTGAAGACAATCCCGTTTCCAACGAAATCCTCAAGGCTAGGCAAATATACTCTTGCAGATTCCAGAAAAAGAGTGTTTCAAAACTGCTCCTTCAAAACGGTGGTTCAATTCTCTTAGTTGAGTACACACATCTCAAATAAGTTTCTGAGAATGCTTCTGCCTAGTTGTTACGGGAAGATATTTCCCTTTCCAACATAGGCCTGAAAGCGCTCCAAATGTCCACTTCCAGATACTACAAAAAGAGTGTTTCAAACCTGCTCCTTCAAAACGGTGGTTCAATTCTCTTAGTTCAGTACACACATCTCAAATAAGTTTCTGAGAATGCTTCTGCCTAGTTGTTACGGGAAGATATTTCCCTTTCCAACATAGGCCTGAAAGCGCTCCAAATGTCCACTTCCAGATACTACAAAAAGAGTGTTTCAAACCTGCTCTACCAAAGGGAATGTTCTACTCTGTGACTTGAATGCAAACATCCCGAAGAATTTTCTGAGAATGCTTCTGTCTAGATTTTACCTGAAGACAATCCCGTTTCCCACGAAATCCTCAAAGCTATGCAAATATCCTCTTGTAGATTCTACAAAAAGAGTGTTTCGAAACTGCTCTATGAAAAGAAAGGTTCAACTCTGTCAGTAGAGGGCACACATCACAAACAAGTTTCTGAGAATGCTTGTGTCTACTTGTTATGGGAAGATATTTCCTTTTTCAACATAGGCCTGAAAGCGCTCGAAATGGCCACTTCCAGATACTACAAAAGGAGTGATTCCAACCTGCTCTATGATAGGGAATGTTCAACTCTGTGTCCTGAATACAAACATCACAAAGATGTTTCTCAGAACGCTGCAGTCTGCAATTTGTATGAATTCCCGCTTCCAACGAAATCCTCAAAACTAGCCAAATATCCACTTGCAGACTCCACAAAAAGAGCATTTCAAAACTGCTCTATCAAAAGAAAGGTTCAACTTTGTTAGCTGAGTAGATACAGCATAAACAAGTTTCTGAGAATGCTTCTGTCCAGTTTTTATGGGAAGATATTTCCTTTTTCACCTTAGCCCTGAAAGCACTCCAAATGTCCACTTCCAGATACCACAAAAGGGGAGTTTCAAGACTGCTCTACGAAAGGGAGTGTTCAACTTTTGACTTGAATGCGAACATCAGAAAGAAGTTTCTCAGAACGCTGCTGTGTGCTTTTTATATGTATTCCCGCTTCCAGCGAAATCCCCAAAGCTAGCCAGATATCCACTTGCAGATTCCAGAAAAAGAGTGTTTCAAAACTGCTCCTTCAAAACGGTGGTTCAATTCTCTTAGTTGAGTACACACATCTCAAATAAGTTTCTGAGAATGCTTCTGTCTATTTGTTATGGGAAGATATTTCCTTTTCCAACATAGGCCTGAAAGCGCTCCAAATATCCACTTCCAGATACTACAAAAGGAGTGATTCAAACCTGCTCTATGATAGGGAATGTTCAACTCTGTGTCCTGAATACAAACATCACAAAGATGTTTCTCAGAACGCTGCAGTCTGCAATTTGTATGAATTCCCGCTTCCAACGAAATCCTCAAAACTAGCCAAATATCCACTTGCAGATTCCACAAAAAGAGCGTTTCAAAACTTCTCTATGAAAAGAAAGTTTCTACTCCTTTACTTGAGTACACACATCACGAGTAAGTTTCTGAGAATGCTTCTGTCTAGTTTTTATGGGAAGATATTTCCTTTTTCACCTTAGGCCAGAAAGCGCTCCAAATGTCCACTTACACACACTACAAAAAGAGTGTTTCAAACCTGCTCTGTGAAAGGGAATGTTCAATTCTGTGACTTGAATGCAATCATCACAAAGAACTTTCTGAGAATGCCGCTGTCTGCTTTTTATATGTAATCCCGTTTCCAACGAAATGCTCAAATCTAGCCAAATATCCACTTGCAGATTCCACAAAAAGAGTGTTTCAAAACTGTCCTGTATAAAGAAATGTTCAACTGTGTTAGTTGAGGACACACATCAGAAACTAGTTTCTGAGAATGCTTCTGTCTAGTTGTTATGGGAAGATATTTCCTTTTCCAACGTAGGCCTGAAAGCGATCCAAATGTCCACTTCCATATACTAAAAAAAGAGTGTTTCAAACCTGCTCTACCAAAGGGAATGTTCTACTCTGTGACTTGAATGCAAACATCCCAAAGAAGTTTCTGAGAATGCTTCTGTCTAGATTTGATCTGAACACAATCCCGTTTCCAACGAAATCCTCAAAGCTAGGCAAATATCCTCTTGCAGATTCCAGAAAAAGAGTGTTTCAAAACTGCTCCTTCAAAACGGTGGTTCAATTCTCTTAGTTGAGTACACACATCTCAAATAAGTTTCTGAGAATGCTTCTGCCTAGTTGTTACCGGAAGATATTTCCCTTTCCAACATAGGCCTGAAAGCGCTCCAAATGTCCACTTTCAGATACTACAAAAAGAGTGTTTCAAACCTGCTCTACCAAAGGGAATGTTCTACTCTGTGACTTGAATGCAAACATCCCAAAGAAGTTTCTGAGAATGCTTCTGTCTAGATTTTACCTGAAGACAATCCCGTTTCCCACGAAATCCTCAAAGCTATGCAAATATCCTCTTGCAGATTCTACAAAAAGAGTGTTTCAAAACTGCTCTATGAAAAGAAATGTTCAACTCTGTCAGTAGAGGGCACACATCACAAACAAGTTTCTGAGAATGCTTGTGTCTAGTTGTTATGGGAAGATATTTCCTTTTTCAACATAGGCCAGAAAGCGCTCCAAATGTCCACTTCCAGATACTACAAAAGGAGTGATTCCAACCTGCTCTATGATAGGGAATGTTCAACTCTGTGTCCTGAATACAAACATCACAAAGATGTTTCTCAGAACGCTGCAGTCTGCAATTTGTATGAATTCCCCCTTCCAACGAAATCCTCAAAACTAGCCAAATATCCACTTGCAGATTCCACAAAAAGACCATTTCAAAACTGCTCTATCAAAAGAAAGGTTCAACTTTGTTAGTTGAGTAGATACAGCATAAACAAGTTTCTGAGAATGCTTCTGTCCAGTTTTTATGGGAAGATATTTCCTTTTTCACCTTAGCCCTGAAAGCGCTCCAAATGTCCAGTTCCATATACTACAAAAGGGGTGTTTCAAGACTGCTCTATGAAAGGGAGTGTTCATACTTTTGACTTGAATGCAAACATCAGAAAGCAGTTTCTCAGAACGCTTGCTGTGTGCTTTTTATATGTATTCCCGCCTCCAGCGAAATCCCCAAAGCTAGCCAAATATCCACTTGCAGATTCCAGAAAAAGAGTGTTTCAAAACTGCTCCTTCAAAACGGTGGTTCAATTCTCTTAGTTGAGTACACACATCTCAAATAAGTTTCTGAGAATGCTTCTGTCTAGTTGTTTATGGGAAGATATTTCCTTTTCCAACATAGGCCTGAAAGCGCTCCAAATGTCCACTTCCAGATACTACAAAAGGAGTGATTCCAACCTGCTCTATGATAGGGAATGTTCAACTCTGTGTCCTGAATACAAACATCACAAAGATGTTTCTCAGAACGCTGCAGTCTGCAATTTGTATGAATTCCCGCTTCCAACGAAATCCTCCAAACTAGCCAAATATCCACTTGCAGATTCCACAAAAAGAGCGTTTCAAAACTTCTCTATGAAAAGAAAGGTTCTACTCCTTTAGTTGAGGACACACATCACGAGTAAGTTTCTGAGAATGCTTCTGTCTAGTTTTTATGGGAAGATATTTCCATCTTCACCTTAGGCCGGAAAGCGCTCCAAATGTCCACTTACACACACTACAAAAAGAGTGTTTCAAACCTGCTCTGTGAAAGGGAATGTTCAATTCTGTGACTTGAATGCAATCATCACAAAGAAGTTTCTGAGAATGCTGCTGTCTGCTTTTTATATGTAATCCCGTTTCCAACGAAATCCTCAAATCTAGCCAAATATCCACTTGCAGATTCCACAAAAAGAGTGTTTCAAAACTGTTCTGTCTAAAGAAATGTTCAACTGTGTTAGTTGAGGACACACATCAGAAACTAGTTTCTGAGAATGCTTCTGTCTAGTTGTTATGGGAAGATATTTCCTTTTCCAACGTAGGCCTGAAAGCGCTCCAAATGTCCACTTCCATATACTAAAAAAAGAGTGTTTCAAACCTGCTCTACCAAAGGGAATGTTCTACTCTGTGACTTGAATGCAAACATCCCAAAGAAGTTTCTGAGAATGCTTCTGTCTAGATTTTATCTGAAGACAATCCCGTTTCCAACGAAATCCTCAAGGCTAGGCAAATATACTCTTGCAGATTCCAGAAAAAGAGGCTTTCAAAACTGCTCCTTCAAAACGGTGGTTCAATTCTCTTAGTTGAGTACACACATCTCAAATAAGTTTCTGAGAATGCTTCTGCCTAGTTGTTACGGGAAGATATTTCCCTTTCCAACATGGGCCTGAAAGCGCTCCAAATGTCCACTTCCAGATACTACAAAAAGAGTGTTTCAAACCTGCTCTACCAAAGGGAATGTTCTACTCTGTGACTTGAATGCAAACATCCCAAAGAAGTTTCTGAGAATGCTTCTGTCTAGATTTTACCTGAAGACAATCCCGTTTCCCACGAAATCCTCAAAGCTATGCAAATATCCTCTTGCGGATTCTACAAAAAGAGTGTTTCAAAACTGCTCTATGAAAAGAAAGGTTCAACTCTGTCAGTAGAGGGCACACATCACAAACAAGTTTCTGAGAATGCTTGTGTCTAGTTGTTATGGGAAGATATTTCCTTTTTCAACATAGGCCTGAAAGCGCTCCAAATGTCCACTTCCAGATACTACAAAAGGAGTGATTCCAACCTGCTCTATGATAGGGAATGTTCATCTCTGTGTCCTGAATACAAACATCACAAAGATGTTTCTCAGAACGCTGCAGTCTGCAATTTGTATGAATTCCCGCTTCCAACGAAATCCTCAAAACTAGCCAAATATCCACTTGGAGATTCCACAAAAAGAGCGTTTCAAAACTTCTCTATGAATAGAAAGGTTCTACTCCTTTAGTTGAGGAAACACATCACGAGTAAGTTTCTGAGAATGCTTCTGTCTAGTTTTTATGGGAAGATATTTCCTTTTTCACCTTAGGCCGGAAAGCGCTCCAAATGTCCACTTTCACACACTACAAAAAGAGTGTTTCAAACCTGCTCTGTGAAAGGGAATGTTCAATTCTGTGACTTGAATGCAATCATCACAAAGAACTTTACTGAGAATGCTGCTGTCTGCTTTTTATATGTAATCCCGTTTCCAACGAAATCCTCAAATCTAGCCAAATAGCCACTTGCAGATTCCACAAAAAGAGTGTTTCAAAACTCTTCTGTCTAAAGAAATGTTCAACTGTGTTAGTTGAGGACACACATCAGGAACTAGTTTCTGAGAATGCTTCTGTCTAGTTGTTATGGGAAGATATTTCCTTTTCCAACGTAGGCCTGAATGCGCTCCAAATGTCCACTTCCATATACTAAAAAAAGAGTGTTTCAAACCTGCTCTACCAAAGGGAATGTTCTACTCTGTGACTTGAATGCAAACATCCCAAAGAAGTTTCTGAGAATGCTTCTGTATAGATTTGATCTGAAGACAATCCCGTTTCCAACGAAATCCTCAAGGCTAGGCAAATATCCTCTTTCAGATTCCAGAAAAAGAGTGTTTCAAAACTGCTCCTTCAAAACGGTGGTTCAACTCTCTTAGTTGAATACACACATCTCAAATAAGTTTCTGAGAATGCTTCTGCCTAGTTGTTACGGGAAGATATTTCCCTTTCCAACATAGGCCTGAAAGCGCTCCAAATGTCCACTTCCAGATACTACAAAAAGAGTGTTTCAAACCTGCTCTACCAAAGGGAATGTTCTACTCTGTGACTTGAATGCAAACATCCCAAAGAAGTTTCTGAGAATGCTTCTGTCTAGATTTGATCTGAAGACAATCCCGTTTCCAACGAAATCCTCAAGGCTAGGCAAATATCCTCTTGCAGATTCCAGAAAAAGAGTGTTTCAAAACTGCTCCTTCAAAACGGTGGTTCAATTCTCTTAGTTGAGTACACACATCTCAAATAAGTTTCTGAGAATGCTTCTGCCTAGTTGTTACGGGAAGATATTTCCCTTTCCAACATAGGCCTGAAAGCGCTCCAAATGTCCACTTCCAGATACTACAAAAAGAGTGTTTCAAACCTGCTCTACCAAAGGGAATGTTCTACTCTGTGACTTGAATGCAAACATCCCAAAGAAGTTTCTGAGAATGCTTCTGTCTAGATTTTACCTGAAGACTATCCCGTTTCCCACGTAATCCTCAAAGCTATGCAAATATCCTCTTGCAGATTCTACAAAAAGAGTGTTTCAAAACTGCTCTATGAAAAGAAAGGTTCAACTCTGTCAGTAGAGGGCACACATCACAAACAAGTTTCTGAGAATGCTTCTGTCTAGTTGTTATGGGAAGATATTTCCTTTTCCATCATAGGCCTGAAAGCGCTCCAAATGTCCACTTCCAGATACTACAAAAGGAGTGATTCAAACCTGCTCTATGATAGGGAATGTTCAACTCTGTGTCCTGAATACAAACATCACAAAAATGTTTCTCAGAACGCTGCAGTCTGCAATTTGTATGAATTCCCGCTTCCAACGAAATCCTCAAAACTAGCCAAATATCCACTTGCAGATTCCACAAAAAGACCATTTCAAAACTGCTCTATCAAAAGAAAGGTTCAACTTTGTTAGTTGAGTAGATACAGCATAAACAAGTTTCTGAGAATGCTTCTGTCCAGTTTTTATGGGAAGATATTTCATTTTTCACCTTAGCCCTGAAAGCGCTCCAAAAGTCCAGTTCCAGATACTACAAAAGGAGTGTTTCAGGACTGCACTATGAAAGGGAGTGTTCAACTTTTGACTTGAATGCAAACATCAGAA
Organism: Homo sapiens; assembly: GCF_000001405.40. Taxonomy (NCBI): domain Eukaryota; kingdom Metazoa; phylum Chordata; class Mammalia; order Primates; family Hominidae; genus Homo; species Homo sapiens. Next base: position 19,370,166 of record NC_000018.10, on the reverse strand, counting down.
AGCAGTTTCTCAGAACGCTGCTGTGTGCTTTTTATATGTATTCCCGCTTCCAGCGAAATCCCCAAAGCTAGCCAAATATCCACTTGCAGATTCCAGAAAAAGAGAGTTTCAAAACTGCTCCTTCAAAACGGTGGTTCAATTCTCTTAGTTGAGTACACACATCTCAAATAAGTTTCTGAGAATGCTCTGTCTAGTTGTTATGGGAAGATATTTCCTTTTCCAACATAGGCCTGAAAGCGCTCCAAATGTCCACTTCCAGATACTACAAAAGGAGTGATTCAAACCTGCTCTATGATAGGGAATGTTCAACTCTGTGTCCTGAATACAAACATCACAAAGATGTTCTCAGAACGCTGGCAGTCTGCAATTTGTATGAATTCCCGCTTCCAACGAAATCCTCAAAACTAACCAAATATCCACTTGGAGATTCCACAAAAAGAGCGTTTCAAAACTTCTCTATGAATAGAAAGGTTCTACTCCTTTAGTTGAGGACACACATCACGAGTAAGTTTCTGAAAATGCTTCTGTCTAGTTTTTATGGGAAGATATGTCCTTTTTCACCTTAGGCCGGAAAGCACTCCAAATGTCCACTTACACACACTACAAAAAGAGTGTTTCAAACCTGCTCTGTGAAAGGGAATGTTCAATTCTGTGACTTGAATGCAATCATCACAAAGAACTTTCTGAGAATGCTGCTGTCTGCTTTTTATATGTAATCCCGTTTCCAACGAAATCCTCAAATCTAGCCAAATAGCCACTTGCAGATTCCACAAAAAGAGTGTTTCAAAACTGTTCTGTCTAAAGAAATGTGCAACTGTGTTAGTTGAGGACACACATCAGAAACTAGTTTCTGAGAATGCTTCTGTCTAGTTGTTATGGGAAGATATTTCCTTTTCCAACGTAGGCCTGAAAGCGCTCCAAATGTCCACTTCCATATACTAAAAAAAGAGTGTTTCAAACCTGCTCTACCAAAGGGAATGTTCTACTCTGTGACTTGAATGCAAACATCCCAAAGAAGTTTCTGAGAATGCTTCTGTCTAGATTTGATCTGAAGACAATCCCGTTTCCAACGAAATCCTCAAGGCTAGGCAAATATCCTCTTGCAGATTCCAGAAAAAGAGTGTTTCAAAACTGCTCCTTCAAAACGGTGGTTCAATTCTCTTAGTTGAGTACACACATCTCAAATAAGTTTCTGAGAATGCTTCTGCCTAGTTGTTACCGGAAGATATTTCCCTTTCCAACATAGGCCTGAAAGCGCTCCAAATGTCCACTTCCAGATACTACAAAAAGAGTGTTTCAAACCTGCTCTACCAAAGGGAATGTTCTACTCTGTGACTTGAATGCAAACATCCCAAAGAAGTTTCTGAGAATGTTTCTGTCTAGATTTTACCTGAAGACAATCCCGTTTCCCACGAAATCCTCAAAGCTATGCAAATATCCTCTTGCAGATTCTACAAAAAGAGTGTTTCAAAACTGCTCTATGAAAAGAAAGGTTCAACTCTGTCAGTAGAGGGCACACATCACAAACAAGTTTCTGAGAATGCTTCTGCATAGTTGTTACGGGAAGATATTTCCCTTTCCAAAATAGGCCTGAAAGCGCTCCAAATGTCCACTTCCAGATACTACAAAAGGAGTGATTCCAACCTGCTCTATGATAGGGAATGTTCAACTCTGTGTCCTGAATACAAACATCACAAAGATGTTTCTCAGAACGCTGCAGTCTGCAATTTGTATGAATTCCCGCTTCCAACGAAATCCTCAAAACTAGCCAAATATCCACTTGCAGATTCCACAAAAAGACCATTTCAAAACTGCTCTATCAAAAGAAAGGTTCAACTTTGTTAGTTGAGTAGATACAGCATAAACAAGTTTCTGAGAATGCTTCTGTCCAGTTTTTATGGGAAGATATTTCCTTTTTCACCTTAGCCCTGAAATCGCTCCAAAAGTCCAGTTCCAGATACTACAAAAGGGGTGTTTCAAGACTGCTCTATGAAAGGGAGTGTTCAACTTTTGACTTGAATGCAAACATCAGAAAGCAGTTTCTCAGAACGCTGCTGTGTGCTTTTTATATGTATTCCCGCTTCCAGCGAAATCCCCAAAGCTAGCCAAATATCCACTTGCAGATTCCAGAAAAAGAGTGTTTCAAAACTGCTCCTTCAAAACGGTGGTTCAATTCTCTTAGTTGAGTAGACACATCTCAAATAAGTTTCTGAGAATGCTTCTGTCTAGTTGTTATGGGAAGATATTTCCTTTTCCAACATAGGCCTGAAAGCGCTCCAAATGTCCACTTCCAGATACTACAAAAGGAGTGATTCAAACCTGCTCTATGATAGGGAATGTTCAACTCTGTGTCCTGAATACAAACATCACAAAGATGTTTCTCAGAACGCTGCAGTCTGCAATTTGTATGAATTCCCGCTTCCAACGAAATCCTCAAAACTAGCCAAATATCCACTTGCAGATTCCACAAAAAGAGCATTTCAAAACTGCTCTATCAAAAGAAAGGTTCAACTTTGTTAGTAGAGTAGATACAGCATAAACAAGTTTCTGAGAATGCTTCTGTCCAGTTTTTATGGGAAGATATTTCCTTTTTCACCTTAGCCCTGAAAGCGCTCCAAAAGTCCAGTTCCAGATACTACAAAAGGAGTGTTTCAGGACTGCTCTATGAAAGGGAGTGTTCAACTTTTGACTTGAATGCAAACATCAGAAAGCAGTTTCTCAGAACGCTGCTGTGTGCTTTTTATATGTATTCCCGCTTCCAGCGAAATCCCCAAAGATAGCCAAATAGCCACTTGCAGATTCCAGAAAAAGAGTGTTTCAAAACTGCTCCTTCAAAACGGTGGTTCAATTCTCTTAGTTGAGTACACACATCTCAAATAAGTTTCTGAGAATGCTTCTGTCTAGTTTTTATGGGAAGATATTTCCTTTTTCACCTGAGGCCGGAAAGCGCTCCAAATGTCCACTTCCAGATACTACAAAAGGAGTGATTCAAACCTGCTCTATGATAGGGAATGTTCAACTCTGTGTCCTGAATACAAACATCACAAAGATGTTTCTCAGAACCCTGCAGTCTGCAATTTGTATGAATTCCCGCTTCCAACGAAATCCTCAAAACTAGCCAAATATCCACTTGGAGATTCCACAAAAAGAGCATTTCAAAACTTCTCTACGAATAGAAAGGTTCTACTCCTTTAGTTGAGGACACACATCACGAGTAAGTTTCTGAGAATGCTTCTGTCTAGTTTTTATGGGAAGATTATTTCCTTTTTCACCTTAGGCCGGTAAGTGCTCCAAATGTCCACTTACACACACTACAAAAAGAGTGTTTCAAACCTGCTCTGTGAAAGGGAATGTTCAATTCTGTGACTTGAATGCAATCATCACAAAGAACTTTCTGAGAATGCTGCTGACTGCTTTTTATATGTAATCCCGTTTCCAACGAAATCCTCAAATCCAGCCAAATAGCCACTTGCAGATTCCACAAAAAGAGTGTTTCAAAACTGTTCTGTCTAAAGAAATGTTCAACTGTGTTAGTTGAGGACACACATCAGAAACTAGTTTCTGAGAATGCTTCTGTCTAGTTGTTATGGGAAGATATTTCCTTTTCCAACGTAGGCCTGAAAGCGCTCCAAATGTCCACTTCCATATACTAAAAAAAGAGTGTTTCAAACCTGCTCTACCAAAGGGAATGTTCTACTCTGTGACTTGAATGCAAACATCCCAAAGAAGTTTCTGAGAATGCTTCTGTCTAGATTGGATCTGAAGACAATCCCGTTGCCAACGAAATCCTCAAATCTATGCAAATATCCTCTTGCAGATTCCAGAAAAAGAGTGTTTCAAAACTGCTCCTTCAAAACGGTGGTTCAATTCTCTTAGTTGAGTACACACATCTCAAATAAGTTTCTGAGAATGCTTCTGCCTAGTTGTTACGGGAAGATATTTCCCTTTCCAACATAGGCCTGAAAGCGCTCCAAATGTCCACTTCCAGATACTACAAAAAGAGTGTTTCAAACCTGCTCCTTCAAAACGGTGGTTCAATTCTCTTAGTTCAGTACACACATCTCAAATAAGTTTCTGAGAATGCTTCTGCCTAGTTGTTACGGGAAGATATTTCCCTTTCCAACATAGGCCTGAAAGCGCTCCAAATGTCCACTTCCAGATACTACAAAAAGAGTGTTTCAAACCTGCTCTACCAAAGGGAATGTTCTACTCTGTGACTTGAATGCAAACATCCCAAAGAAGTTTCTGAGAATGCTTCTGTCTAGATTTTACCTGAAGACAATCCCGTTTCCCACGAAATCCTCAAAGCTATGCAAATATCCTCTTGCAGATTCTACAAAAAGAGTGTTTCAAAACTGCTCTATGAAAAGAAAGGTTCAACTCTGTCAGTAGAGGGCACACATCACAAACAAGTTTCTGAGAATGCTTGTGTCTAGTTGTTATGGGAAGATATTTCCTTTTTCAACATAGGCCTGAAAGCGCTCCAAATGTCCACTTCCAGATACTACAAAAGGAGTGATTCCAACCTGCTCTATGATAGGGAATGTTCAACTCTCTGTCCTGAATACAAACATCACAAAGATGTTTCTCAGAACGCTGCAGTGTGCAATTTGTATGAATTCCCGCTTCCAACGAAATCCTCAAAACTAGCCAAATATCCACTTGCAGATTCCACAAAAAGAGCATTACAAAACTGCTCTATCAAAAGAAAGGTTCAAATTTGTTAGTTGAGTAGATACAGCATAAACAAGTTTCTCAGAATGCTTCTGTCCAGTTTTTATGGGAAGATATTTCCTTTTTCACCTTAGCCCTGAAAGCGCCCGAAATGTCCAGTTCCAGATACTACAAAAGGGGTGTTTCAAGACTGCTCTATGAAAGGGAGTGTTCAACTTTTGACTTGAATGCAAACATCAGAAAGCAGTTTCTCAGAACGCTGCTGTGTGCTTTTTATATGTATTCCCGCTTCCAGCGAAATCCCCAAAGCTAGCCAAATATCCACTTGCAGATTCCAGAAAAAGAGTGTTTCAAAACTGCTCCTTCAAAACGGTGGTTCAATTCTCTTAGTTGAGTACACACATCTCAAATAAGTTTCTGAGAATGCTTGTGTCTAGTTGTTATGGGAAGATATTTCCTTTTTCAACATAGGCCTGAAAGCGCTCCAAATGTCCACTTCCAGATACTACAAAAGGAGTGATTCCAACCTGCTCTATGATAGGGAATGTTCATCTCTGTGTCCTGAATACAAACATCACAAAGATGTTTCTCAGAACGCTGCAGTCTGCAATTTGTATGAATTCCAGCTTCCAACGAAATCCTCAAAACTAGCCAAATATCCACTTGCAGATTCCACAAAAAGAGCGTTTCAAAACTTCTCTATGAAAAGAAAGTTTCTACTCCTTTAGTTGAGGACACACATCACGAGTAAGTTTCTGAGAATGCTTCTGTCTAGTTTTTATGGGAAGATATTTCCTTTTTCACCTTAGGCCGGAAAGTGCTCCAAATGTCCACTTACACACACTACAAAAAGAGTGTTTCAAACCTGCTCTGTGAAAGGGAATTTTCAATTCTGTGACTTGAATGCAATCATCACAAAGAACTATCTGAGAATGCTGCTGACTGCTTTTTATATGTAATCCCGTTTCCAACGAAATCCTCAAATCTAGCCAAATAGCCACTTGCAGATTCCACAAAAAGAGTGTTTCATAACTGTTCTGTCTAAAGAAATGTACAACTGTGTTAGTTGAGGACACACATCAGAAACTAGTTTCTGAGAATGTTTCTGTCTAGTTGTTATGGGAAGATATTTCCTTTTCCAACGTAGGCCTGAAAGCGCTCCAAATGTCCACTTCCATATACTAAAAAAAGAGTGTTTCAAACCTGCTCTACCAAAGGGAATGTTCTACTCTGTGACTTGAATGCAAACATCCCAAAGAAGTTTCTGAGAATGCTTCTGTCTAGATTTTATCTGAAGACAATCCCGTTTCCAACGAAATCCTCAAGGCTAGGCAAATATACTCTTGCAGATTCCAGAAAAAGAGTGTTTCAAAACTGCTCCTTCAAAACGGTGGTTCAATTCTCTTAGTTGAGTACACACATCTCAAATAAGTTTCTGAGAATGCTTCTGCCTAGTTGTTACGGGAAGATATTTCCCTTTCCAACATGGGCCTGATAGCGCTCCAAATGTCCACTTCCAGATACTACAAAAAGAGGGTTTCAAACCTGCTCTACCAAAGGGAATGTTCTACTCTGTGACTTGAATGCAAACATCCCAAAGAAGTTTCTGAGAATGCTTCTGTCTAGATTTTACCTGAAGACAATCCCTTTTCCCACGAAATCCTCGAAGCTATGCAAATATCCTCTTGCAGATTCTACAAAAAGAGTGTTTCAAAACTGCTCTATGAAAAGAAATGTTCAACTCTGTCAGCAGAGGGCACACATCACAAACAAGTTTCTGAGAATGCTTGTGTCTAGTTGTTATGGGAAAATATTTCCTTTTTCAACATAGGCCCTGAAAGCGCTCCAAATGTCCACTTCCAGATACTACAAAAGGAGTGATTCCAACCTGCTCTATGATAGGGAATGTTCAACTCTCTGTCCTGAATACAAACATCACAAAGATGTTTCTCAGAACGCTGCAGTCTGCAATTTGTATGAATTCCCGCTTCCAACGAAATCCTCAAAACTAGCCAAATATCCACTTGCAGATTCCACAAAAAGAGCATTTCAAAACTGCTCTATCAAAAGAAAGGTTCAACTTTGTTAGTTGAGTAGATACAGCATAAACAAGTTTCTGAGAATGCTTCTGTCCAGTTTTTATGGGAAGATATTTCCTTTTTCACCTTAGCCCTGAAATCGCTCCAAAAGTCCAGTTCCAGATACTACAAAAGGGGTGTTTCAGGACTGCTCTATGAAAGGGAGTGTTCAACTTTTGACTTGAATGCAAACATCAGAAAGCAGTTTCTCAGAACGCTGCAGTCTGCAATTTGTATGAATTCCCGCTTCCAACGAAATCCTCAAAACTAGCCAAATATCCACTTGCAGATTCCACAAAAAGAGCGTTTCAAAACTTCTCTATGAAAACAAAGGTTCTACTCCTTTAGTTGAGGACACACATCACGAGTAAGTTTCTGAGAATGCTTCTGTCTAGTTTTTATGGGAAGATATTTCCTTTTTCACCTTAGGCCGGAAAGCGCTCCAAATGTCCACTTACACACACTACAAAAAGAGTGTTTCAAACCTGCTCTGTGAAAGGCAATGTTCAATTCTGTGACTTGAATGCAATCATCACAAAGAACTTTCTGAGAATGCTGCTGTCTGCTTTTTATATGTAATCCCGTTTCCAACGAAATCCTCAAATCTAGCCAAATATCCACTTGCAGATTCCACAAAAAGAGTGTTTCAAAACTGTTCTGTCTAAAGAAAAGTTCAACTGTGTTAGTTGAGGACACACATCAGAAACTAGTTTCTGAGAATGCTTCTGTCTAGTTGTTATGGGAAGATATTTCCTTTTCCAACGTAGGCCTGAAAGCGCTCCAAATGTCCACTTCCATATACTAAAAAAAGAGTGTTTCAAACCTGCTCTACCAAAGGGAATGTTCCTACTCTGTGACTTGAATGCAAACATCCCAAAGAAGTTTCTGAGAATGCTTCTGTCTAGATTTTATCTGAAGACAATCCCGTTTCCAACGAAATCCTCAAGGCTAGGCAAATATCCTCTTGCAGATTCCAGAAAAAGAGTGTTTCAAAACTGCTCCTTCAAAACGGTGGTTCAGTTCTCTTAGTTGAGTACACACATCTCAAATAAGTTTCTGAGAATGCTTCTGCCTAGTTGTTACGGGAAGATATTTCCCTTTCCAACATGGGCCTGAAAGCGCTCCAAATGTCCACTTCCAGATACTACAAAAAGAGTGTTTCAAACCTGCTCTACCAAAGGGAATGTTCTACTCTGTGACTTGAATGCAAACATCCCAAAGAAGTTTCTGAGAATGCTTCTGTCTAGATTTTACCTGAAGACAATCCCGTTTCCCGCGAAATCCTCAAAGCTATGCAAATATCCTCTTGCAGATTCTACAAAAAGAGTGTTTCAAAACTGCTCTATGAAAAGAAAGGTTCAACTCTGTCAGTAGAGGGCACACATCACAAACAAGTTTCTGAGAATGCTTGTGTCTAGTTGTTATGGGAAGATATTTCCTTTTTCAACATAGGCCTGAAAGCGCTCCAAATGTCCACTTCCAGATACTACAAAAGGAGTGATTCCAACCTGCTCTATGATAGGGAATGTTCAACTCTGTGTCCTGAATACAAGCATCACAAAGTTGTTTCTCAGAACGCTGCAGTCTGCAATTTGTATGAATTCCCGCTTCCAACGAAATCCTCAAAACTAGCCAAATATCCACTTGCAGATTCCACAAAAAGACCATTTCAAAACTGCTCTATCAAAAGAAAGGTTCAACTTTGTTAGTTGAGTAGATACAGCATAACCAAGTTTCTGAGAATGCTTCTGTCCAGTTTTTATGGGAAGATATTTCCTTTTTCACCTTAGCCCTGAAATCGCTCCAAAAGTCCAGTTCCAGATACTACAAAAGGGGTGTTTCAAGACTGCTCTATGAAAGGGAGTGTTCAACTTTTGACTTGAATGCAAACATCAGAAAGCAGTTTCTCAGAACGCTGCTGTGTGCTTTTTATATGTATTCCCGCTTCCAGCGAAATCCCCAAAGCTAGCCAAATATCCACTTGCAGATTCCAGAAAAAGAGTGTTTCAAAACTGCTCCTTCAAAACGGTGGTTCAATTCTCTTAGTTGAGTACACACATCTCAAATAAGTTTCTGAGAATGCTTCTGTCTAGTTGTTATGGGAAGATATTTCCTTTTCCAACATAGGCCTGAAAGCGCTCCAAATGTCCACTTCCAGATACTACAAAAGGAGTGATTCCAACCTGCTCTATGATAGGGAATGTTCAACTCTGTGTCCTGAATACAAACATCACAAAGATGTTTCTCAGAACGCTGCAGTCTGCAATTTGTATGAATTCCCGCTTCCAACGAAATCCTCAAAACTAGCCAAATATCCACTTGCAGATTCCACAAAAAGAGCGTTTCAAAACTTCTCTATGAAAAGAAAGGTTCTACTCCTTTAGTTGAGGACACACATCACGAGTAAGTTTCTGAGAATGCTTCTGTCTAGTTTTTATGGGAAGATTATTTCCTTTTTCACCTTAGGCCGGTAAGTGCTCCAAATGTCCACTTACACACACTACAAAAAGAGTGTTTCAAACCTGCTCTGTGAAAGGGAATGTTCAATTCTGTGACTTGAATGCAATCATCACAAAGAACTTTCTGAGAATGCTGCTGACTGCTTTTTATATGTAATCCCGTTTCCAACGAAATCCTCAAATCTAGCCAAATAGCCACTTGCAGATTCCACAAAAAGAGTGTTTCAAAACTGTTCTGTCTAAAGAAATGTTCAACTGTGTTAGTTGAGGACACACATCAGAAACTAGTTTCTGAGAATGCTTCTGTCTAGTTGTTATGGGAAGATATTTCCTTTTCCAACGTAGGCCTGAAAGCGCTCCAAATGTCCACTTCCAGATACTACAAAAAGAGTGTTTCAAACCTGCTCTACCAAAGGGAATGTTCTACTCTGTGACTTGAATGCAAACATCCCAAAGAAGTTTCTGAGAATACTTCTGTCTAGATTTTCTCTGAAGACAATCCCGTTTCCAACGAAATCCTCAAGGCTAGGCAAATATACTCTTGCAGATTCCAGAAAAAGAGTGTTTCAAAACTGCTCCTTCAAAACGGTGGTTCAATTCTCTTAGTTGAGTACACACATCTCAAATAAGTTTCTGAGAATGCTTCTGCCTAGTTGTTACGGGAAGATATTTCCCTTTCCAACATAGGCCTGAAAGCGCTCCAAATGTCCACTTCCAGATACTACAAAAAGAGTGTTTCAAACCTGCTCTACCAAAGGGAATGTTCTACTCTGTGACTTGAATGCAAACATCCCAAAGAAGTTTCTGAGAATGCTTCTGTCTAGATTTTACCTGAAGACAATCCCGTTTCCCACGAAATCCTCAAAGCTATGCAAATATCCTCTTGCAGATTCTACAAAAAGAGTGTTTCAAAACTGCTCTATGAAAAGAAAGGTTCAACTCTGTCAGCAGAGGGCACACATCACAAACAAGTTTCTGAGAATGCTTGTGTCTAGTTGTTATGGGAAGATATTTCCTTTTTCAACATAGGCCTGAAAGCGCTCCAAATGTCCACTTCCAGATACTACAAAAGGAGTGATTCCAACATGCTCTATGATAGGGAATGTTCATCTCTGTGTCTTGAATACAAACATCACAAAGATGTTTCTCAGAACGCTGCAGTCTGCAATTTGTATGAATTCCCGCTTCCAACGAAATCCTCAAAACTAGCCAAATATCCACTTGCAGATTCCACAAAAAGACCATTTCAAAACTGCTCTATCAAAAGAAAGGTTCAACTTTGTTAGTTGAGTAGATACAGCATAAACAAGTTTCTGAGAATGCTTCTGTCCAGTTTTTATGGGAAGATATTTCCTTTTTCACCTTAGCCCTGAAATCGCTCCAAAAGTCCAGTTCCAGATACTACAAAAGGGGTGTTTCAAGACTGCTCTATGAAAGGGAGTGTTCAACTTTTGACTTGAATGCAAACATCAGAAAGCAGTTTCTCAGAACGCTGCTGTGTGCTTTTTATATGTATTCCCGCTTCCAGCGAAATCCCCAAAGCTAGCCAAATATCCACTTGCAGATTCCAGAAAAAGAGTGTTTCAAAACTGCTCCTTCAAAACGGTGGTTCAATTCTCTTAGTTGAGTACACACATCTCAAATAAGTTTCTGAGAATGCTTGTGTCTAGTTGTTATGGGAAGATATTTCCTTTTCCAACATAGGCCTGAAAGCGCTCCAAATGTCCACTTCCAGATACTACAAAAGGAGTGATTCCAACATGCTCTATGGTAGGGAATGTTCATCTCTGTGTCTTGAATACAAACATCACAAAGATGTTTCTCAGAACGCTGCAGTCTGCAATTTGTATGAATTCCCGCTTCCAACGAAATCCTCAAAACTAGCCAAATATCCACTTGGAGATTCCACAAAAAGAGCGTTTCAAAACTTCTCTATGAATAGAAAGGTTCTACTCCTTTAGTTGAGGACACACATCACGAGTAAGTTTCTGAGAATGCTTCTGTCTAGTTTTTATGGGAAGATATGTCCTTTTTCACCTTAGGCCGGAAAGCGCTCCAAATGTCCACTTACACACACTACAAAAAGAGTGTTTCAAACCTGCTCTGTGAAAGGGAATGTTCAATTCTGTGACTTGAATGCAATCATCACAAAGAACTTTCTGAGAATGCTGCTGACTGCTTTTTATATGTAATCCCGTTTCCAACGAAATCCTCAAATCTAGCCAAATAGCCACTTGCAGATTCCACAAAAAGAGTGTTTCAAAACTGTTCTGTCTAAAGAAATGTTCAACTTGTGTTAGTTGAGGACACACATCAGAAACTAGTTTCTGAGAATGCTTCTGTCTAGTTGTTATGGGAAGATATTTCCTTTTCCAACGTAGGCCTGAAAGCGCTCCAAATGTCCACTTCCATATACTAAAAAAAGAGTGTTTCAAACCTGCTCTACCAAAGGGAATGTTCTACTCTGTGACTTGAATGCAAACATCCCAAAGAAGTTTCTGAGAATGCTTCTGTCTAGATTTGATCTGAAGACAATCCCGTTTCCAACGAAATCCTCAAGGCTAGGCAAATATCCTCTTGCAGATTCCAGAAAAAGAGTGTTTCAAAACTGCTCCTTCAAAACGGTGGTTCAATTCTCTTAGTTGAGTACACACATCTCAAATAAGTTTCTGAGAATGCTTCTGCCTAGTTGTTACGGGAAGATATTTCCCTTTCCAACATAGGCCTGAAAGCGCTCCAAATGTCCACTTCCAGATACTACAAAAAGAGTGTTTCAAACCTGCTCTACCAAAGAGAATGTTCTACTCTGTGACTTGAATGCAAACATCCCAAAGTAGTTTCTGAGAATGCTTCCGTCTAGATTTTACCTGAAGACAATCCGGTTTCCCACGAAATCCTCAAAGCTATGCAAATATCGTCTTGCAGATTCTACAAAAAGAGTGTTTCAAAACTGCTCTATGAAAAGAAAGGTTCAACTCTGTCAGTAGAGGGCACACATCACAAACAAGTTTCTGAGAATGCTTGTGTCTAGTTGTTATGGGAAGATATTTCCTTTTTCAACATAGGCCTGAAAGCGCTCCAAATGTCCACTTCCAGATACTACAAAAGGAGTGATTCCAACCTGCTCTATGATAGGGAATGTTCAACTCTCTGTCCTGAATACAAACATCACAAAGATGTTTCTCAGAACGCTGCAGTCTGCAATTTGTATGAATTCCCGCTTCCAACGAAATCCTCAAAACTAGCCAAATATCCACTTGCAGATTCCACAAAAAGACCATTTCAAAACTGCTCTATCAAAAGAAAGGTTCAACTTTGTTAGTTGAGTAGATACAGCATAACCAAGTTTCTGAGAATGCTTCTGTCCAGTTTTTATGGGAAGATATTTCCTTTTTCACCTTAGCCCTGAAATCGCTCCAAAAGTCCAGTTCCAGATACTACAAAAGGGGTGTTTCAAGACTGCTCTATGAAAGGGAGTGTTCAACTTTTGACTTGAATGCAAACATCAGAAAGCAGTTTCTCAGAACGCTGCTGTGTGCTTTTTATATGTATTCCCGCTTCCAGCGAAATCCCCAAAGCTAGCCAAATATCCACTTGCAGATTCCAGAAAAAGAGAGTTTCAAAACTGCTCCTTCAAAACGGTGGTTCAATTCTCTTAGTTGAGTACACACATCTCAAATAAGTTTCTGAGAATGCTTCTGTCTAGTTGTTATGGGAAGATATTTCCTTTTTCAACATAGGCCTGAAAGCGCTCCAAATGTCCACTTCCAGATACTACAAAAGGAGTGATTCCAACCTGCTCTATGATAGGGAATGTTCAACTCTGTGTCCTGAATACAAACATCACAAAGATGTTTCTCAGAACGCTGCAGTCTGCAATTTGTATGAATTCCCGCTTCCAACGAAATCCTCCAAACTAGCCAAATATCCACTTGCAGAGTCCACAAAAAGAGCGTTTCAAAACTTCTCTATGAAAAGAAAGGTTCTACTCCTTTAGTTGAGTACACACATCACGAGTAAGTTTCTGAGAATGCTTCTGTCTAATTTTTATGGGAAGATATTTCCTTGTTCACCTTAGGCCGAAAAGCGCTCCAAATGTCCACTTACACACACTACAAAAAGCGTGTTTCAAACCTGCTCTGTGAAAGGGAATGTTCAATTCTGTGACTTGAATGCAATCATCACAAAGAAGTTTCTGAGAATGCTGCTGTCTGCTTTTTATATGTAATCCCGTTTCCAACGAAATCCTCAAATCTAGCCAAATATCCACTTGCAGATTCCACAAAAAGAGTGTTTCAAAACTGTTCTGTCTAAAGAAATGTTCAACTGTGTTAGTTGAGGACACACATCAGAAACTAGTTTCTGAGAATGCTTCTGTCTAGTTGTTATGGGAAGATATTTCCTTTTCCAACGTAGGCCTGAAAGCGCTCCAAATGTCCACTTACACACACTACAAAAAGAGTGTTTCAAACCTGCTCTACCAAAGGGAATGTTCTACTCTGTGACTTGAATGCAAACATCCCAAAGAAGTTTCTGAGAATGCTTCTGTCTAGATTTTACCTGAAGACAATCCCGTTTCCCACGAAATCCTCAAAGCTATGCAAATATCCTCTTGCAGATTCTACAAAAAGAGTGTTTCGAAACTGCTCTATGAAAAGAAAGGTTCAACTGTGTCAGTAGAAGGCACACATCACAAACAAGTTTCTGAGAATGCTTCTGCCTAGTTGTTATGGGAAGATATTTCCTTTTTCAACATACGCCTGAAAGCGCTCCAAATGTCCACTTCCAGATACTACAAAAGGAGTGATTCCAACCTGCTCTATGATAGGGAATGTTCAACTCAGTGTCCTGAATACAAACATCACAAAGATGTTTCTCAGAACGCTGCAGTCTGCAATTTGTATGAATTCCCGCTTCCAACGAAATCCTCAAAACTAGCCAAATATCCACTTGCAGATTCCACAAAAAGAGCATTTCAAAACTGCTCTATCAAAAGAAAGGTTCAACTTTGTTAGTTGAGTAGATACAGCATAAACAAGTTTCTGAGAATGCTTCTGTCCAGTTTTTATGGGAAGATATTTCCTTTTTCACCTTAGCCCTGAAAGCGCTTCAAAAGTCCAGTTCCAGATACTACAAAAGGGGTGTTTCAAGACTGCTCTATGAAAGGGAGTGTTCAACTTTTGACTTGAATGCAAACATCAGAAAGCAGTTTCTCAGAACGCTGCTGTGTGCTTTTTATATGTATTCCCGCTTCCAGCGAAATCCCCAAAGCTAGCCAAATATCCACTTGCAGATTCCAGAAAAAGAGTGTTTCAAAACTGCTCCTTCAAAACGGTGGTTCAATTCTCTTAGTTGAGTACACACATCTCAAATAAGTTTCTGAGAATGCTTCTGTCTAGTTGTTATGGGAAGATATTTCCTTTTCCAACATAGGCCTGAAAGCGCTCCAAATGTCCACTTCCAGATACTACAAAAGGAGTGATTCAAACCTGCTCTATGATAGGGAATGTTCAACTCTGTGTCCTGAATACAAACATCACAAAGATGTTTCTCAGAACGCTGCAGTCTGCAATTTGTATGAATTCCCGCTTCCAACGAAATCCTCAAAACTAGCCAAATATCCACTTGCAGATTCCACAAAAAGAGCGTTTCAAAACTTCTCTATGAAAAGAAAGGTTCTACTCCTTTAGTTGAGGACACACATCACGAGTAAGTTTCTGAGAATGCTTCTGTCTAGTTTTTATGGGAAGATATTTCCTTTTTCACCTTAGGCCGGAAAGTGCTCCAAATGTCCACTTACACACACTACAAAAAGAGTGTTTCAAACCTGCTCTGTGAAAGGGAATGTTCAATTCTGTGACTTGAATGCAATCATCACAAAGAAGTTTCTGAGAATGCTGCTGTCTGCTTTTTATATGTAATCCCGTTTCCAACGAAATCCTCAAATCTAGCCAAATAGCCACTTGCAGATTCCACAAAAAGAGTGTTTCAAAACTGTTCTGTCTAAAGAAATGTTCAACTGTGTTAGTTGAGGACACACATCAGAAACTAGTTTCTGAGAATGCTTCTGTCTAGTTGTTATGGGAAGATATTTCCTTTTCCAACGTAGGCCTGAAAGCGCTCCAAATGTCCACTTCCATATACTAAAAAAAGAGTGTTTCAAACCTGCTCTACCAAAGGGAATGTTCTACTCTGTGACTTGAATGCAAACATCCCAAAGAAGTTTCTGAGAATGCTTCTGTCTAGATTTGATCTGAAGACAATCCCGTTTCCAACGAAATCCTCAAGGCTAGGCAAATATCCTCTTGCAGATTCCAGAAAAAGAGTGTTTCAAAACTGCTCCTTCAAAACGGTGGTTCAATTCTCTTAGTTGAGTACACACATCTCAAATAAGTTTCTGAGAATGCTTCTGCCTAGTTGTTACGGGAAGATATTTCCCTTTCCAACATAGGCCTGAAAGCGCTCCAAATGTCCACTTCCAGATACTACAAAAAGAGTGTTTCAAACCTGCTCTACCAAAGGGAATGTTCTACTCTGTGACTTGAGTGCAAACATCACAATGAAGTTTCTGAGAATGCTTCTGTCTAGATTTTACCTGAAGACAATCCCGTTTCCCACGAAATCCTCAAAGCTATGCAAATATCCTCTTGCAGATTCTACAAAAAGAGTGTTTCAAAACTGCTCTATGAAAAGAAAGGTTCAACTCTGTCAGTAGAGGGCACACATCACAAACAAGTTTCTGAGAATGCTTGTGTCTAGTTGTTATGGGAAGATATTTCCTTTTTCAACATAGGCCTGAAAGCGCTCGAAATGTCCACTTCCAGATACTACAAAAGGAGTGATTCCAACCTGCTCTATGATAGGGAATGTTCAACTCTCTGTCCTGAATACAAACATCACAAAGATGTTTCTCAGAACGCTGCAGTCTGCAATTTGTATGAATTCCCGCTTCCAACGAAATCCTCAAAACTAGCCAAATATCCACTTGCAGATTCCACAAAAAGAGCATTTCAAAACTGCTCTATCAAAAGAAAGGTTCAACTTTGTTAGTTGAGTAGATACAGCATAAACAAGTTTCTGAGAATGCTTCTGTCCAGTTTTTATGGGAAGATATTTCCTTTTTCACCTTAGCCCTGAAAGCGCTCCAAAAGTCCAGTTCCAGATACTACAAAAGGAGTGTTTCAGGACTGCACTATGAAAGGGAGTGTTCAACTTTTGACTTGAATGCAAACATCAGAAAGCAGTTTCTCAGAACGCTGCAGTCTGCAATTTGTATGAATTCCCGCTTCCAACGAAATCCTCAAAACTAGCCAAATATCCACTTGCAGATTCCACAAAAAGAGCGTTTCAAAACTTCTCTATGAAAAGAAAGGTTCTACTCCTTTAGTTGAGGACACACATCACGAGTAAGTTTCTGAGAATACTTCTGTCTAGTTTTTATGGGAAGATATTTCCTTTTTCACCTTAGGCCGGTAAGTGCTCCAAATGTCCACTTACACACACTACAAAAAGAGTCTTTCAAACCTGCTCTGTGAAAGGGAATGTTCAATTCTGTGACTTGAATGCAATCATCACAAAGAACTTTCTGAGAATGCTGCTGACTGCTTTTTATATGTAATCCCGTTTCCAACGAAATCCTCAAATCTAGCCCAATATCCACTTGCAGATTCCACAAAAAGAGTGTTTCAAAACTGTTCTGTCTAAAGAAATGTACAACTGTGTTAGTTGAGGACACACATCAGAAACTAGTTTCTGAGAATGCTTCTGTCTAGTTGTTATGGGAAGATATTTCCTTTTCCAACGTAGGCCTGAAAGCGCTCCAAATGTCCACTTCCATATACTAAAAAAAGAGTGTTTCAAACCTCCTCTACCAAAGGGAATGTTCTACTCTGTGACTTGAATTCAAACTTCCCAAAGAAGTTTCTGAGAATGTTTCTGTCTAGATTTGATCTGAAGACAATCCCGTTTCCAACGAAATCCTCAAAGCTAGGCAAATATCCTCTAGCAGATTCCAGAAAAAGAGTGTTTCAAAACTGCTCCTTCAAAACGGTGGTTCAATTCTCTTAGTTGAGTACACACATCTCAAATAAGTTTCAGAGAATGCTTCTGCCTAGTTGTTACGGGAAGATATTTCCCTTTCCAAAATAGGCCTGAAAGCGCTCCAAATGTCCACTTCCAGATACTACAAAAGGAGTGATTCATACCTGCTCTATGATAGGGAATGTTCAACTCTGTGTCCTGAATACAAACATCACAAAGATGTTTCTCAGAACGCTGCAGTCTACAATTTGCATGAATTCCAGCTTCCAACGAAATCCTCAAAACTAGCCAAATATCCACTTGCAGATTCCACAAAAAGAGCATTTCAAAACTGCCCTATCAAAAGAAATGTTCAACATTGTTAGTAGAGTAGATACAGCATAAACAAGTTTCTGAGAATGCTTCTGTCCAGTTTTTATGGGAAGATATTTCCTTTTTCACCTTAGCCCTGAAAGCGCTCCAAATGTCCACTTCCAGATACTACAAAAGGGGTGTTTCAAGACTGCTCTATGAAAGGGAGTGTTCAACTTTTGACTTGAATGCAAACATCAGAAAGCAGTTTCTCAGAACGCTGCTGTGTGCTTTTTATATGTATTCCCGCTTCCAGCGAAATCCCCAAAGCTAGCCAAATATCCACTTGCAGATTCCAGAAAAAGAGTGTTTCAAAACTGCTCCTTCAAAACGGTGGTTCAATTCTCTTAGTTGAGTACACACATCTCAAATAAGTTTCTGAGAATGCTTCTGTCTAGTTGTTATGGGAAGATATTTCCTTTTCCAACATAGGCCTGAAAGCGCTCCAAATGTCCACTTCCAGATACTACAAAAGGAGTGATTCAAACCTGCTCTATGATAGGGAATGTTCAACTCTGTGTCCTGAATACAAACATCACAAAGATGTTTCTCAGAACGCTGCAGTCTGCAATTTGTATGAATTCCCGCTTCCAACGAAATCCTCCAAACTAGCCAAATATCCACTTGCAGATTCCACAAAAAGAGCGTTTCAAAACTTCTCTATGAAAAGAAAGGTTCTACTCCTTTAGTTGAGGACACACATCACGAGTAAGTTTCTGAGAATGCTTCTGTCTAGTTTTTATGGGAAGATATTTCCTTTTTCACCTTAGGCCGGAAAGTGCTCCAAATGTCCACTTACACACACTATAAAAAGAGTGTTTCAAACCTGCTCTGTGAAAGGGAATGTTCAATTCTGTGACTTGAATGCAATCATCACAAAGAACTTTCTGAGAATGCTGCTGACTGCTTTTTATATGTAATCCCGTTTCCAACGAAATCCTCAAATCTAGCCCAATATCCACTTGCAGATTCCACAAAAAGAGTGTTTCAAAACTGTTCTGTGTAAAGAAATGTACAACTGTGTTAGTTGAGGCCACACATCAGAAACTAGTTTCTGAGAATGCTTCTGTCTAGTTGTTATGGGAAGATATTTCCTTTTCCAACGTAGGCCTGAAAGCGCTCCAAATGTCCACTTCCATATACTAAAAAAAGAGTGTTTCAAACCTGCTCTACCAAAGGGAATGTTCTACTCTGTGACTTGAATGCAAACATCCCAAAGAAGTTTCTGAGAATGCTTCTGTCTAGATTTTCTCTGAAGACAATCCCGTTTCCAACGAAATCCTCAAGGCTAGGCAAATATACTCTTGCAGATTCCAGAAAAAGAGTGTTTCAAAACTGCTCCTTCAAAACGGTGGTTCAATTCTCTTAGTTGAGTACACACATCTCAAATAAGTTTCTGAGAATGCTTCTGCCTAGTTGTTACGGGAAGATATTTCCCTTTCCAACATAGGCCTGAAAGCGCTCCAAATGTCCACTTCCAGATACTACAAAAAGAGTGTTTCAAACCTGCTCTACCAAAGGGAATGTTCTACTCTGTGACTTGAATGCAAACATCCCAAAGAAGTTTCTGAGAATGCTTCTGTCTAGATTTTACCTGAAGACAATCCCGCTTCCCCACGAAATCCTCAAAGCTATGCAAATATCCTCTTGCAGATTCTACAAAAAGAGTGTTTCAAAACTGCTCTATGAAAAGAAAGGTTCAACTCTGTCAGTAGAGGGCACACATCACAAACAAGTTTCTGAGAATGCTTGTGTCTAGTTGTTATGGGAAGATATTTCCTTTTTCAACATAGGCCTGAAAGCGCTCCAAATGTCCACTTCCAGATATTACAAAAGGAGTGATTCCAACCTGCTCTATGATAGGGAATGTTCAACTCTCTGTCCTGAATACAAACATCACAAAGATGTTTCTCAGAACGCTGCAGTCTGCAATTTGTATGAATTCCCGCTTCCAACGAAATCCTCAAAACTAGCCAAATATCCACTTGCAGATTCCACAAAAAGACCATTTCAAAACTGCTCTATCAAAAGAAAGGTTCAACTTTGTTAGTTGAGTAGATACAGCATAAACAAGTTTCTGAGAATGCTTCTGTCCAGTTTTTATGGGAAGATATTTCCTTTTTCACCTTAGCCCTGAAATCGCTCCAAAAGTCCAGTTCCAGATACTACAAAAGGGGTGTTTCAAGACTGCTCTATGAAAGGGAGTGTTCAACTTTTGACTTGAATGCAAACATCAGAAAGCAGTTTCTCAGAACGCTGCTGTGTGCTTTTTATATGTATTCCCGCTTCCAGCGAAATCCCCAAAGCTAGCCAAATATCCACTTGCAGATTCCAGAAAAAGAGAGTTTCAAAACTGCTCCTTCAAAACGGTGGTTCAATTCTCTTAGTTGAGTACACACATCTCAAATAAGTTTCTGAGAATGCTTCTGTCTAGTTGTTTATGGGAAGATATTTCCTTTTCCAACATAGGCCTGAAAGCGCTCCAAATGTCCACTTCCAGATACTACAAAAGGAGTGATTCCAACCTGCTCTATGATAGGGAATGTTCAACTCTGTGTCCTGAATACAAACATCACAAAGATGTTTCTCAGAACGCTGCAGTCTGCAATTTGTATGAATTCCCGCTTCCAACGAAATCCTCAAAACTAGCCAAATATCCACTTGCAGATTCCACAAAAAGACCATTTCAAAACTGCTCTATCAAAAGAAAGGTTCAACTTTGTTAGTTGAGTAGATACAGCATAAACAAGTTTCTGAGAATGCTTCTGTCCAGTTTTTATGGGAAGATATTTCCTTTTTCACCTTAGCCCTGAAATCGCTCCAAAAGTCCAGTTCCAGATACTACAAAAGGGGTGTTTCAAGACTGCTCTATGAAAGGGAGTGTTCAACTTTTGACTTGAATGCAAACATCAGAAAGCAGTTTCTCAGAACGCTGCTGTGTGCTTTTTATATGTATTCCCGCTTCCAGCGAAATCCCCAAAGCTAGCCAAATATCCACTTGCAGATTCCAGAAAAAGAGAGTTTCAAAACTGCTCCTTCAAAACGGTGGTTCAATTCTCTTAGTTGAGTACACACATCTCAAATAAGTTTCTGAGAATGCTTCTGTCTAGTTGTTATGGGAAGATATTTCCTTTTCCAACATAGGCCTGAAAGCGCTCCAAATGTCCACTTCCAGATACTACAAAAGGAGTGATTCAAACCTGCTCTATGATAGGGAATGTTCAACTCTGTGTCCTGAATACAAACATCACAAAGATGTTTCTCAGAACGCTGCAGTCTGCAATTTGTATGAATTCCCGCTTCCAACGAAATCCTCAAAACTAGCCAAATATCCACTTGCAGATTCCACAAAAAGAGCGTTTCAAAACTTCTCTATGAAAAGAAAGGTTCTACTCCTTTAGTTGAGGACACACATCACGAGTAAGTTTCTGAGAATGCTTCTGTCTAGTTTTTATGGGAAGATATTTCCTTTTTCACCTTAGGCCGGTAAGTGCTCCAAATGTCCACTTACACACACTACAAAAAGAGTGTTTCAAACCTGCTCTGTGAAAGGGAATGTTCAATTCTGTGACTTGAATGCAATCATCACAAAGAACTTTCTGAGAATGCTGCTGACTGCTTTTTATATGTAATCCCGTTTCCAACGAAATCCTCAAATCTAGCCAAATAGCCACTTGCAGATTCCACAAAAAGAGTGTTTCAAAACTGTTCTGTCTAAAGAAATGTTCAACTGTGTTAGTTGAGGACACACATCAGAAACTAGTTTCTGAGAATGCTTCTGTCTAGTTATGGGAAGAGATTTCCTTTTCCAACGTAGGCCTGAAAGCGCTCCAAATGTCCACTTCCATATACTAAAAAAAGAGCGTTTCAAACCTGCTCTACCAAAGGGAATGTTCTACTCTGAGACTTGAATGCAAACATCCCAAAGAAGTTTCTGAGAATGCTTCTGTCTAGATTTTATCTGAAGACAATCCCGTTTCCAACGAAATCCTCAAGGCTAGGCAAATATACTCTTGCAGATTCCAGAAAAAGAGGGTTTCAAAACTGCTCCTTCAAAACGGTGGTTCAATTCTCTTAGTTGAGTCCACACATCTCAAATAAGTTTCTGAGAATGCTTCTGCCTAGTTGTTACGGGAAGATATTTCCCTTTCCAACATGGGCCTGAAAGCGCTCCAAATGTCCACTTCCAGATACTACAAAAAGAGTGTTTCAAACCTGCTCTACCAAAGGGAATGTTCTACTCTGTGACTTGAATGCAAACATCCCAAAGAAGTTTCTGAGAATGCTTCTGTCTAGATTTTACCTGAAGACAATCCCGTTTCCCACGTAATCCTCAAAGCTATGCAAATATCCTCTTGCAGATTCTACAAAAAGAGTGTTTCAAAACTGCTCTATGAAAAGAAAGGTTCAACTCTGTCAGTAGAGGGCACACATCACAAACAAGTTTCTGAGAATGCTTGTGTCTAGTTGTTATGGGAAGATATTTCCTTTTTCAACATAGGCCTGAAACCGCTCCAAATGTCCACTTCCAGATACTACAAAAGGAGTGATTCCAACCTGCTCTATGATAGGGAATGTTCAACTCTCTGTCCTGAATACAAACATCACAAAGATGTTTCTCAGAACGCTGCAGTCTGCAATTTGTATGAATTCCCGCTTCCAATGAAATCCTCAAAACTAGCCAAATATCCACTTGCAGATTCCACAAAAAGAGCATTTCAAAACTGCTCTATCAAAAGAAATGTTCAACTTTGTTAGTTGAGTAGATACAGCATAAACAAGTTTCTGAGAATGCTTCTGTCCAGTTTTTATGGGAAGATATTTCCTTTTTCACCTTAGCCCTGAAATCGCTCCAAAAGTCCAGTTCCAGATACTACAAAACGGGTGTTTCAAGACTGCTCTATGAAAGGGAGTGTTCAACTTTTGACTTGAATGCAAACATCAGAAAGCAGTTTCTCAGAACGCT